>NC_000020.11:42072294-42375325 GCF_000001405.40 Homo sapiens
CTGAGCTCAGCTTAGATCAGAGAGTCTTAGCTGGCTGCTATCAAATATTTTTCTTTCAAGTTACTGAGTTTTGGGTTGTTTATTATGCAGCCATAGCTAGCTGATACATTTAGGCAGCTCGTTACCAAGGCAGACCCTGAAATTGTGATTCTCTGGGCTTAGGAATCTGTATGTTTAACAAAGTTCCCAGTGATTCTCATGCCACTGCTCTATGAACCACACTTGAGAAACACCACTTTACACTCAACCCTTTTACTAGCTCAATGTGCAGTCATGGAAAATCCCTTGATGTTTCTGAGCCTCAACTTTTTCGTCTGCAAAGAGGGAATAATATGTATTTCCTGTGATGTAAGGATTAACTTAAATATAAAGAAACCTAGCTGATAATTTTTTCTCCTCCTCCTTCAACTTGTCCCCACCTCATCCCTACCCAACCTCAGGAAGACACCAGTACGAATATCTTAGGAAAACATGAATCTCAGGGTCACAGCTTTATTGTATAGATTTTTTAACACAGCCATGTTACAAACATTGTCAGGGAACATTTACAAGAATAAATAAGATGGACTTGCAGGTGTAAAAAGATTACACTTCACTGTAATGTACAGTCAAAAAATATATCTGATATTCATTGACCTGACATTATTTACCTTCTGCTTTTCTGAGCTAGAATTGAAAAGAAAAAAAAAACATTGACAGCACAGTGCTGGCTTTTTTAAAAAGTTGATTTATTTTGTTTTCTCTTCTCATACGTGCTTTATCTATCAAACACCCAAACTGTACAAGTGCAGGCCATTGGGATTCATGGAGGAGGCTGCAAAGAGTGTGGAGACTTTGGTCTCATGCAATATTATATGCCCAGTGGATGTGAAGATGTCAGCCTCCCTGGAGTTGAGCGGGAACCTTGGGATAGCTTGTGAGGGTGTCCAGAAGCCAAGGCAATGGTAGAGGCCACAACTCTTTGTCTTTGATTGGCTAGTAGAATGTAGGGTGAAAAGTGCTTTTGAGTATGATTACCAATATGGGTTAACCCGGATTTACATGGGCTAGCTCAGGATCCACCTGGTGATGAAATGTGTGCACTGGAAATGATTATAATCATGTGTAAATTGAGTTACTGTGCTTTTGCTTTTGCAGTGTGCTCCAACAGGCCTTGAATAGGGAGTGGGGTAGAAATAACCTCTGGAGATAATGTGTATGGTAAGAAAAGCCCTGCTCTGTGTCCTACTTGGACCTTCACTGGTTCTGGCTGTCACTCATGGCCCTGTTGGTCAGTGGGTCTGAGTTATGGCTGCTCTCATGAGAGATCTACATGGGTATTGGGTCTATGGCAAAGCAGCTGTTCCCTATGGTTTGCTGTTTGGTGATAACCAGCCTGGATCAGCCCAGTATATGTGGCCACAACAGCATGTTGGCCTGCTCAGTGGGGGCACTTGGGTGGGAGAGCAGGGGGCTTCAGCCTGTACAGACCAAACACAATCTACTTGGATTCGTGCTCTACAGGTATGAATGAGTTCAAACATGATCCCAGCTCCACAAGATCTCACCCATCTGGAATGGAAGTGACCTGAAATCCATTTCACCAATGCTTCTCTTCCCTTTAAAGAGACACCTGCCTTCTTTTAGACAGCTGCTGAGATGGGCAGCTTATCCTCTCTGGCAGACAGCAGGTTCTTCCTTACAGCTATTAAGTTTCACTCATGGGTCCTAGTTATACTCAGAGGAGTGACCTGGGTCTAGCAAACTGTGCTTGACTTCATCCAAGAATCTGCAGAGCTATGGAAGATATGGACACCATATTCTGCCTGACCCCTCAGAAGCCTAACTTTACATGGAATGACACCACTCTGCCCTCTAAGCCTCCAGACTGCCCTGGGGCCTTTGACCCAAAGAACACCTGACATTATTCATCTTCCATGGGAGATACAGGGACAGGGTGGACACTGAGAGTTTGTTGGACCATCATAGAGAAGGCCCACTGATTTGTATTCATAAGCCCAAAGGCACTGAAGTAATTGTACAGAGACTCAATTTTGTAATTTTGGTGGTTTACTTCCTATGACCCTTTCTCCTCCACATCCAAGAGTCCTGCTCACTAAGGAACCATGAACTACATTAATTACCCTGAGCTCCAGGCTTTTATACTGATACTTTTCTGTCCAACACTTCAAGGCCACCAGACACTCATTCTCCGAACATTCCAATTAAGGATCAGAGTCCACATCTCACCACCCAGAGCAGTTCTCAGATATAGAAGGAAGCCCCATAATGATCAAGCCCCTAAAACTCTTCCCAATAGATTTTCTTTCATCCTGAGCCCTTGCACTTCCCTTGTATCTGCCCCAGTGGACCACCCCTGAGCTCTTAGATAGGTGGGATGCTAGGTTTGGAGGCTACCATTGTGAGTGTTGATGCCTCCTTTTAGAGACCTAACATTCATGAGTGGATTTCAGTTGGTGAATGCCCTTTGATGACCTTTTCCCATCTCTTCTGGAGGTGGGCAGGTGGGATGCAAAAGACTGGCTTGATCTCTACAAGACATCTCTATAGTCAGTGCCATGCAAAAGCCCATCCCTGGTTACTAAAAAACTAGAAGAGTCTGCTCATGTGCACAAATATGGCTTAGATATCTCTGCTGTGCTTCGGAGGATCAGATCCATGATCCTGAAAAATGTGTCAGAAGAAACTGGAGCTAGAACAGCTCCCCCCACACTCCACCACTAACCTCTCTCCCTGCTGTTCAGTCTATGACCTCAAAGGCAGATCCCTGCAAGACAAAGCCAAGGCCTTGCATTCTATCACTTCTAGACATGTATACATGGAAAACCTCCAACAGGGAAACTTTGCATGGGAGGAGTAAACAAATCTGAATCTCAGCTTGTCTCTTCTAGTTGGATTTACTTTTCCTATTTCCTTGTTTTACTTGGCTGTGATTTGAAGCTGGTCACAGGCTAAGAAGGAGCTCAGACTGTTAAGTAATGGGGAAGCCAAGTCAGGGATTTGAGATGACATGACTATCCACGTTTATGTTTTTTTTCTTCTAACCTACCCTCCAGTTGGGTTGACCATTTTTTTCCCTGGGGATCCTGGCCCAGCACAACCTGTTGACATGACTTAGGAACAGCGTCCTGTTCATGCTTCCTCTTGGGCTCACCCATGTCTTCCAGAGTGTTACTCCTGGTTGAGCTTGGTGCTGATGACCTGTTTACCCAGCCCAGGAGTGGCAAGCTGCAGCCTAAGGAAGGGTGGCTTTCTTCATTTTGTCCCAAGGCAGTGAGGTACCAAGGAATTATCATTTCCTTCAATGTCTCTGGATCTGGGTTGGGCAGTCACTCCTGCAGAGGTAACAGGATAAGGGCCTGGCTGCTACTCCCTGGGCCTCACTTCTGTTGTGTAGAGCAGTCTTACTGGACTGATACCTCTATGTACTCTAAGGGGTTCCCACCAGCGACGAGGAAATGTAGATCCTGGTGAGGACTTACAGCAAGAGCTAGTGTGGCAATGGGGAGTGGAGGATGAATAAACATGATGGGTCAGAGGGAAATGCATCATCTTTTGCCCCAGACACTGAGATTTGCCCTTGTTCCAAGTGGCTCTGGCAAGCTGTTACCCATCCTTTCTCCAGCTATGTCACAGAAGTGACCATTTTGCTAAATAAGTCATCTGCATCCTCGGTTCTGAGTATTCACTGGGTTCCAGTTTCCTGGCCTTGCGTTCCTGTTTTCCTGCCTAAAGTGCTCCAAATCTACCCCTTCTAATGTTGATGAGGGTCCTTTTTTCATGTATGTTTTTCATGTATGTATGTTTTCGTTCAAACTAAAGACTGAGCTCTGTCCACCACAACCCCATGCCTTACCCAGGAATTAATTGTGCCATAGTAATCTCGATTTCCTAATAGTGCCCCCTCCAAGGTGCTAGGTGCTGTAGGCACCCAGTAATTATGTGTGGCTAGGGTAAAGTGAGGAGCCTTCCAGACCCCAGCTGCTCATGAAGTGTGTCCTCAGACTTGCCCACATTAGCAACCATGTGACTCCACTTGGACAACAGGCACCACTTTCCAGCCTAGCATTCAGGAATCTGCTGAGTACAGCTGTGTCCAGCTTCTCTTTTCCCTTTAGGGTTTTGTGGGCTCATCCTTCTCCACGCCAGATGAGCAAATCCTCATCATTCTAGTGTGAGTTAATGGGTTCCTTCCAGCACCCAACTGGAAGATGCCTTAGTTGAGGTCCCCTCATGAACAGTGAGGTCAGAGCACCCACACACCAAAGGAGCTGCCTAGGAGAAGGTCAGTTGGTCTTGATCTTGAGCCTATAACTGGCTCTGGGAGGCAGCAGGGTCACTGCTCCTAGAGTCAATTCTAGGGTCAAGCTGAAGACCAGCTGACCTAGGGTCCGTCATAGCGGGGTGAACAGAACAGAACAACATGAGGAACAGAGCACATTTTTTTTTGAAATATTCATAGAGTCATATTAAAACCAACAAGGCTAAATCAGAAAGTGGAATGCAAATTTTGCATGAATTGTGAACGTAAAACATGAGACTATGAAGGAATTTTAAGCTTACTGTTGTTTGCTTTGAGCTTTATCCACTGACGTATCTGTTCCACTCTAGTCTCTTCTGTTATGGGTAACCTCCTGGGAAAAATGTGAGATACAATGGTGGAAAAATATTGTCTCTGTAGTGAGAAAAAACCGGTTTAAATCCTGGTTCATTCACTCACTAGCTGTGGAACTGTGGGCAAGTGATTTCTCCCCTAGGAGCCTTAGTTTCCTCATCAGTAAATGGTGACAATCACAAACCCTCCTTTAGAATGCTGGAAGAATTTAATGAGCTCACATGTTAGAGTCCCCAGCATAGGGTCTGTTGGTTCCTTTGCAGGCCACACCCACAGAGAGGGCCAGCACTAAAAGCAAACTGTCCCCTTCCATTCCCACAAAGAGAGGCCTACTGTGGCCTTCTAGAGGCCCAAGGACCCCTGGTTGGCCCAGATTCTTCACCCCAGAAAGGATGCAATGTTGGAGTGCAGCTAAGATACATCCTGAAGCTATTTAGGCCATAAACACAGGTGGAGAAATTTCCTGGGCTTCTCATTACTTCCTTGCATCTTCCCCAAACAGAGCCCACATCTATGAGGTAAGAGCTCCTGTTGTAAAGACTCAGAGAGCATTAATAATATTTTCCTCTGCTCATGACAGGCTGAGCTCACCCTGTAAATGGGGTGGGGTGGGGAGACCCCCTGGGGGTGGTGGTGTTGGCTCCGGAGATTTCCTGGGTAAAGGAAAATGTTCAAATTCCTGGGCACTGGTGCCCCATCTCATCCAAGCCTTGCCACATCCTTGTCCCATGGGATCTTAGGGAAGTCATCCCCATCCATAAGCCTCAATTTCTTCCTGTGTGCACTGGCCTAAGACCTATTCACTGTCCTGCTTTAGAGAATGGTTGGGTTGTGGGAAAATAAGGGGATGAGCTGGGGGAAATCATCACTGGCCCTTGCTGGGTTACCCCAACATGGCCTGAGATTTTTTTTTTTTGCAAGTTTGTTTCTCCCTGAAGTCACACCTTAAATTCCTACCATTTAAAATGATAAAAGCCACTGTCTTTTGTATCTGCCAGCTATTTCACCCCTTCCTGAGCAGAAAAAAATCTTAGGATTTGTGTTAAATAGCTCTCCCTCCACCCTCATCCTGTCTGGATGTACCAAGATCTAAGAAAATAGCATACAGCAGGCAGATTTGCCATGCTACAGGCTCCTTGCAGGCTGGGGAAGGCCAGCTGGGGCATTGGGCTGGAGCCGAGGGAGGCCAGCAGGCCCAGTGGGGGTGGGTCCCCGGGGTCTGCTGAAATACACCTGGGGAGAGGCTCATCAAAGGAAAAGAGCAAGTTCATCGTGGGGTTCCTTTGCTTGCCTTTGCTTTGAGGCACTTCCTTTTGAACCTCTAAAGTGACAGCCCTTCCTTGATCAAGTCTGGTGTCCCTGGACTTCTGGACAGCTCCAGAGCCCATGCCAATGGAAGCAACTTTTGTCGGCTCCTTTCATGTTCCATCCTCATGGGCCTGGAGATCTGGGTTGGTGACCCTGCTCCGTGGTAAAGCAGAGACCCTGGGTTTCTCATAGAATCTGAGTCTCATGATCCATTGCATATTTAGTTCCAGCAACAAAACAATGAGCAGACAGACAAATAGATGTGATATTAAAAAGTGCACGCTTAAGGGAATGTTTTCACAGTGTCTGATGAAAGGAAAAGAGGCAGCCCCATTGGCCCAGAAGGAGTCTTGGCCAACACGAAGCTGAGTGCATCTCTCTAAAGCTCCATGGACTCCTTGTTGCCAATAGGACAAAGTCTGTACTCGCGATGGGCATCTGTCTCCTGGACCCTGGCTCATCTCTTGCTGCTCCCCGTGTTGTGCTGTGCCCGCACTGGGCTGGCCTCCCCCAGACTGCTT
Source organism: Homo sapiens (assembly GCF_000001405.40). Lineage (NCBI taxonomy): Eukaryota > Metazoa > Chordata > Mammalia > Primates > Hominidae > Homo > Homo sapiens. Next base: position 42,078,739 of record NC_000020.11, read on the forward strand.
CTCCCAATGCCTTTTCACATTTCTTTGCCATTGCACATATGGATCCCTTTGCCTGAGTTTCCTTTTTTTCCTTTTTATGCTTGTTAAGACCCAGCAGGAATGGACGTCCCCTTCTCCAGGAAGCCCGAGGCCGAAGAGACTTTCTTGCTCCTAGGCTCATGGAACACTCATCCACTCCACACTACTGCACCATGGTTCCATTTCCCCAGCATACAGTGGGCTCTTGAGGGCCAAAGCTGTACCTTCTTGAATTCTCTGCCCCTCATGCCCTGTCTGGGGCTAGACCAGCCTTCAAGATGGAGCTTCCTAGGTCCCAGCCCACCTGAGGCTGTCAGATATTGGGCCTAAGCACTGGCTAGAGATCAAGGTCGAGAGTTTCCCTGGCTGGTCCATTCATAGCCTGAAGGAACAGGGAATTGTTTTTACTGACTAAGAAATTAGATGAGACTGGCTTTCCTGGGGAGCTGGGAATGTGTTACTAAAATATATCTGAAATTCTGCGCTTCCCAGAAGAACTGGCATCAGGAAGAAAGTACTAAATTTCCATTTGTGGAGTTATCTGCTCAGAAGTTTCTGGCCTTATTTTCCCTCCATAAAATAATTGCTTGGCTTAGAGAAGATGAAGAAAACAGCACGGAGAAGTCTCATTGCCATTACCTGCCCCTTTGGAACCCAGGATTTCATTACTAAGGAAGGTGCGTGGGTTTCCTCATTGGAGGAGATGATCAAATGGAGATGATAACAAGTCAGTAGCTCTCTCCTGGGGGTTCTAAGGACTGTGTGAAATGTCCTATGGAAAGTGCCAAGCATGATCCCTGGCATACAGTAGAGACTTAGCAAATGTTGGTTCCCTCTCATTGACTCACTCACACTTTGGACAAGACCCTAGATCTCCAGGCCTGATTCTCTTGGCCTATTTTAAATCAAAGTATAATGGGCTCCACAATGGCCTTTTTCAAGGTGGCTGCTGGGTTTCTTTAGGAAGGAGTTCAAATTTGGACATCCAAATTATGCACAAAGCTGGTGCTCTATTTGCCCCAGAAACCAAAGGGACCATCTTCAGGCTCACCCATCTCTCCTTGCTCAGTGGCATGCTGTCCCAGGGTGGGAGCTTTTAAGGACATTGCCAGGAAAAAATAAAAGGCCCGAGAGATTTGTCTTAGAGGTACATACTCAAACTCCCCCGCCCCCTTCTTTTTGACATAAGAGACTAAGATTTTACACCCTCCAAAAGAAAGTTTCTTTTCACATACACTTTGGAAAATAATCAAATCTTATCTTGTTTGTCTCTTCCAAAGAAAGCTACCACCAAAGAAACACAGGGGTTACATCCTACAGGTCAGCCCAAGCCCTGCCCCAGGGAGGTGGTCCCTTTTTACAAAGACAAGGAGGAGCAGAGAAGTTCCCTGCAGTTCCACCCCCTCCCACTGACCACACAAAAAAGCAAAGAACACCTTTATCAAAAACTGCTGTGGACACAGCTGGCCGGCCAGTGAATGCTGGACGGTCAAGGCCCAGGCTGGGGAAGGGGTACAGAATGGTTGTGGGCGAAGCCCCATGCAGGTTAGGTGTGAGGATGGGGGGCCTCTCTTGTGGCCTAGGGAACATCGTAAGGTCACACTGGTCCAGACTGCAAATGTCTGGTGCCAGAGGCCCCTGAAGGAGGTTGCAGGGGGCAGCAGAGCAGTGACCCCCAAGAGCCTCAATCTTTTCCATGACGTAGAGGAGCAGAACACACATCTCCTCCACTCCTAAGGAGAAGGAGGGCAGGGGAGCCTCCCACTCCCCAGCACCTGCACAGTTGGCTTGCCAAGAGATCCACAAACTCAGAACAAAAGCAGGTGGTCTGGGAGCCAGAAATCCAAGGCCTTGCTTGTGGGTGTACTTCTGCTTGGGCCCTTGGCTGTGGCTGGTTAGGTTGAAAAGGAAGCCTGGGCCTTTTGGAGCAGCATCTCCCACGGCAACAGGAGACCCCTCAGAAGGTGCAGAGCCCCCCGTGGAACACAGGGCCACCAGTCTTCTCCTTGGAGTCAGGCAGGGTGCCACCTCAGAGCTCCTGAGCCCAGTTACTGCCATTCACACAAAAGGGGGCTTGGTCACAGCAGCCTCTGGACTCCGGCAGGTTCCCCATCCCATTGAGCTAAAAGGAGCTTAAATATTCCAGTGCCACCTCGTATACAAATTTATACTGTTCCTGAGAGGCGGAGAGGAGCAGAGGCAGAGAGGGAGAAGAGGAGACGAGAGAGATGAAAAAGGAAAGGGAAAATGCATTTAGTTTAGAGATACAGATTTTGGAGAAAACTTTTTCTATATCCATATTATGTCAACTCAAAATTACCCATATCTGGACATCCTTCAAAATTCTGCTTGATGCCTGCTTCTACCCAAGCTTCCTCGAATGCCCAGCTGGCATCATTCCCTTTCTTTTTTACTGTTTTGTACAACAGGGCTTCTCAAACTGTAACGTGCATACAAGGCAGCCAGAAATCTTTTTAAAATGCACATTCTGATTCAGTAAATCTGGAGTGGGGCTCAAGATTCTGCATTTCTAACAAGCTCCCAGATAATGATGCTGCTGCTGGTCTGTGACCCACACGTTAATATGGCCTCATTTTGACTAAGACCACTATTCGAGTAGGTTTAAAGACTTATATTAAAGCTCCTCGTGCATGGTGCGGTGGTCCACCATGGTACCAGGTCTTATCACCCGGGGCTCTGCCCACACACTCTCTTTATCACACTTTCCTCCATAGTACTCTCTACTATAAATGCTCTCTATTGTAAAAATTACCATAAATTAATTGGAATATAATTGGACTGAATTGAAAACATACTTCACATTCTACTAATCCAGCATCCTTTCCTTTAGGCCTGAATTAATGACACTGTCTTAAGGAATGGGCAGAAAGTGAAGCAAAGTAGGTGTACCAGGATTAGTAATTGGATTTTCCTGCAAGAAAGAAAAGTTGGGGAGGTTGGAAGGGGAAGACACAGGACAGACAACAGTGCATACCAAGGGCACAGAATGCAGGTATACAATTAGCAGCCAGGTGTTGAGTGATGTTACTATTTGATGTCATTTTCTCCAGGTCAAGGGAACTAGTCAGCCCTGGCTGTTGGAGAACAGTCCTTGGGATACTCACCAGGGTCTCCACCATGTTGGATTTGTTGTTACGCAGTGTTTTCACGATGTGGAACACGTCAATGATGTTTTGCTGCTGGATCATCTCACACACACTGCAGATGGCACAGAAGGTTCCACTACGGCCTCCCCCATTTCTAAACACAGAGCAAAGAGGTGAGCCATGTTCCTAGGTCCCTTCCAGGCACCTGATGATTCTAAAGCTACATCAGTAGGAGTAGGGATCAGCTGTCTGGGCAGATGCAAGGCAAGGCAATGGTGAAGGCTTTAGCCTGAGCCATGAGTTATGGTTTGAGTCCCATCTGTGCCATTAACTTGCTTTGACCTTGGCCAAGTCACTTCCTCTGTCTGGGCCCCAAGTTCCCCACTTGTATAATGAAGGGGTTGGACTAGATGACCTTTGAGAGTTCAATTAGCTTGATGTTTTCTTGGTTCTATGAGCATGTTACAGTCACTCAGGGCACACTCACCCAAACCCCAAGGGCAGGATGGTACTGTGTCTTTGTACATGTGACACCTGCATCCTTGCTGATGCTTGCATCCATGTCCAAAAGAATGCTCTGGGTCCACTTAAACATCCAATAAAGACAATGAAAATTTCCAAGTGATTTTCCTACTAGTTCTTCCCATCCTCCACTAAGGACAGCAATGCTCTGTTAGCCTAGGGTCAGCCAGCCCAAGCTTGGAGGTAGGAACTTGGAGGGAGGAACTGGTCCTGATAGGCTTTATCTTAAAATGACAGGTCTCTACTATACACTTTGGTTTAAGCAAGATGCTACTGATCTTGAGTCTAGGGATACAGGGTTGGTGGCAGAACTGTGTCTCTGTTACTCCTTTCTGAAACTCCATAAATCATCTTCATGGAAACACCCTTCAAACTCTTTACAGACAGTCCCTGTAGGAATATGCCTGATTCAGAACTCCTGGGCGTGTTGCCAAGAGCAACTAATGATTTCATGTAATGGTCTGTGTCTAAAGAACATCTGGACAGAAACTAAGGCACTCAGTCAATCTCCCAGATGTTTTATCTACAGGACATGCAGTGACCAGATGTTTCAAGTACAGAGAGTTGCTTTCCATTCACTGACTGGTGCCTGCATTTCAAGGTCTGTTATGGTGTCTGTGGCCCTCAAGGAAACCAAGTTCCCTGTTGGTAAAAGAATGCCCCTGTACCTTCCTTTGGCTCAAACTACTGGCCACCTTGGCTGGAAAGGACATAGATAAAAAGACACTAGTGCAAAAAAAAAAAAAAAAAAGCAGGCTAAAAAACAAACATGAGAGAGAGAGAGAGGAGAGAAAGGTCTCCTATGAAAGACGGTTCTATCATTTCTGAAGCAAGAATAACAGCGTCCAAAAGGAAGAGGTGAGTAGACACAGGGTCTCAGGGCCTGGTGGTGTGAGACCCTGAAAGATGGGTGCTAAGGTAAGGTCACCTGAATGTGTGGGAGGCATCTGGGCATCTGGAGGCAGCAGCTATTAGCTGGCAGGAAACCAGCTGCTAGTTTCTGGGATGTGGGCAGAGCCAGCTGGGCTTGGCTGATGTCACCCATCAGCCTGACTTGGGACACTACGCAGCATCTTCCTGAACTCTAGCCTGAGGTTTGCTTCCTCTGGAGAAGAATTTTTGCTGCAGGTGGTGGCCCTGAAGCTCTGTGTGTGCATCTCTATGTGTCTGTGTGTTTAACCTCCTTTAAGCTCTTTGACTTGCCTAACATGTGCATGCACCACCTGTTTGAGAGGGAGAATAATTAGCTGGTTTTGAAAAGACTGACCTCAATTCTGAGGTCAGTCAGATGTTATCAGTGCCTCCACTAGCTCCAGAAATATTTGTTGTAAGAAAGAGAAGACCTTCGTTCAAATTTCCTTTAACATAACATTTTAAAAGAGAGAGGCCTTCTCAATGACTTTTCCTCAAATCGTTGAAGTTCTAAGAAGCAAAGTGAGTGTGAATCAAATATTTCACACATAGCTGTTATGGCTGCAGATTTGTTTTGGGTGTGAGACTTTGTAGAATCCTCTGTGGTCACTCTATACTCCCAGGATAGATTCTGTGACACTTGCTCTTTTAAGTAATTACATTTACGTTTGCATATTTGCTACCATGACATTCTTGGTCTCTATGTTGGCAGATAAAGTGTGTTCACTTTCTATTTCATGCCAAAGCACTATAAGGTCTGAAGATTGTCTAATTCCACATACCCAATGAACAGACGAGGAAACTCAGGCTTATAAAATTCAGTGATTTTCTTGACGTTGCACAGCTTGTCAGCCACTGTCCTCTCGAGGTCCTGACCTCCACCCAGCGTAATGACACCAGAATTCATTAGACTGGACAATGTCCATTCGAAGACAGGAGGTAAAGTCTCCAGTTCACCCCAGCAATGGGGGTATAAACACAGCTGGTCTGGAGCTCACTGTGCCCCTGCACAATAGTGTTCCTAGAGTCCTTCACATCCATCTATCAGCCCCTGAGGGCAGTGCCTTTCCCTCATGCTCTTTTTGTCCTATGATCCCTTTAAGCCCATTGTAGAGAAGCAGGCAACCTCCTCTCATGTTTGTGGAAAGACCACTAGGTTTTGCATCAATAATATGTCATATATTAGTTCAGGACAACAAACTGGCAGCCCCGTTCCATTAAAGGATCATAATTCCTTTGAATGTACTGCCACTAGCCTTTGAGGGATGTTGAGTTGTGGTATAGCCAGGCCTGCCTAGGACTGGGGTATGTGGCCAGCAGCATCTGCAAGGATGCTCTATCACCCACCACCCTATTGCCCTGGTGACACCTCCCTAGTACTCACAGGCAGTGGACCACAGTACGTCCCTCCCTCCCGTCATACTGCTCCTGCCACTTCTCCAGTCGTCGGACCACTTTGAGCAGAGAGCGCTTGGAGGGGGGCGTGTCCCGGTAGGCAGGCCAGCCAATGTACTGGAGGTGCTGGACTATACGATAACCATCCTGTGGCTGAGAACAGAGAGGCTGTTAGGGCTGTTCTGCTGGGGATGCTTGCGTACATGCACCTTGCAGATACCCCGGGGACTGCAGCATCATGGTGGAAGACAGACCAAATGGGATCTAAGCCATGTCCTCACGGGGAGAGTCCCCATGACTACTTCTATTCCTTCGTGTACACAGATTCTCTTGCCGTGACTGCCCTGAACCCCCTTTTGTACCTGAAAAACTCCTGCTCAGCCTTCAAAACCCAATTTAAATGTCCCTTTCTTTAGGAAAGCCTTCCCTGACTCTGTTGGGCAGAGTTTTTTCTCCCTGAGGCTCATGTGCCAGAACATGTCTCACTGTCTCAGTGGACAGTGAACTCTGAGCAGGGGGGTAGGGGAGGTGCTGAGCTCCTTTCATCCTGGGCCCCAAGTAGTGACCAAAGCTGCATTAGTTAGCAACCATTTCATAGATTGCTAATCTGCCCCTCCCACCCACTACTCTGCTCAGCCAGTGAACATCCTCATGGAAGTAAGTAATCACTTTTCATCTAGGTGTTGGCAGTGCCTGGCCCAAAGCTTATGGGATCCAATCAAAGGCTGCATCAACTCATGCCAGTACAGAGACACAGTGGGGAAGAGCTAATGTCTAAGAAGTTTTGTCTACACGGCAGCAAGTGTGTCAGGAAACAGGCAGATGGCAGGTTGGATGTCGCTCGTTGCATCTCTATGTGTTGGAGTCATTGCTGAGTCTGGAGCCGGAATCAGCACAGGCATCACTTCCTCAAGGAAGAAATTATCAGGAGAGCACAACACAGACTCTTGGCTGGCTCAGCGGGATCCTCTCTCGGCAGCCTCCATCTGTCTTGGGGAGGAGGGGCTCAGCAAGCAATGGCGGCCGTGTACTTACCCGGGCCATGTTACAGATGCGGAATATTCTGTGGATGATGTCCTCGTCGATGTCTGCGGAGACGAACTCCACCTGGATGGGCCCATAGCACCCGGAGGTCTTCTCAGGCCAGTACTGCATACAGAACTGAGATAAGGAAAGAGGTCACAGAAGGAGCTCAAAGGCAGGGGGCGGGTATCAAAGTCTCATTTATCAACAAGCTTTTCTTTTCTTTTTTTCTTTTTCTTTTTTTTTTTTGAGATGGAGCATCACTCTTGTTGCCCAGCCTGGAGTGCATTGGCACGATTTTGGCTCACTGCAACCTCTGCCTCCCAGGTTCAAGTGATTCTCCTGCCTCAGCCTCCCAAGTAGCTGGGATTATAGGCACCTGCCACCATGTCTGGCTATTTTTAGTAAAGATGGGGTTTCGCCGTGTTGGCCAGGCTAGTCTTGAACTCCTGACCTCGGGTGATCCACCTGTCCCAGCCTCCCAGAGTGCTAGGATTATAGGTGTGAGCCACTGTGCCCAGCCGTCACCAAGCTTTTTTTATGGCTGGAAGGACACATTGGCCAGAAAGGTAGAGTATTATGTAGGAAATTAGACTCAGTTTCCCCTTTAGGGAGCAGCCATCCACTTTTTCTGGTGTTGAAATATCAAGGCTTTGAGCACAGAAACACTGGGCTTGCAAATCTTTGCTATGTTGATTTCAAACCATTTGTTAGGTTTGCTTAACCTGAGTTTCCTCATCTGTAAAATGGGGAGAATAATATCTACCTCTAAGCCCCGCTGTCAGGATTAGATAGAACATGCTAAAGAAAGGGCAAGTACCATCTATTTTTCTTTTCACCACGCAAATCATCACAAGCTCTTCCTCATTCCAGGAAAACCTTCATAGTGTTCATTCATGATCAGATCAGAAGTAGTGTAAAAAATATAGGGGTTTCGGGAGGCGGAGCTTGCAGTGAGCTGAGATCGCGCCACTGCACTCCAGCCTGGGTGACACAGCGAGACTCCATCTCAAAAAAAAAAAAAAAAAAAAAAAAAAAATATATATATATATGGGTTTGACCTCAGGCGGCCTTGGGTCCAAATCTGGTCTCAGGTGCTCACTAGCTGTGCAGCCCAGGCCTCAGTTTTCTCATAGGTAAAGTGGGGATAATTATGCTTACTTTGCACCAAAAGTTAATGTCACATGGTGCTGACAGATCTTGCCTATGATTCTTTCTATTTATCTGGAATTGGAAATTAGAACCTACAGCTGAGAGCAAAAGGCAGTGATTGACCTTCTGTTTAAGACAGTGGTTCTCAGTCTGAGACTGTTTTGTTTCCCAGAGGGCATCTGGGCAATGTCTGAAGACATTTTGATTGTCACACCTGCGGGTTGCTATGGGCATTTAGTGAGTAGAGGAGAGGATGCTACTCAACATCCTGCAGTGCACAGATTAGCTCCCCCCGAGAGTTATGTGGCCCCAAATATCCATAGTGCAGAGACTGAGAAAACCTAGTATAAAATCATTATAATTATTATTATTATTATTTTTGAGACGGAGTCTCACTCTGTTACCTAGGCGGGAGTGCAGTGGTGCGATCTTGGCTTGCTGCAACCTCTGCCTCCCGGGTTCAAGTGGTTCTCCTGCCTCAGCCTCCCAAGTAGTTGTGACTACAGGCATGTGCCATCACACCCGGCTATTTTATTTTTTTTATTTTTATTTTGTGTTTTTAGTAGAGACAGAGCCTCACCGTGTTAGCCAGGATGGTCTTGATCTCCTGACCTCGTGATCCACCCACCTTGGCCTCCCAAAGTGCCGGGATTACAGGTGTGAGCCACTGCACCTGGCCATAAATTATTCTTTAAGCTTCAGGGGTCATTGAGAAGAAGAGATGGAGGCTGGGTGCGGTGGCTTACGCCTGTAATCCCAGCACTTTGGGAGGCCAAGGTGGGTGGATCGTGAGGTCAGGAGTTCGAGACCAGCTTGGCCAAGATGGTGAAACCCGTCTCCACTAAAAATACAAAAATTAGCCGGGTATGGTGGTGGGCACCTGTAATCCCAGCTACTCAGGAGGCTGAGGCAGGAGAATCACTTGAACCCAGGGGGCAGAGGTTGTAGTGGGTGGAGATCACGCCACTGTACTCCAACCTGGGAAACAGAGCAAGACTCCATTTCAAAAAAAAAAAAAAAAAAAAAAATAGAAGAAGAAGAAGAGATGGATATCTTGTTTCTTGTATCTTTGTCTCTGTTAAGCCACTAGATAACTTTAGCTGAGGAGAGAATGTTGAGGTGGGGGGTGGGGTGTGTGGCTGCAGAGAGGAGCAAGGCATGCTCCCTCCAGTTCCTGGTTCCCAAGGGGCACAAGATGGATCCTGCCTAGGTCTACAGGTCCCATTGCTGGGGTACAGAGGGGAGACAAGATTGCGGCTGCAGGCTCGCTGGGGACCACCCCAACATGAACAAAGAAGTCATGTGTTAGACCCTTCATCTGGGGGTTACCCTGAAGATATAGCCAAGATTCACAAAGAAAGACCCACCGAGGCTTCTGAGAGCAGTTTGGGATTGAGTCTCTCCTCAGCGGGGGTCTGGTTCAGGCTACCCCAGGCTTGCAAATAGGGGGCTAGATGGACAGAAGTGACCCACCCCCTACAGATGCAGGGTTTTCATCGAAGGGGGTGCTTGCTCTCCACTTCGTGGCCGAAGAACAGCCATCTCACCCTGAGAAGTCACATGTGAAAATACCTTCATTCTCTCCTTCCTCCAGAACTAGAATTAGAAGGGAAGAGCAGCGAGCAGGAAGGATGTAGGAGATGGAAACTCATGTCTCCCACCTTCTTAGCTGTGGAAACCCCAAGTTCTAGCTTAGGAATATTCACCTTATAGCAGCAGTTGGCATACTATTGCCCACAAGCCAACCCAGCCAGCTGCCTATTTTTGCATATAAAGCTTTGCTGAAACACAGCTACACTTATTCATTTATGTATTGTCCACAGTTGCTTTCATGCATCACCCACAGAGTTGGGTAGTTGTAACAAAGACCATATAGCCTGCAAAACCTGAAATATTTCCTATCTGGCTCTTTACAGAAAAAGTTTGGCAACCCCTACTTTATAGGGTTGTTCTGAGGATAAAGGACATAATTCATGTAAATAAACCCTTACCACAGTGCCAGGCATGGAATAAGCATTTACTAAATTCCAGTGATTCATACCATTGTTGAATCCATCAGTGCTCAACAAAAATAATAATAGTAATAGCTATGATATATAAATTTGAAGGATTCTTCTTATCGCCCCTCATAAATAGCATAAGTATGCAAGGTTAAGCTTCAGAACGCAATGATGCCTTGCTTTCCTGGCGTCTCCACTGGGGGTTAACCAAGCATAGTGAGAAAGGAGCTCTGAGTGTGTGTGAGTGTGTGTGTGTGTGTGTGTGTCTTGTCGGGCGCTGGTCACGGGCCTCCATGGCTGGACAACCATCTGCTGAGCTGTGCAATGATGACAAATCCACAATTTGAACTTCATTTCTCTTTGCCATTGGCTCTTCCGCCTTGCAACCTTCACAGTAATGAGAGATTGGTACAAATAAGTCTATGGTTGGTCAGAGAAACCAGAATTAATCAGAACTGCCCATTAAAAAAAATAATTGCCTTTATCACCTGCACTGAATTTAGGGTTCCTAGAGTTTGGCTGTGATCCTGACACAAGGTGCATGGATCCAAGGTATCAGGGAAGTCCTATTATCCCCAATATCTTCAGTCTGGAGAGAATGTGGAATGATTTGTCTCTTTTAATAAGATTTCCAGACCAATTTCTCAAGCTGATAGATTCTACTACGCCTCAAACAAGACTCCTATATTTCGGGACACTTCTCTGCATTCGATTTTCTGGGTCACTCTCTCATAATGCCCAGAGGGCTGGGGAAGGTTGCAGGCTTTTCTAATCCTAAATCAGAGTCATCCTTTCACTTGGATGCCCTAATTTGTGAGACTACAGCAGCAGCAGAATGGGTGAATTCAGCAGGGTGATGTGCTGGCAAATGTGGTGTTTGAGCTGCCAGGGATCATCAGGGTCTCTCTGCAGCCCGGGACACTGCATATATTCTAGCCATGGGAAATAAGAGAAAGAAAGCAGGGGGGCCATGTTTTCTCTTCCCACTGACCCTTTGGGGCTCAGAAATGACTCTCATCAATAAGAAACATCCTCTGTGGTTTAGCTCAAGACTGTCCTGGTGTTCAAGTGCTGTAGCTGCACCTGAATGGATGCTACCATTTTGGTTTGCTTATGTTGTGTAGCAAAAGGTGCGAAAATGCATTGGGGTTTCTTCTTGAAGCTCCCTGGATTCAAATCGTGGCTCTATCACTTTCTAGTTTGAATGGCTTGGCTACATCTCTTAGCTTCTCCAGTTTGTTATGAGTGGCTGTGAATTTTAATGTCTACTTAGCATAGGGATCTGTATCTAGCAAGTACTCAATTAATGTAAGCTGTGATTATTAGGCAGTATGGGGGAGGGTTCCTCAAACCAAGATGGATAAATAGATGATTTTTTTCCTCCACTTAGTAGCTTTTATGAAAATTTCTCTTTAGGATAATACTCAAAGGACTGCCCGTGTGGAAATTCTGGATCAGCCAGCTTGGGGTAGCTGTGAAGATGAGTAGCATCCTAGATATGGGATACTGCATGTCAAAATACAGAGATCTGTGGGTTGCTCCGATGAGCTGAATGACCCAGAAGATAAAAGAGGAAGGTTGAGATCACTGTAGAAGCAGTGAGGTATAAAAGGCAACTCAGTGTGTCACATAACCCTGCTCCTAAACTCTGAAATATGCCATAAACTCATAATAGCATGTAAAATGCATACTGTGCATGTATTTCTTGCAGAAACCAGCAAGAAACTGAGCTCGGCTCCCTGGCTCACATAGACATGGAACAGAGATCACATCTGTGAGTGGAGGAGCCAGACTTTTCATATAAGCACGTAAGCATCTGCGATTTATACAACTCCTGGGGAGGGAAAGCTTATGGTTTCTTAAGGCTCAGGAAATGGGAATTCTAGGAAGCCTACTTGCCTCTTTAAGATCACGAGGACGTAGCTGACCTAAAGGCCACACTTACCCTGAATGCAACCTTGACATTTTCTTCCTTAGATGTAAAACTTTTGAAGTTGGCTGATCCAAGAATAGATTCAAATTCTTCAGCCAAGAGTCTAGACCAACTGACTTTTTCCACTTCATTGCCTAGTAAGTACTCTCTCCTACCCTTTCTTTTCCAGTGGTCTGAGGGTGAAAGGTGATACTGCCTGAAGGGAGGGCTTTGCCACTGCAGATACATACAGGTAGTGGCGATGAACACACCGGGGAGAGGAAGTCAGTCCAGTTGTTGTTAATGATTTAGAAATAATCATGCTTCTTCCAAAAAAACAGAGGGGACTTTTGTTGTCTTTTGTCAGAACAAGTTAAACCAAGCAAAGGTTGTGAAGCCTGTGTGGATAGCCCTGGAACAGCTGCCATACATTATTCCACCTAGTGCTCTCCATGGCTGTTTGGGCCATGAAAAGATGTCCTTGGGGGGTGCAAGTTCACGTGTGATATATAACAAATGCAGAGGTAGCCTCACGCATTAAACGTCTTTTTCTTGCTGATGGAATCAGAAAGCTTGTTATCACTGGAATAAACATGCTCCGATGAGTTGAATGAAAACTAGCATATGGGTCTATTTTTGGAATAAACATTTTTAGAGCATATTTCAGTGCACCTTAGTTATGCCTTTCTTTTATTAAAAATACTTTGATAAAATGGAAAGGCCAAGTAATATCATCACGTTAGAAATAAAGGACTTTATTTATTAAGGCCCCTGCGACCCAGAGTGAAGAAATCAATCCCAGGCCACCTAAAGGTGAAGTGAATTGGTATTTTAAAGAGAGAAATGTAAGTTTCCTGAATTGCTTTTAAAATTCAGCATCAGTGATTATAAAATTCCTTTAAACAGATTCTATAAAGATCCAAAAATATATAATTGGCTTTGATACTATGTCCAGTTAAGGAAGGCAGACTGTGAATGAAGGCATAAAGAAGACAGGGACAGAGGGAGAAAGAGAGGGAGAGAGAGGGGGGAGAGAGAGAGAGATTCACACATCTCTCCTCATTGTATCCTTCCAGTAGTCCCATGAAGCTCCATAATACAATCTCCACATAGTGGGTGGAAACTTACTCTTAAAACAGCTGCATCAGAGTTTGTTTCAGGGAAGGAAGGGTTGGAGTTTAGGAACTTACCTACAGAAGAGTCTTGGGGTGGGAGGCAAGGCTCAGAGCAGGTTTAAGAAAGACGTACTAAGGAGATGGCTAGATTTTGCAGCTTAAGAAAGGAACAACTTTTGGGGAGAGGGTGGAAGAGCTGAGAAGGGAGGGATGGGAAAGGAGGTAAATGGGAAGAAAATGGTTTGGGCAACAGGGTCAGGGGAAGATGTGTTACTGCTAGTGAGAGCTGAGGAGGCAAGGTGAGGCTTCAGAAAGAGGATGTGTGATGTTCAACTTGAAGTCATGGGCATTGCTGGGATATGAAGCTCATATCTCTCCGACTAAAGCCTCAGCTGAAACTTGGAAGTAAACATGAGAAGACAACCCCCTCAGAATTCTCAGAAATGTTGGGGATGGACATTGGGTTTTCCCATAGGATGGGGAGTAGGGAACAGAGCAAATTTTATTTAAATCTTCAAAGACAGAATGAACTTGGCTAACATCTAGGTTATAGTAATCTAACAAATGATAACATTAAGACTTGGAGAAAGTAAAGGAACTGGCTCAGGGCAACACAGTGAGTAAGTACCAAGGCTACAATTTGAACTCAGGTCTCTTGACCCCAGGTTTCTTTTTTACTGTTACCCCTACCATTCTGGTGGGGACAGAAACAGAGACACAGCCCCTTGCAAAGTCAGACCTGAGGCTGGCTGAGATGCAGGTTGGGTATTTTGCATATTTTGCTGGTGTGTTAGGCTGTGTTTTCACAAGCCCAGACTAAAAATGGGGATATTAGGAGTTGCTATTTGCCCTAGAGGCACAATGGCAGCAAGAGACATCTCTGAAATAGCACCCTGCTTTTCTCCTGGGAGAATGAGGAGCTTGCCTCTCTCACTTCCATGGGAATCCATCACAGCCCCCATTATCCTTGCACTCAGGCACCCTCACCTTTCCAAAAGGCTTTGCATCCCTGATCTCTCAGGCTTTCCACAGTGGGAGCCCCAGAACAGAGCAACTCAGCTTTTATGTAAGTTGTGGACTCTTATTTGTTTTAAAGGAAAGAAACATCCTTGTATGCTCCATACACCAGGTGCCATAGCACATTCATAGGTCTCAGGGGTTAGGATGTGGACATCTCTGGTGGGGCCACGATTCTGGCTACCACACAGCCCCACCCTTTGGCTGGCATGCAGGATCTCCTGAGCTCTCTAAACAGTATGGTGAGTATGGCATGACTGCAAGGAGGGCTTCTTTCTGGTGTCTTTCTGGTGGTCCGTAGAGACCACAAAGAGGGAAAAGATCTTGTCAATGCTGTTGGATGTGGTTGAAAATGTTCTTTCTGCTGAGTCTGAGAAGTGACAGCATGCTTTGCTGGCTGGCGTGGTTCTAGGATTTTACCCCGCAAATCTGACCACAGACATTTGGAGTCCTAAAGAGTTAGAAAAATCTGTAAGGTTGAATGCAGAAGTTTGAATGCCTTTATTTTGAGCCCTCATTGATCATAATTACCTTTGAACAGCAACCACTGCAGGAATGAAAGAAAATTTGGGGCTGACTAAATGAAGTAGTGTAAGATTCTGAGCAGGGGCAGATTTGGCCAGCAGTGCAAAAAAAATAAGGCCCTGTGAGAGCTTACACCCTCTTCTTATTTTGCTGCAGCTTACAGGTAGCCCTGCCCAATCCCCAACGTACGCTCTTATGGTTCCCAGGCAAACCACAGGAGATGGCATCGGTCCTCTCAGGAGTGACCTAGCAATGCTCAGGTCCTAAGGCAGACCTGTCCATGTTGCCAGGCTGGGCTAGCTTGGAGGCTGCCTTGGCATGAGCACGCAGGCAGACAGATGCTGACGCCGCTTCAAAGAACCGCCCCTCCAGGTGCTGAGGGCGGCTTTTCTGATGCTCATCCTGTGTCATTGTTTATTTTCATAAGGCGCCCAGCTGCTGCGGTGATGATATTTATATCAATAAGTGCTCTATTCATCTGCCGGTTTCAGGGAATGCTTGCCAGCTGCGTATGGCAGCCAACCTCAGGGTACTTCTGAGCCTGATGTTTTTGCATTTAGAGAATCAGTTCTCAAACTCTGTACCAACATCTGGGCCTGAAAGATTCTTCATTCACCCAGGACCCACCCTGAAAGGGGGAGCTATAGCCAATGACCTTGACCTTTGTTTCAAAGGTTTTATATGTCCCGAAGTGAAGTTCTTTGAAAGTCATCCTCTGTGCCTGAGCTCTGGTTTTGCAGAAAGGGATGTTGAAAAAGAGAAGAGCAAACAGGGTTTTGCAGGCCAGACTTCATGCCCAGGCTCATGAGCTGAGTTCATTCTTTTATTTCTTCAGCCAAAAGCGTAGGGTGGTGATGCCTTCAGACTCCAAAACTCTGCAGGGAATGTTCCAGAACTCTCTGTTTTATGAGAATTCATTTATTTTTTATAGTTATCTCAGTTTCTAACCTTCTATTGCTCAGGCCCCAATCATTGACATTATCCTTCATTCCTCTTTCTTTTTTTGACAGGGTCTTACTCTGTCGCCCTAGGCTAGAGTACTGTGGTGTGATCACAGTTCTCCACAGCTTTGATCTCCTGGGCTCAAGTGATCCTCCTGCCTCAGCCTCCCAAGTAGCTAGGATTACAGGCATGGACCACCATGCCCAGTTCATTTAAAATTATTTTGTAGGACTGGGTGCAGTGGCTCATGCCTATAACCCCAGCACTTTGGGAGGCCAAGATCAGCAGATCACCTGAGATCAGGAGATCAAGACCAGTCTGGCCAACATTGGGAAACCCCATCTCTACTAAACATACAAAAATTAGCTGGCTGTGGTGGCTCACCCCTGTAATCCCAGCTACTTGGGAGGCTGAGGCAGGAGAATCGCTTGAACCCAGGAGGCGGCAGAGTTGAGATCGCGCCACTGCACTCCAGCCTGGGCGACAGAGTGAGACTCCATCTCAAAATAAAAATTCTTTTGTAGAGACAGGGTGTCACTGTGTTGTCCAGGATGGTCTTTAACTCGTGGCCTCAACTCCTGACCTCAAGTGATCCTGCTTCCTTGGCTTCTCAAAGTGCTAGGTAAGATTACAGGCATGCCTGGCCCTTGATTCCTCTTTCTCTCTCTTATTCCATAGTCAATCTCTCTGGATGTGTTGTTGGCTTTACCTTCAGAATCTACCCCCCAGTTCAACCAACCTCACCTGCCACCTGAATTATCACAGTAGTCTCTTGTCTGTTCTCTCTGCTTCCATTTCAGAAACCACTCTTCCCCATCCTTGCACCAACAATCTATTCTCAACACAGCAGCCAGAGGGATGCTTTTATTAAAAAAGGCAAATTATGTTGCTCCTCTGCTTCAAACATGTGCATGGCTCTCTGTTTCTCTGAGAGTGAAAGCCCAAGTTCTTCTATGTCTTCCATGGCCCTCTGACCTCACCTTCTGCTGCTTTCCCCACAGTTGTGCTGCTCTGCCCATGGCCTCTGTGCTGTTCCTCAAGGGCACCAGGTGCATGCCTACCCTGCAGCCTGGGTGCAGGTGTTCCCTCTGCCTGTGATGCCCCCCTGAGAGTCACATGGCTCACTCTCTCACCTCCTTCACGTCTGTGTTCAAATGTGTTCTTCTCCATAGGGCCCACCTTGACAATCCTATTGCAATGACATTCTATGTCCCAGATCCAACGTTCTGATCTTTACTACCCTGCCTTCTTGTTTGCCTTTTTCCAAACACTCGTGTCAGCCTTCTAACTTATAATTGAGCACATTAGAGAATGTGTGTTGCTTATTATCTGTCTCCTGCTTTAGAAGAGAAGTTGCATGAGAGATGGCAATTTTTTTTTATGCCTCGCTTTGTCTGTGTTGCTCAGTGATGCATTCCAAGCACCTAGAATAGCTTCCAGCAAATAGCAGATGCCCAACAAATATGGGTTGCCTGAATCAATAGACTCTCTCCGGAACGTCTCTCACAGGCACATCCCAAGGTGCACTCAATTTCATCCCCTGTTCATCTGCTCTTCTCGCTGCCTTCCCCTACCTTCCTGACTTTCATATTTTCCCCAGTTATATCCCCAGTTGCCTAATTGCCCAGACTCAACTTCCTGCCATTATCTGCAACTTTCCTTCTTATTCACCTCCCACCTGCACCTGCTCCCTAAACCTTGGGGACTTAAGTCTGGAAATGTTTTCACGTCCAATTCCAGTCCTCTCACCTCCTGGCCACTTCTGCAGTTCAGATAACTACCTTTATTGTCTACACATTTGCAACATTCTCCTCCCCGGTCTCCTGGTTTCCAGGTCTTTCCTCCGGCCTTTTACCTGCACTGATCCCCAGACCTGGCTTTCTTTTTATTCTTACCCTTTTTTTGCAATTTTTATTTTTTTTATTTTTTAAGAGATGGGGTCAGCCAGATGTGGTTGCTCACGCCTGTAATCCCAGCACTTCAGGAGGCCGAGGCAGGGGGAACACTTGAGGTCAAGAGTTTGAGACCAGCCTGGCCAATATGGTGAAACCCCATCTCTACTAAAAATACAAAAATTAGTCGGGCATGTTGGCACACGCCTGTAATCCCAGCTACATGGGAGGCTGAGGCATGAGAATCACTTGAACCTGGGAGGCGGAGGTTGCAGTCAGCCAAGATCGCACCACTGTTACTCCAGTCGGGATGACACAGTAAGAGTCAGTAAAAAAAAAATGGGTTCTTGCACTGTCACCCAGGCTGGAATGCAGTGGTGGGATCATAGCTCACTTGAGCCTTGCAGTGCTCAAGCAATCCTCCCGCCTCAGCCTCCTGAGTAACTGGGACTATAGACACATGGCACCATGCCTGGCTAATTAAAATTTTTTTTTTTTTTTTTTTTTTTTGTAGAGACAGGGTCTCATGGTGTTGCCCAGGCTGGGCTTGAACTCTTGGCCTCCCAAAGTGCTGGGATTACAGGCATGAGCCACCATGCCCAGCCTCTAGACCCATCTTTCTAACAGGAACCCTGGCTGTGTTATACCACTGTCAACCCTCCAGTGTTTCACCTTCCTGCACAGAAAGTATTTCTAACTGTGCTCCTCCAAACTCCAGTGGTCCCACAAAGGACTGACCCCTCTAAGGGCACCAGGAGAAAATGAGACAGCAGTGTGGGTGGAAGCCCAACCCCTGCCTACTGCTTCATCATGAGCAGCTTTTGGTCATCCCTATTTCATACATTGGGCTTGCATGAAAGCTTTTATTCATAGAAAGGATTCTGTCGCTTACAAAGTAGAAGTCTGAAGCTTGCTATGCTGCCAACCAAGACCCAAGCTCCTTAGCCTGGCACAGGGACCTCTCTGCAAGCTGGGCTCTGCTGCATTTTTCAGCCTCACTACATTCTTCTCCTCCTGATATTCCTCTAGGTCCCAGCCACACTGGAACATAAACTGTTCCGCAAATAAGTCTGTGTATATTCATCCCCTGCCTCGCCTTTGCCTCTGCTGTTCCCTCTGCCTGAAATGCCTTTTCC
Source organism: Homo sapiens (assembly GCF_000001405.40). Taxonomy (NCBI): domain Eukaryota; kingdom Metazoa; phylum Chordata; class Mammalia; order Primates; family Hominidae; genus Homo; species Homo sapiens. Next base: position 42,097,407 of record NC_000020.11, read on the forward strand.
CAGTGAGTTCAGCCTCCATATGCCTAAAGCTCCTCTGCCTTCTTCAAGGCCAAAGTCACCTTCTTTTTGAAGTCTTCCCTCACCCTCTGGGCAGAATTCATTGCTCCCTGCTCCTGGCCAACACAGCACTTCACTGCTGACCTCTATTATAACACAGCCACATGAGGTTGGGACAATGTGCTCATCTGTCTCTGGAGCAAGACCATGCGCTTTTGGAGGGCTGAAACTATAGCTCAGGTCTGTTTAAAAAATTTTTAAATTCCCATCCAAGGCCTGCACAAGGCCAGCTCTCATATGGGAATTCAATGTTACTTTAAGTTTTATTTAAGGCAGTGAAAGGATAGGTTTTTAAAAATCTGAAGGACCATTCTCAGCTCTTCCACCCCAGAATGGCTGCCCTGGCATAGAAACTGTTCCAAGATACACGTCCTGTGTCCTGAGTATGGGGATATGCTGTAGGCACGTGATGCTTGGAGCTATCAGAACAGAGGGGCTAAGGCAGGAAGCCTGCCGGGGAACAAAGGTCAACCGTGAGGAACTGGGGCTTGGTGGGGTGGTCAGTGGGTAATGTGTCCAAGGTTCAAGTCCCAGGCTCTGTCTGTACAGGCTGCATTGCAGAGGGGGAAGGGAGGTGAGTGTGGCCGGGCATCTGGGTATTTTTCAGGGCTGCAGGTGCTCAGTGCTGGGGGAGGAAGCCTCCTGGCTCTGCAAGATCTGTGTGATTTGGAGCAAGACAATAATCAATGCTTGTGAGATGGAGCAACAGAGTCTGGTCCCGGGCGGGGAGTTGGACAAAGCCCATAGGCAGGGGGAGTCTTTGCTGGAGGTCTGGGGGGTGACAGGACCCTCTGTAGGTAGCAGAATGGCTTGTCTGATGCTCGTGGCCAGACACTGCTTATTACAAGACAGCTGGCTGGGGCAGATGTGGCAGGCACCGGCTGTCAAGGGATCTCCCTCCAGGTTTAGAGCATGGCCCCCCTGACCCACCTAGGGCTTGGCTTGGCCTCCTCCTACCTGGGCAGTGTCCATCTCATTCAGCATCACCACAGAGGAGCAGTTGTAATCGAACACCAGCCTCCAGAAGTCTGCCACGGTGTTGGGTAGAGGGTGCTGGGTGACCACGAAGGCGGCAGGCTGCTTGTGGCTCTGACAAAGGAATGACACAGGCTTCGTAAATTACACATCCATCAGTGATATTCTGATGATGATGAGGCCTGGACTGAGGCCAGAGGCTCCAGAGCCTGCCAAATAGATTATACAAAACACCTGCCTGTTCTTTTATCTCTCCACGCCCTGGCGGCAAAGGGGACCTTCTCATAATGAACACAATCTCCTCCAAACTAAGACATTTCATTAGGAAAGTGTCACTGGGATGGGATTATCCAAATAAATTATTTATGCCTCGGAGCTCAGCAAATAATCATAATTACAATACGAAATGAAAGATTTCAGATGCAGATTTGTTGCTCTACTGGTCAAGACACCTCTTGGGATATAAGGGATTGGCCGCATCCCTGTGGCCACGATGCTGGGCGAGGTTTTGGGTCGGCCTGAGGCCGAGATTCTCCCAAAGGGGCAGGCTCCCTTCTGCCTCCAGGCTGGAGTGAGGGGCTGAGTTGCCCTGGCAAGGTGGGCACTGTGTCATGTGAGTCAATGGGGCAGTGGAAAGTACACATGCATTATTAATAGTCCGGTAGACCTGGGGTTCAAGTACAGCTTTACCACTTGTAAGTTATGAGTCATCCATCTGTCCATCCATTTGCCCATTTATTCATTCATCCATTCATCCATTCATTCAAACTTTGTAGAGTGCTTTTTTTTTGGCGGGGTGGGTGCTAAATACTGGCAAGTTATTAGATGATTCCAAAGCTCATGTTCTTCACCTGGAAAACGGAAATCATAAATCCAAAGGAATGATGTCACACAGATTGAATGAGATTTACGTGTGAAAAGGCCAGCAAACAAGAGCCGGAACGTAAGCCTACTGGCAGGGCAGAAACACCCCTGACTTTGTTTTACGTCCTTGGCACTGGTATTGTCGCTGGCACATGCTAGACAGTGCCACTCCAGTGAATAAAACAATAAATTCAGTCCCGTGTTGCAGATAGGGAAACAGAGGCCCAGAGAAAATGGCCTGGGCGGGGGGGGGGGGGGTGGGGTGGTCTGGCAGCTTCATCCAGGGCCCTATTTATTTTCTCCCCACCCTGAAGTCATGTATTTGAAAAGATTGGGAAGATTCTCCACTTCATCAGTGGCTCATGTGCTTGATATGTTTTCTCAAGAGATGATGATGGTTTCTGTGGGAGTTACAGCTGTTTTCAGTGCAGTTACAAGCAAGAGGGAAGAGGGCAAAGACCCTGGAAAAAGCAGGACAAAGCCTTGCAAACATGGATATCATGCGTGCATTGGCTGGGGGGGCCCTTCTTCCGAGGGCCTTTTCCTGGCCAGTAGAATGTTCAGAAGAGGGGTCTGGGTGGGCATAGGCAAATAATTTATTTTCCAAAAGCCAAACTCTCTAGCTGTAGACAGCATCAACTTTGAGCCATTTCCAGACATGGAAAAACATTGAGGCTTTGAGAGTTAACAGACTTGGGGCTCCAATCCTTGGCTCCCATTTCTGAGCTACTTGACCTTGAGCAAGTGATGAATGAAAATACTCTGACCCCGAGGACCTCATCAGAAAATGGGGATGAGAATACCCACATGCAAAATGGGACAGTGCAAGTCCAGGGCCCGACATGGTGCCCAACACTCAGTGAATGTTAGTTTTCTTTTCTTTTTCCCTGTCTCTGTGATAAACGCTCTATTAGGCCAGCACGCCTGACAAAGCCTTATCTGAAAATATGTTCGAGATCCGTGCTCCTGCCGGGTTTCAGGGATCAGCCGGCAATCCATTTCATGGATAACATCATCCTTTACCAGGGGAAACATTAAAAATTAACCCAGAGGACTTCATATTTTTCTGCTAGGAGCAAAGCTGCTATGGTTACCAGATAATGCACTGACTGGGCTGGAATACAGATAAGGACGACTTTTTTTTGTTTTTAATATCAGAAAGGCAAAGGCCCCAGTGATGGCTCACAGGAGAAATGCCCTGTGGACAAAGAGAATACAATCAGCATCAGAGCTTGGCAGAAGGCATTTGACTCCAGGCAGTATCTAACCTATTAAGTAGAGGCCAGGAGCTTATTTGATCTTTGCCTGGATGAGGAAGGCAGGGAGGGGGTGTTGGGAGAAGTGGGAGACAAAGCTAGGAGGAAATTGGAAGTATGGGCGCACCCCTAGGCTCCATTTCTCATCACACTCACACACATAATGCACACCTACATGCACACATACACATACATGCGCTCATTGACTTTAGAAGGCTCTAAGCTATAAGCTAATGCCAAAGGTCTTCTCTCCACCTCTAGCTACTTGCTATGACCAAGCCAAGACTCCCTGATTCTGAACCCAGAGCTAGGGTTTTTACAGAGGATATGGGCACTCTGTGGACAGAGGCCAGGGCAGGCCCCTAGAGAGCTGGGATAGGCATTGACCTTCCATCATCACCCTCCTGCCTCTAACACCCAGACCCTTGGGAGAAACTTCAAGAGGATTAGAGGTCAGAGAAGTTGTTGGCCTTGACCCCAGGAGAAAGCATCCCATGTTTCTGTCTATTCTGAGTGAGATAGGAGGGCCACATGGGCTAGATGGATGTGAACTCAGATGGGCTGGGGAGGGGAAGCTGGAAGGGCTCATTATATCAGGCAATGGTGTTCTTGGTTTTGAGCCTCAGGAGGTGAGATGTTTGCCTCTTATTGGATCCACCAAATTGCAGGGAGGCTCAAGAAATGAATTCCAGAGTGTGACCCAGGAGCTCTGTGTGTGGGCTGTGCCACTAGCTCCCTGGGTGACCTTGAGCAAGTCTCTTTCTCTGTCTGGCCTCTGTTTTCTCTGCTGAAAAGTGCATGGCTGGTAGTAGATGGTCCATAGTTCCTTCCTACTGCAAACACCTGTACACCTTGGAGGGGAAGTGATGATAATCAGAAGTATCCGAAAAACGCAGGGGAGAAGCTTAGGCTCGCTGGACCAGGAACATGACCCTAATCCCAAACCAGGGTAGGGTGAAGCCCCTTCCTGGACCTGATGACAAGAAAGTGGGGGGCAGTGGCCCTCACAGGACAGCCAGGAACACAGCCCGCTTCCACCCCATGCTTGTTTTACTGCTTCCCACTACTTTCCCAATAACCATTTACTGAGCCCCTACTGTGCGCCATCCTCATTTTTGTCTCTGCTCAGGAGTTATCTGGAACCTTCATGGGAGCTACCAGAGGGCAGAACCTGTGTCTGCACCGTCTTGTGTTCCCACGCTCAGGCCAAGGCCCAGCACAGAAAATACCTGCTTTACTAAACTTCAGGCTGAGAGTCGGCTCTGTGGGGAATGGAAGAGGTTGCTAGGCAGGCCTGTAGACTTGCCATGGTGACACGGGAGCCACCTTACGCTTCTGGTCTATTCTTTCCAGGCTCTTTGTATGAGAAAAGGAGCCAAGAGCCCACCTTGTGTCTAGGTTTGGACCAGAGCCTGCAGGGGAACAAAGGTCCTTGGGACTAGTAGATCAGAAGCAGGGGGGGCTGGCTGGTGGGGTCAGGGCCCTGAGGTCCAGCCACCTCCACCTCAGGAAGAATATTTGCCCTAGAATGCCAGCTAGGAGCTTTCTGCCCGGGCTCGGCTTACATCCATCAGTGCTGCGTTGATGTAATTGCTGGATTCTCCGTCCACTGAGATAAGGAAGGGCAGGCAGCGGTCCAGAGGCAGCACGTCCATACTTCGATTCTTATCATGGTTCCGGGGCAGGAGCCCAATGCTGCAGTCCTCGGGCCGCACACGGGGTGTCACAATGTTGAGGGTCTGTGGGGCACAAAGGTGAATAGATAGGCCCTGCTCATTTGGCTGCCCCTGAGCAAAAGAGACAGTAATGTTCCAACTCAGCCTAACTCGCCTATTTCCACCCTCTAAGCGCAGCCCCACTCTCCCTTTCCCGGGACCCATTTCTCTTCCACGGTGATGTTCTGTCCTCTCCTGCTCCCTGCTATAGGGTGTGTGAGCTGTGTGACACCTTCAAAACGCCAAGGCTGCAGAAGCAGCGCATCCACACACAGGCTCAGACACAGCCTCATAGTACCTGCCAACCAGATGAACTAAGTCGTTCAGCTCAGCCAGTGCTGCTTTAAAGGGTGGGCCAGCCAGGAGGGCATACAGAGGGGTGGGGGTAGGGAATCCCTACTGAGGGCTAAACATCACTTGCGTTGTCATGGAATGGGGGAAATGATTTACCAGCCCTCTTCTCAGAGAGAAAGCTGTCTGAGTATGGAAGGATGCCTAGATGACCTGCTCAGGATAGATGAGAGACCTCCGAGGGGCAAACCCTAACAGGTCTGGGAAATTGCTGTGTTTGGACTTTGCCGAGTACATCTTGCAAGTTTGAGGCCAGAGCTGAACTGCTCTAGCCAATGGACTAGATGTTACGTGCAATGACCAGTGTTCTGTACCCTCCATCCTTCCCTCATTCAGCTCTCTGTCTCTACTTCAGATCAATAATGGCTATTTGTTTTAGGGATTGCTAAGGTATTGGCCTGCCTGGGATATCTGCCCGTGGAACAATGGGCCTGGCATTTGCCCACTGACTTGAAGCAAGACCTGGAGCTTCCTTGCTTTCTCATACCTGGTTCTCAGCTCCTGTTGCCCAGGTGTAATTCTGACACTGGTCTTGGGATAAAGGGCTGGACTCTGGCTTTATCTTACTTAGTGATTCATGTCCAGGCTCCCTAGACCAATCAATGTTGCCACAGCTCTGACCGCATGGGCTTCCAGGTGTGGATCTGGTATACCTGAGCTATGTTCTAGGACAGTACTTCTCAAAGTTTAACATGCATACAAATCACTCAGAGATCTTGTTAACTTGCAGGCTCTCATTCACTATGTCTGGGCCAGGTCCGAGATTCTGCATTTATAACAAGTTCCCAGGTGAAGCCAATGCTGCTGGTCTCCAGACTGCAGGTTTTAAAATTTTATTTATTTTATTTTTTATGTTTTTGAGATGGAGTCTCACTCTGTTGCCCAGGCTGGAGTGCAGTGGCACAATCTCGGCTCACTGCAACCTCCGCCTCCCAGGTTCAAGCAAGTCTCCTGCCTCAGCCTCCTGAGTAGCTGGGATTACAGGTGCATGCCACCATGCCTGGCTCACTTGTTTTGTATTTTTAGTAGAGACAGGGTTTCACCATGTTGGTCAGGCTGCAGACCACACTTTTAGCAGTAAGAGTCTACTGAAAAATTACTGAGAGGACCTGAGTCCCTCCAGGGATGAAGGAGCATGAAATTCACACCTGTTTGTATAAATTTGTCTCCATTCACAACTTGGACTAGAACTGAATAAGACCTCAGTTAAAAAACATATTCACAGTTAAAGACAAGTACCAGCAATCCCTGAGTGAGTGTGTAGTTGCTCATGGCTGTGCATTTTGTGTTCTGGAATAGATTCTGCAGCTTCCTAGAGAAGCAGACACTGAAAGTGCATAGATCAGTTGTCCCAAAGAAAACCCCACAAATGTGCACATAGCCACTGAAGTTGGTTGGGTTACTGTTACGGACTAAATGTTTTCATCCCTCCCAAAATCCATGTCGTAATCTTAGCCCCCAATGTGATGGTATTAGGAGGTTGGGACTTTGGAAGACGTTTCGATCATGAGCATAGAACCCTCATGAACGGGATTAGTGCTCTTATAAGAAGAAACATGTAGGGCCAGGTGTGGTGGCTCCTGCCTGTAATCCCAGCAATTTGGGAGACCAAGGTGGGAGGATTCCTTGAGCCCAGGAGTTGAAGACCATCCTGGGCAACATAGTGAGATCCTATCTCTATAAAAAGTAAAAAAAAGAAGAAATGTGAGAGCTTGCTGCTTCTACTTTCCACCACGTGAATATGCAACGAGAAGACGGCTATCTGCAAGTCAGGAAGTGAGCCCTCCCCAGACACTGGATTTACTGGAAGCTTGATGCTGGGCTTCTCAGCCTCCAGAAATGTAATGAATAAGTGTCTGTCATTTAAACCACCCAATCTATGGAAATTTGTTATAACAACCCAAACTGACTAAGATGGTCACCGAGCCTGGGATTTGCTCATACCTGAAATTCATCTTTGATTTGGCTGGAGTTTGTCTGGGGGTCCAGCCTGCTGATATTGTAGTAGAGAGAACGGAACTCACACACAGGGATGGCAGTGTTGCCACAGAGGCACGCTTCCAGGATGGCATCGTGCACAAACACATATTGCTCCTGCAAAGTCAGAAGAGAGGGAATGGGGTGCCAGGTAAGAACAGTGGCCTGGGAATTAGCTGTCCACATTTAGTGTTGTGGCTATGAAGAATAGACATGATTTATCAATATATTACAGGATCCTTACTTTTTATACTGTAACCCAAAGGGCCAAATTTCCATGTTTCCTAATGATCACCTGAGCTATGGTGGGTCTTGTTTCTGATAGAAGATGTAATAGCATAGTCATGATAAAATGAGAAACTTCTAGACATGCTGTCAGCAGGCGCTCTTGGTGTCCAGCCCATGTCCCCTCAGCTTTCACCTTTACCTGAGGAAGGCTGCTTGCTGCAAACACCTGTGATTGTCTGCTGAAGGCAGAGGGGATACTTGGGCTGTGTGGAAAGGAACCCTCAAGCAATGACAGATGGAGAGTTGAGGATAGAAATCTAAGAAATCTCTCCCTTTAGGTGGAATCACTTGGACACGCATGTGTCTCAGAGTTCGCCAGCAGAATTGGGTTCCAGTTGTCTACAGTGTTTAACAACTTGTTAAAGTAGCCTTTGTTTGTTTCCTTCCCTGCTCTGCCTCACTTTCCCATTCACCAGCCACTGTGTCTTGGGATTACCTTCCAAGCAAATTATTTGCCGGCAAATCTTTGTCTCACGATCTGCTCCCAAAACGTGTCATATCTTCTCCTATCTCAATTCTTTGTACCTGCTGTACTCTCCTCCTGAAACTCCACTCCCTCTTTTCCATACCTTTAATGTTTCATTCTTTCTGGAAAGCCATCTGTTAATCCACCAGGCAGAAGTTGGTGTTACTTCTAGGCCCCAGATAAATGTTTGTTGAGTGACTTTTTCTGCAGAACTTGGTCAGTTTCTCTATAAAGAGTACTTTTCCAGATGCTATGTGATGCATCTGCATTTGAATATGTCTCCCCATATGTCTGACTGCAACCAGCAAGCCTGGCTTCTGCATGCATGGACCTAGGAATAGATAAAGCAGCCCTCTTGGCTTTAGTGCTAGAAGCCTGAAGACTGGCCTGTGTGAGTTAGCTCAGAGCCTATGTGTGTAAACCAATCAATGGTGGTATTCACTGCAGATTCAGAGAGGCTGGCTGTACCAAAACCATGGGTCACTTCCCTTTGCAGGATTGATGATGTGCATAGTTCCCTATCTGTCCCAGCTCTGGTCGCCCAGGCACCCAGAGCCTTCACTAGAACAGAAGATGGGCTCGTTACAGGAATGATAAGCCAAGGTACAGAGTGGGATAGGCAGAAAAGGCTGCTTAGTGAGAGTGTGGTTCTGGCGAAAAAGCAGAGGCCTTTGGGGGTCACATGGACCGAAGTTCTACCACAGTCTGGTATGTGAGGTCTTAGGGACACAATTTCTTAGTTTCTTCTTCATTGATAAATTGGAGATAATACTAGGAGCTACACCATAGCTGGTTTGGAGGAGTAGAAACAATACCGTGACTAGAAAGAATGTATGCTGCCTGGCTCACAGTAGGTACACAACAATAAAGATTAATTCCTTTCAATACTCTTAGGTTTGGGCTCTCCAACTGCACAGAGAGTTGCCTAAAGGTCTGCTTCTCCCTTGAGGGCAGAGGCTGTGTGTTACATCTCTTGAAATGCCCAGCACCCAGCTTAAGTACTCAATTACTTTGTTGATTAAACCATTCCCTGCAGTGACTGAACCATCGCTTGGCACGTAGTGGTCACTGAATAAATGCCAGTCCTTCTCTTTCCTTCTCTATCACTTCACCCAAGGCAAGAATACTATTCCAATAATCCCCGAAATTTGTCATTCTGTCCCTGCTTGGATGGCCTCAGAGATGGAGAACTCACCACCATTCTTCATTGGTGGAACTGCCTGCACTGTAGACCTCCAGGGTTGGCTGGGGCACCCTAGCTTCTACAGTAGTCTCACCATAGTAAGCCACGTGTCTACTCCCTCCTGCTTCTCTCACACCCAGGTCCTTTCCATAGGATGCCCCTACCTATGTGTCTCTCCGTTCTATCATCATGTTTCTCCTTGGTCAGGGCTACAGGTGGCCAACTGTCTTGGCCCCCTAGGACTCACCTCTGTCTGTACCAGGTTGACCCTTTGGGCCCGGAGCTCACGCACGCAGTTGAAGATGTCCACCACCCCTTCATTCTCGGCCATGTCAAGCATGGTGTCAATGGCAATGAAGCAGCCAGTCCGCCCAGCCCCAGCACTGGAAGAGAGGTATGGTCTGTGTTAAGGATCTTCATGGGGGGAACCTGCCCTGGGGAGGCCCCTAGCATTCAGCCCTATCCCCAAGGGTCCTGCTGGGAGGCTCTAGATTATGTGTTCCCACATTTCCTTTCTTAATATGTATAGTTTGTAATGCATGTGCAAACCACACATATACATGCCATTGCCTTGTCTGATGGATAAAATAATACATCCATATAGCATAAAACACCTAGCATGGTTCCTGGCATGCTGGAGCTGCCTCATAGATATGTCTTTCCTATTTTCTACCCTTCTTTTCTCTTCTTTTTTCTTCTTCAGCAAATGGGTTGACGGATGGAAGCAAAGAAGGAGAGGAGAGAGAACAGAGGGGAGATGAATGACAGGACAGAAACGAGAGTCCTCTGAGCTGTCCCCAAGACAGAGAGTGGTTGGTGGAGCACCACGTTCAAAGGCCGGCATCTGGCTCCACCTGCAGCTGTTTTCGCAGGATCGTGAAGCAAGAGTGTCATGAAACTGGAGCAGCTGACCGTCCGGAGACCCTTGTCAGGGATCAAGTTTCTTGATACATACTTACTTGATTTCTGGTCACTAGTGGCTTCTTTAGGAGAATCTCAGACCAAGTATAAAATGGTAGGGGAACTCAACGAGACTCTATGGGCCTTGGCCAGCCCTTTCTAGATCAGTGCTGGGCTCTGAAACATCAGTGCTGACCAAGAGGCACGTAAGACATGTGCCTTACACATGTGCAGTTTTGGATGGGAAGGCCGGGCAGCCTGTCAAGGAGGCCCCCTTCCGCTGCGTTTTCACATCTTGCCTTTCTCATGGAAACAAGTGTCTTTGTCTAACAATGTAGATGTCAAAAGACACACAAAGAGGAAGAGAGATGGAACAAGACAAAAAAGCAATATTGGCTCATGGTAAATCCAAGGGGCACAGGCCAGTGCGGACCACTACCTACAACAATTTGGAAAGTACACCCATTGGAAGCAGAGTCTTCATTCATGAGAAACTTTCATGGTTTGAATGAAGTCTGACTTAAGTTTGCTTCAGAACCTACTCCCCAAAATCCAGATGCGGGGACTCAAGAGACTTGGCCTCTGTGTCTGGGAGGGAGTATAGGGGGGGTCACTCGTGTTTTTTTCTTCAATGTTCATATTCACCATGCTTTAGTATAAAGAATCAGCCCAATTTGGTTCCAAATTTTGGAACAACTATCAATCAATCAGCGGTGACCAAGTTGCCTAGTGTCCGTTTGTTTGTTAGCTTCAGATTTCTGATGCTTTTAACATACCTCCCTGCAGGGTCCTTGTGAGGACAAAGCTGTGTTTATTTCATTTCAGCATCACATAGTAATTGAACACAGGATATTTGAAAAGACCCCCTAGGATTAAATCCTGGCTCTATTACTTATTAGCTGCATGACCTCGGGCAAATGACTTAACCTCTCTGGGTTTCAATACTCATCTATAAAATGATGTTGATAATAATTAAAATACTCACTCATCTATAAAATGATGTTGATAATAATTAATAGATCCACCTCACAGCATTAATAGCACAATATGTATAAATTGGATGAAATTACAATTAAAATGCATAATGCATACAAATTGCTTTGTGCCTGGATACATAGCCATTTTTTATTGAGAAATTATTACTATTATATTCAACAAATATTTATTGAAAATCTAAGATGCAGTAGATGCTGGTATTAGGAGTGGGAATATGAAAACAAACAAACATTGTTCCTGTCCTGAAGGATTAATAAATAATCTGGGGAGGGGGAGAAAGAAAACATTAAGAGGAGGCAGAGAATAATGATATATTAGAGTGCTTACTATATGTCAGGCATTCTCTCTTAGGCACTTAGCCAACCCATTTGGTAATAATTTTCAGAATGGCCCCAGGAGTGGGTACCACTCTGCTCAGATGCATTAAGATGACCTGCTAAGGAGACACATACCGGCGTAGAGCCATCATGCGCCGAAGTCCTGATGATAAACAAACATTTGCCATTGTCTTTCTTTCTTTCTCCCTAACCCTTGATCTGGGTGCTCTTTGGGATATAGAGATGGGGGGCATTAATGATCCATTGCCCTTTGATTGCTATGAGATATAAAGCAAAGCAGAAAATACATGCAAAACATTTAGAGAGTCCAGGATTACCTCCTCATCCTCACTTGCCTTATCTGTGAAATGGGGTTGTGTAGCTACTATTGCTGGGAAGATAAATAAATGGATGCTGTATGAGGACGGGGCTGGCTCTGAGACATCCACAGCTTATGGAGTCTTCCATGGTCTCTTGACTGACACAAACTGCCAGGGCAGGGATGTGATAACTCAAGCATCCAGGGTCTGAAAAGATGGGCTGCCCCAAGGTCATATTGGAAGAGAGAGGCGTTGGGAAGGAGGGGGATGCCAGCTGGCCAGCCTTCAGGTCAGGAAGGCCATCCTCCTCCAATTCTGGACACCCTTGACAGGATACTTCATCTCCATTTGGGAGGATTCAAAGACATGCCACTCATTCTCAATGTGACTTTCTAGGTCAGAGCTGAAAATATCTCTTCTTCATAATAAGGTAAAACCTGGTGCTGTCCATTTCTCTCTATGAGGGACCCTGCAGGCTGGCAAGTGATCTTGAAAATAATATAGAAATGAAAAGAAGCATGCTTCCACCAAGGCGCCCTGCTGCCATGTCAAGGAGCTGAGGGCAAGTGTCTGGAGAAAAGCAGGTGAAATATCCCCACTCTGTGTTTACCTCCTCAGCACTTGAGTTTTTGTATCTGTAAAATGGGAATGTTAATAATGCCCACCTCTCCAGACTGGACGAGAAGTAAATAATGTGGGTAAAATGCACGTGACAGACCCAGCAGATGCTGCCAGTGTTCAGCCTGCCTCCCTGGTGACTGACTTCTTCACTGTTTTCAGGCAACAACAGTAACAATGGCCACTACTGCTATTCCTTTTGTTAGCTGACCTTGTGACCAAGTATCATCAGAAAGCACTGGGCATGGGGGGGACACAGGAAGAGGAGTCTCTAAGAGTAAAGCCACTAGAAAAGATAACATGTCCCTCCCAAGAAAGCCGAGCTGCAGAGGCACACTAGGGTAGGTGGAGGACTTTTTCTTTTTTTTTTTTTTTGAGACAGAGTCTCGCTCTGTCACCCAGGCTGGAGTGCAGTGGCGCGATCTTGGCTCACTGCAACCTCCCGCTCCTGGGTTCAAGCGATTCCTCTGCCTCAGCCTCCCAGGTAGCTGGGATTACAGATGTATGCCACCATGACCAGCTAAGTTTTTGTATCTTTCTTTAGTAGAGACGAGGTTTCACCACGTTGGCCAGGCTGGTCTCGAACTCCTGACCTCGTGATCTGCCCGCCTCGGCCTCCCAAGGTGAAGGACCTTTGACTTACCTGCAGTGGACCACTATGGGCCCAGCTTCCGGGGGGTTGAGGAACTTGACCTGGCGGACGAAGCCCAGAAGGCCAGTGGCATAGCAGGGAACGCCGTGGTCAGGCCAGCTGGTGAAGTGGAAGAGGCGGAGCTCCCGGATCTCATGGTAGCCTTTCTGAGGAAAGAACGGGCCTCTGTTCTTCCAGCTGCTGCCCTCGCATACCCAGCCCAGCAACACGTGGAGCCATAGCTGCTGCACTGAGGAACCTCCCGCAGGGACAGGGCCCTCACAGTGTTTGTTAATAGGTGTTACTGGATAGAGCGATTCTGTAATCAGTTACATTTGGGAAATATGGGATTGTTAAAACGAAACCGATGGCTTTATTGCAGGATTTCTCAGAGTCTTGAGTGTGCTCATACACACTCTGAATGCCCAAGAGGGCCACAGAGCACCCTAGGAGACCTTCTTTTGTTTGCCTAGGGGATCGTCTTTGACAAATGTTTCATAGGAGGTGTATTGAGTACGGATTTAAAGAAATGTTGGCCTTAAGGACCAAGTCAGTCCAAATTGTTTCCAGTGGAATCTGAGGCGTTCAGTGATTGAGGTCTGATATTCTGTAGTGTTCCAGCCTTGGCTGTGATAGTCTGTGTGGCTTTCAAAGTTTATATAACTTAGTACTGACTTCTTTATTAAGTAGATTCTTACTTAGAATGATTACATAAGATGCGAAACAAACAAAGGCAGAGCTTCTCTGATCTGATGGAGACAGAGTGGGGCCTAGAGCTCTGAGCGGTTCCCCTCCCCTTTCACACCCCTCCACCCCTCACAGAGACACACTCCGGGCCCAGTAGTGGTTTTCTGACCATTCCATGGCCAGGTCACACTTCTAAGCCTTCGCTTAGACAGTTCCTGTTCCCTACTATTTTTCTACTTAGCAATCTCCTGCAGATACCCAGAGAACACTGAATAGGAAGAGTCTGTTTGATTATTCATTCATTCCTTCATTGAAAAATCATTTACCAAGTGTGACCTGTGCCCAGCCTTCCCAGCCTTGTGCTAGGTACTAGGAAGGTGAGAATAAAAGCCACAGCTCCTATCCCTGGAACAGCTCATGGCCTTGTCGGGGAGGCAGATGCCCAAGTGGGTAATTCTATTGAAGTGGATAAAGGAGTGCCTGCTAACCTGATCTGAGGAGAAGAGAAATCCCAGAAGGCTTTCTGGAGGAGGTGATGCTTGACCTCCATCTTGAAACAGACTAATAGTGAAAATAATAACTAACAAACATTAACTAAGCATTTACTGTGTGCCAGTCACTCTTCTGAACACTTCAACATGCTAACTTACTTAATCCTGATATAAATCCCTATATTTTTATCTCCATTTGATGGATCAGGAAACTGAGGCTAAACAAGGTTAAGTGACACACCCAAGGTCACAGTACAACTCACAAGTTGTAAAGGGACCATGTGAACCCTGGCTGTCTGTCTCCACAGTCTGCACTCTTAATCATTCTAATATAGTGATGTGTGAGTATTACCCAGTTGACGGGAGAAGAGGAAGGAATCCAAGGCAGGGGGACAGCATGGGCACAGGCCTGGGGACAGGGCTTAGCATGGTGTGTGCAGAGAATCACTAGCAACCCAGGGCAATGCTAGAGGCAAGTGGAAGTCAGGCCATGGGAGACCACAGGCCTGGGGGTGCAGGAGAATAGATGAGAGCTGGATCCCAGAAGGCCTTGAATCTACATTAAGGCCTTTGGACTTTATCTCAAAGGCACTGGGAAGCTACAGGGAGATTACACAGACGGTTCCACACAAGAGGAAGTGCATCATTAGACTTGCATTTTAGGAGGCTGCATCCTGCTACATGAAGGATGGATTCAGGTGGGTGGATCGGGGGTTGCAGAGAGGGCACTATTGGTGCCCACTCAGATCCCCATCACTGGGCCAGTGGACTCATTGCCACCTGCTCTGAGTCGTGGCTGCACACAGCTCACAGTTACCCTCTTCTGAAGAGAACTGTTCTCAGCTGAACAGGAACCCCCCTCCCCTGGGGTGTGGCTGGGTGGGGCAGCATCCTTCAGTGACTGACTGATAGTAGAGGGAGAGTGACCAACTGGCTTGCCACTTGCTCAGTCTGCCCAGGACTGACGGGTTGCCCGGTACGTGGGACTTTCAGTGCTAAAACCAGTAATGTTCTGGGAAAAACAGAAATTTTTTTTACCCTTATGGGGGGCACCTGAGGCCCCTTTGCCTCAAGGTTGGACCAAGTGTGCAGTACCATTCATGTTCCAGGGCTCCCATGGGGTTAGGTGGAAGCAAGTCTCTGCTGAGGCCACTTCCTCACTCAGCTCCTTTCCCCACCCCATCCTGGCTCTCTCACTGCCTTCCCCCTGCAAACTCTCCCTAAACACATGAGCCAGGGCACCCAAACGACTGCTGCTTCTGGCTCTGCTTCTGGGAAACCCAAACTAACATAGGGGCAGGACTAGAGGCAGACAGTCCTGTTAGGAGGGAGAAATCAGATGCCCAGATGAAGGCAGTGATGAATGAGCTGAAGTGAGAGAGGAGAAAGCTTCAAGAATACTTGGACTTTTTTCACGCCATCCTCCAAATCAATTCAGTCCCAAGAAGCCTTCCTTCGAGCTCTTCCCACCTGTGCTGTGATGATTTATCAAGGATCCTCTCTCCCCGATGCGTCTGTGCTGTCTTCAAGGGCAGACAGCACTCCCTGTTTATTATTTCCAGGTTCCCAGCTCAGGAACCGATTTTGAGCTAAAATCGCAGGTAATGTTTGCTGAGTGCCTGCCTGCATGCTGTGGAGAGGCTGGCTAAGCCCAGTTAATCCTCAGAGGCCCTTGGGGTCTTTTAAGGGCATCTCCCTGTGAGTAATATCTTCCCTCGTGGTTGTTTAAAAGACAAAGAAAATGTAACACGAGAAAGGACCTTAATGCCTCAACATGGTTTGCTAGCTGCAATTCCTCAAGGCCTCCCTGCCCGTGTCGCCAGTCACTCATCCCATCCTCGGGCATTCAACACAGATGTGGCAGATGAGACTGGTACCCCTGGGTCCTCTTCCTTGGGCCTGTGCTTCCAGGCCTGAGCTGCAGGGACTGTTGGTTGCTACTGCCTTTCAATTGTCCCCTTCTCTGGAGACACGCCCTCAGCTGACAGGGGCTGGCCCACCCTGGAGGTTACCCCTCAGTGGATGGTCCACGATCAGCAGACTGACTGACGTGGGAGCACAGAAGTCTGGCTTCCACGCCTTAAGGGGGACAACTCACTCTGTGGCATAGTTTATCCTTGGAGGTTCCCTGTGGATCAGCTCTAGGCTAGACTTCACTGGAGCCTCTGTCCTTGGTTGGTGTCTTTCCTTCCCTCTCCTGCTTCCCACTCTCTCTTAGGAATTTCTCCTGGGAGAGCTCCCCTGATATACCTCATGTTTCTGAATCCTTGCCTCAGGCTCTGCTTCTAAAAAACCTGACCTAAGGCAACATTGAAGTACCGATGGTTTCCTTCCTCTTAGTGGAGGGAGTTCACAGGCTTCCTGACTTTTTCACCCGAGACTGCAGATTCAGATGAAAAAGACCCTGAGACTTTAGGAGCCTGGGGGTTGGAGGGGGAGCTTCCGGGGCAAACAGTATGTCCTAGGCCACTCTGTATGCTGGAACAGTACTGTGTGCATGCCGGGCTCTAGTCTGCAGAGCAGCCTGCTTTGGCCCTTGCAAGGACTTGTCAAAGCCTCAAGGGCACAGCTCTCAAAGCATGTAAGTCCCCAGTGCTTTTGCATCCTTAGGCCTGTGGCCACATTGTCTATTAAAGTGATTGGTTTTAGAGAAATGGAACCTATGGTGTAATGGAAAGAGAAATGTGTTACAGGAGCCAAGGTGTGAATCCTGGTTGTACCAACCTTGCAGCTGGGCAACTTTGGATGACTGATTTAAACTCTCTGTGTCTCAGTTTCTTCATATGTAAAATGGGGATAATAATAGTGCTTACCTTATAGGGTTATTGGGAGGATTAACTGAGTTACTCTACGCAAAGCATTTAGAAAAGTACCTGGTCCAGTAAGTGCTCAGTAAGTGTTAGCTATCATTATGATATAATAGTAATGATAGAATAGCAATTATTATGTAACATGTTATAAATATATTTATTTGCAATCACATCCTTGCTCACCAAGCTTGTGCAGCCCTGGCCTCCTTTTAATGTCCAGACCAGCATTTCTCAACCTCGACACTACTGATGCCTTGGGCTGGATAATCCTTTGTTGTCGGAGGCTGTCCTGTGCATTGTGGAATGTTTATAAGCATCTCTGGCCTCTCCACCCACTAGGTGCCAGTACCATCCTAACCCTTCTCCCCCAAGTTGTGTCAACCAAAAATGTTGCCAGACATTTACAAATATTCCTTGGGGGATCAAAATGCCCCCGGTTGAGACCACATGCCTTGAACAGGTTGAGATCACTTTTTCCCCTCCAGACTGCATGTTTTTTCCTTCTGCCTGGGATAGCTCTTCTTTCCTTTCTACCCTTCACTGGTTCCTCCTCCCTCATTCTCTGCCCAAATGCCTCCTCTGCTAAGAGGCCCTCTCCTACCACCCCATCCTACTGTGGATTTCTATCTCCATCCTTTGCATATTCCTGTGTGGCTTTTATCACAATGTGTTGTTATTTCATTGATTTGCTTATTGAATTCAGTTTGCCCCACCTACTAGATGTGGGATCCCTGGTAGCAGGACCCATGTCTGCCCTGATTGCTGATCTGTTGCTGGTGCCAAGTATGGGGCTGGACGTAGAGCAGACCCTCAGTTACCACATGTTCTGGATGAACAAACAAGCTGGCTCTCATGGTGGACCGGCTGCCCACAGCCTCCAAGAAGCTTACCTTCTGGACTGTGAAGGTGCGTATGACGTATTCTGCCAGGGGCTCTGTTTCAATCAGGGTGACTTTAATGTCTCCGTAGACCTCCGTGTCATCTGGCCAGTATCGCACACATTTCACCTGTGGCCAAGTGAGAGACAGAGACAGAGACAGAACAGAGACAAGGATGCATAAGCACATGGCTGAGTGTGAGCAGCTGTCTCATCTGGTCGTCCCATCCAAATAAACCCAAGGGTGACTTTGGTGGCATTTCAGTCCACAGGGTTCACAGCTGGCCAGGGATCAGCAAGCTGCACAGGGCCAAGCTCACTCCCAGAGGCACTGGAGCCATTAGAAATAATTGTAGTACCTTCTTTTGCAAAGCTCCTTGTAACTTTCCAATGCATTATCACACTATGTCATCAAATAGAACAAGGTGAGATAGGTGGGTGTTATTGTCCCCACTTTACAGATGAAAATAATACTGAAGTTCAGAGGTTTGGTGACTTGTCCAAGGCCATGTGGCCAGTTTGGGGACTGACTGAGTCCCCTTTCTGCTCTGTCAGGGTGGAGCAGCTGAGTATCATCAGCTGAGCAAAGATGAGAATAAAAGGTGGGAAATAGGAGGTGGAAGCAGAAGTGGTTGGGAGGGGGACATCATTAAGAGGTGGCAGTTGGGGGTCTGGAAGGAGAAAGGCTCTTGGTTGGGAAAAGGATGGTAGCTGCTGGACTCCAAGGGAAGATGCGCAGTTCCTCTCTGACCCTGGACGCGAGCAAGCCATTCCCCAGTCGACTGTTTAAGTCGCACTCATGGATGAAAAAGAGATCATGGTTTTCCCCTTAAAAGAACAAAAGCATGATTACCATTCCGGGGGACGCCGCACGGCCTAGAGTGGCATTTCCCACAGTGTGTTCCGCTGGGTGCTAATAGGTGTTAGGTAAAAAACAAGAAACAAAAAACAAACAAAAAAAGGTTTTGTGGTCAAATGAGTTTGGGAAATGCTGTATTACACAGTTAAATAGGCAGCTTTGCTACAGGACTATTCAGCTTCTTTCTCATGCTAGTGCTAATGTGTTTTGTGTTTTGCGACTCTCCAAAAGGGGCACAGAGGACGCAGCATTTCCCAAACGTATTTAACCGTGGAACCCTCTTCTCACTAATCATCCTGCAGACTAGCATCCCATGGAACCCACTTAGGGAAACACTGGTATAGTGCAACAGAGCATGGGGGCAAATGGATTCATTGTTTGGTCCTAACACTCAGTATCTGGGTGGCCCAAGAAAGTGCTGAAACCTCTCTGAGCCTCAGCTTCCTATCAATAATGATAGCTAACATTTACTGACTGTGTACTCTGTCTACCACGGCTCACAAAGTGTTCTGCGAATACTTTACATGTATTAATTCTAATGACTTATCAACACAACTTTATGAAGTAGATATTATCATCCCCATTTTGCAGACGAGGAAGCATAGGAAAGCTAAGAAAATTGCCCAAGGTCAACTGTTGGTAAGGGATGGGGCCAGGATGCAAACCCAGGGCACTTGAATAATAACTAGGAACATGGGCTCCTATGATGGTTGTAGGTTTCGGTAATGCACAATAAGCACCTGGCACAGTGTTTGGCACTAGCAGGAGCTTATCTAAGAGACTGCTTTCCTCCCCAAATCCAATTTAGATTTATGGTCTATCCATCAAGGGAATCTGTTTCCAATGGGGGATATATTGTAGAACAGGCTGGAATTTGCCTCTGAATCCCTGAATCCTGGGCTGGCCTTTATGTCCACAGTAGCTGCACCCTGGGCCTGGGTCCCTGGGGAACAGTCTGAGTGGAGTGACCACAAGCACTGGAATCAGAGTCCAGCGTCAGATTTTGTGCCTAGGTTTTGGCTGAGTGACGTCAGGGTAGGTACTCTACCCCTTTAGGTCTGTTTCCTCATCTGTAAAATTGAGTGATGGACTAGATAAGGGTGGACTCATGGGTAAAGTCTCACCTGGTCCTAAATTCCCATTAGGCCCTGAGATGTCCATACCCCTTTATTGGATTACGAAAGCCCAGATTGTCTCCTTCCCATCGTCGCAGAGGCCAGAATTCATCTTTATGAATTATCTGTTTCTTACCCAAACAAAAACTTACCTGCCCACATTTTAGTTAGTTCATATGATGTGTAGAGAGCCCTTTTAATTCTCGTGTTTGTACACCTTGCCTTTAAACTCAGCAGCCCACCCACATGCCAGAGTTAACTAAGTAGGCAAAAGCAAGCTGGGAATAGCAGTCCCATTTCTAAGCCCCAGGAGTAGTTGAGGACCACTTCAGAGAGAGTTGAGATGGAGCAGAGCAGGAGACCAAGATCTGAGCCCTGAAGAACATCAAGATTTAGAGGTCAGGGGAAGAAGAGCGGGTAGCAAAGGGTTGGATGCTGCTGAGATTGAGTAAGATGAGAAGAGAGAAGTGGAGACTGGATTTGTCGACATGAAGGGTGCGAGTGATATTGACAATATCACTATTGGTGGGATGGAGGGAGGAGCTACGCTGCGGTGGGTAGAAGAGAACATGAGTGAAGAAACAGAGCCACCCTGTGAGTCTTTAAAGTTTGGCAGAAAAGAGGGAACAAGAAAATACTTTTTATTTACCTTTTCCTTTCTTTTTAAGATGGAAGGTACTGGGCATGTTTGTATGCTAAGGGGAACAATTTGGCAATGAGAAAGAGACTTATTTTGCAAGTGAGAAAGGGAAAAATGAAAAAAATTATTGAGTAGAATCTGTGATCCAGGCACTATGCTTGCCTTTGGAAGGGCAGAGACATGGCTTCTGTTGTGTTAGGCTGAGCCATAGGAAACAGTTGACATTCGACCATTTGGGTCAACAAAAACAGCCATTTCTTATAGTCAAATCTGACAGCAGAGGAGAAGAACAAGAGGACAGTTGTAGATACAAGTAGGATTGTGGTGTGACAATGAGGGAGTGAACGACTGATGGTTTTAATTTCCTCAAAATATATGAGATGACATCATCAACGGAGAGTGAGGGTGTAAAAAGGGATGAAGGGGATTTGAAGGGAAAGGACATTGCTTGAATGTGGAATAGGAGTGATGACACCTCCCTTGTAGGTTGCCGTGAGGGTGAAATACTGACTAGGAGGCACTTAGCACGATGCATGGAACAAAGAGATGTTCGAGAGTGCATCTCCAGCATCCTCTGCCCAGGCGAGTGCAGGAGAGGCTTACCCTGCCCACTTCCACCAGGTTTGTGACCATGACGATGCTGGCGGAGTTCTCCTGCCAGATCATTCTCCAAAAGTCCTTTACAGTCTCCTGCATCGGACCTGCCAACAGAGAAGACAGTGAGGTTAGAGAATGCAAGTGCAAAGCAGCAGCTGAGAAGGTTTGTCCCCCCGGTTGGTCAAGTCTCCACACTGGTGAGCAGGAGTGAGGCCAGGTGATCCTTGTTAAGACACCAAGTATCTGAGACACGGGCCTGAGACATGTGAGCCTGATGGGGACAGATTAGGGTATGGATGGGGAAAGGCTCATTCCAAGCTCTCACAATCTGCAGCATCTACTGGAAATGTTGGCAGCCTCTCCTCTCCCTTCTGTCCTCCTCCTGCTCAGACCCTTTCTACCAACTCCACCTATCACCTTATCTGGACTGTATTATGGCTTAAGGGAGTTTTCGAAAATTGGTCTCCAGAACCTCCATGAGAGACAGGAAGGCAACTGGGGTGGGGGGTGGAGAGAGCTGCAGGGTGCCAGACGCTGAGAACAAAAACAGGAGATGCCTGATTTTGTGCTTGACAAATGCTGGAGGCATTCCTCTAGGGCCTCAACAGAAAGGAAGGAAAAAAAAAAAAAAAAAAAAAAAAAAAAGACCAGGAGCAGAAAATAGGCTCTGACAGTCCAAAGCAATTTCCTTGGAAATTACTCTTTCAATGTCCTGGGCCTTCATCATTTTTAAAATTACAAAAGTAATACATGTGTTTGATATAAAAGTTTGAATACCATTTTTCTATATTTATATGTATATGTGTGTATTTACTGTAATAAGCATCAGACCTATTATATGCATTTTCTGATGCCCTTAAAAATTCTTACCAAGCGTAACAGTTTTAATAGCTGCGAAGTTTTCTATAATATGGCGGTAACACACTTTATGTAACCAACGTACCAATTGTTGGGCATTTAAGATTTTTCGCTTTTTTATTCCTATTATAGATAACACCGTGAATAATGTTCTTATATGCGTCATTGTCTATATATATAATTATCTGCAGGATTTTTTTCCAGAAGGGTTTGAAAGGTACGATCATTTTTAAGCCTTCTGAAAACGCACTGCCAAGTTACTTTCTAGGGCAGCCAGCTGCATATCTGTTATGGGCATGCACCTATCGTGGAGATAAGGCACCATCAGCTCCGGCCCTGGCAGGTGTTGATGGCACCTGCTTGGGCCTCTCCCTCCTGACCAAGTGAAGCTCCTTGCTCTGTCACTCATGGGCCTTTTTCCTATAGTGAAACTTGCCACCATTTTCCTTCCCAAATAAACAAATGAACAATCTCAAGGACCTCTGGAGAGTCTTCAGCCTACCCCTCCGTGGCTTCTTTGCTGGTGGAAACTCATTCCTCTCCTCCAGGGCTGTTTAGTGAAAAAGGAGGGTTGGAGTAACAGATATAGGAGGAGAGGACAAGCCTTGCAGTTAAGAGAGCCCTTTCCCCTGGGACCCCTGAAGCCTCTCTGAGGCACTAGGTGGAGGGAGGGCACTTACCTTGAGTCGCAATGTAGTGCCGAGGTCGATGGTATCCCTGGATAACAGGAGAAAAGCACTGTGAAGAGTCTGTTGTCAAAGCTTGCAAACAGCACAATATTAATAAACATCCTCTCCAAGTCTTGATTTTCTCATGGGCAAAATGAGAACAGCATCAGTTATTCCCAGAGAAGTGGCAAAGGTTAAATGAGATATTGCACATAAAGTGTGTAGTAAGTCACTAAATGCTAGCTATTTTTATAGTTACTTGTGAGGTGCCTACATAGGCTTGCCTTGGAGCCAGTGGCACTGGGAGCAAAGATTGGATGGGCATTGCTTATCCTTATGCACCCAAAAACAGGTAGAGAAGGAGTTTCCAGGTTTATGGGGAGCATCAACCACCAAAAAGTCTTTCTTGAGCCATGATTATATGAAGAACACTGTACAAGACCCTATGGGACACCCAGAGAAGAAAAAGGAAGAAAACAATTCAATTGTTGACTTCTTCCATTAGTAACAATTAGAAAAAGAAAATTGAGAAGCATCCCACATTGCTTCTCTATGCCAACATTCCTGGGCTTGGAATTGAAGTCCCAGGTACGGAGAAGACCTTATGGAAGGCTGACCTGGGAGACCCATAAAGATACCTGCAAATACAAAGACCAGTTTCTAATTTCTCTGTACATTTCAGAGCACTACAGTAGGCCCTGCTGTACTCTGGTTGGGGAGTACCCTGCTGCCCCATAACCTTCATCATTGGACAAGAGGTTGAAGGTGACCCCTCTTTTGCCTGGACATGGCATACATGGAGTGTCCTCTTTCCAGTTACAGTCATATTGAGTAGAAGTTTAAGTTTTGGAGACAGACCTGCATTTAGTGCAGAACACTGAATGCAATTAGTATTTGTTAAATAAATACATGAGTGAATAAATGAATAGATGAATAAAATTTTTAAAGAACACAGATGCCAATTTTAGAGCCTATCAATTGGGAGATTGTTGACAGTCCTGAAATCCACTTAGCTTTTATGGTTAACCATGTCCAGAGAAAATAAGTCCTAAAGTTTGATGAACATCTGTCTTTGTCTTAGATGTTGCTGACCAGTCTTTTTGCCCTGTTGAGGTAGATGAACTGCCTCGAGGCCACTTTCTTCAGGAAATAGAACTGCCATCTGTATGGTTTATGGTGCCACAGATGTGGCATCTCTAAAGTTCTAGACCCACTTTCTGATACAAAGACAAGTTTCTGCGTCCCTTGTACATTTCTCCACCTTTGTGTTTCACTTGCTCGATAATGATTTTGCAGGCACCTTCCAATTGCTGGGCCTGCTCTAGAGTTGGAGGTTGGCACCAATCCAGGGGCAATGTCATGACCAGAACTGTTGGATTAACCGCAGAGCAATCAACAGCCCTACTAAAACTCTGTGCTTGAGGACTCCTATGTACTTAGTGAGGTTGTCAGTTTCTTAAGGACAAACACTCCCTACTAAGCTTAAAATTTTTTTTGTCACAGAGCTCAGCACAATGTGAGACTCAGAGCAAATACCCAATAAACAAGCTGTTGACAAACCAACTAGGCAGGCAACACAGCATGGTGGTTATGCGTACCATGGACTCCGGAACTCAGCTGCCTGGGTTTGAACGCTGGCTCTGTCCCTTCTAGGGTGTGTGGTCTAGGGCAAGCTACTTAGTCTCATTGTGCCTCAGTTTTAAAATTCACAATAACAAAGATATGAAATCAACCTATGTGTCCATCTCAATGGATGACTGAATAAAGAAATTTTTTATATATATATATATATATAGTATTCCATATATATATGGATATATATGAAGAGATATATATATATAGATGTAGTATTCCATGGTGTGTGTATATACATATATATGTGTACCATGGAATACTACTAAGCCATAAAAAATAATGAAATCATGACTTTTGCAGCAACATGGATACATGGATGGGCCTGGAGGCCATTATCTTAAGCAAAAAACTCCCAGAAACAGAAAGTCAAATACCGCATGTTTTCACTTACAGTGGGAGCTAAATAATGTGTACATATGGATGTAAAGTGTGGAATCGTAGACATTGGTGACTCAGAAGGTTGGCAGGGTAGGAGGGTGGTGAGAGGGATGAGAAATAATTTAATAGGTGCAATGTATACTATTCAGGTGATGGTTACACTAAAAGCCTATACTTCACCACTGTGCAATACATACAGTAACAAAACTGCACTTGTGCTCTCTAAATCTATAAAATTAAAAAATTAATGGGGATAATGGTATTTACCTCATAGTGTTGTTGACCAGATTAAATGAGTTGATATATAACAGTTACTATGTGCCAGGCACTATTCTAAGATTTAACATATATGTCTTTGCTATTGTTATTTTATTGTTTATTTGGCAAATATTTATTTACTGAGTGCCTATCAAGACTAAAAGTGTATGCAGGCCTCTCAGGGGACACTGGGATGATGAGACCTTCTTTGTGTTAATGTAATAACTGAGCCCTTCCCTGTGACACAAGGGGTAGGAAGACCTATCCCTTCCTCCAAGTCAAGTGGACAGGGCTGCTCAGGCTAAAAGAAAGAATTAAACCCAAGGGTTGTCTTGAGTAGCTTTGGGAATAGAAAATAGTCCCCTAGATCCTGGAAAGATGCAGTTTCTCAAGTCTGCCCTCTTCTGCCATTCCCATCACTCATTCCCACAGCCCTCATCCTCCCTGGCTGAGGCCACAGCACCAACCACTAGCTGGCTTCCCTGCCTGCAGTTTCACTCTGTAGCCTTGCTGCTTCCTAACCCCATGAGCTTCCTCTTGCACACTGAGTGTGTTATTTCCCTGCTTATAAGCCTGCAGTAGCTCCCTATTGTCTGCATGGTAATGCCAAATGCCTTACCTTCGGACTAGTCATCTGTCTCCATTTTCATCTCCAGCCTCACCTCCAGTTGTCCCTCTTTGTCCACTCCTACAACCCCATGCACCCTGTGCTTCAGCCTCACCAAGCTGCTCTTGAAATATGCTCTCCTCTGGGATACAGAGCTGACTCATTCCTCCTGAGTGGCCCAGTAGGGCTTTGTATATGCTCAGTGAATGCAATTCCATGTGCTGCAGTAAATTTTTTTGTACCTTTCTCCTCCTGGGACATGGGACATGCCACCCAGAGCTGGGTGCAGTTTTCAGCAGTCTGGTTGGTGAAATACATGTATGAATGTTTTTGAGCTGAAGTTGGAGCATCCTCTTAATGCTCAGGCTGGAAGAAAAAGAGACCCTGGAGGAAGCTGTGATTTGGAAGATTCTAATGTGCTTGAAATTCAGTGAGATAACATTTTGAGCAAGAGATTCACATTTTAGTTGTGGAGTTAGATGGCTTGGATTCTCTATTTTGTGAATTCATTTGTTTGCACAGTTATTCACTGTCAATCAACAGGTATTAAGCACCTACTACTATGTACAAGGCACTGGAAATACAAAAGTGGACCCGATGAATGTGGACTTTGCTTTTGAGCAACTTATAGACATCAACAGACTGGGGTAAAGGCTACTAATGGGAAGATGTGGGGACTCTGTGGAGTACCCATGGGAATTGAACAGCCAAGGAGGGTCCCCTCAGAGGAGGTGGTGGTTGATTGGCTCCTTAAACCTAGTTTGGGCATCTTGACACCTCTTGTCATTTCTATTTCATCCTTTCAGTGATGTTCCCAGTTTCTCTGCCATTCTTTCATCATCCACTGGCTCTTGCTCTTCTTCAGAGATAGGGATCACATGTCCATCCAGAGGCCTTAGCACTGGCCATTCCCCGTGCCTGCTATGTCTGCCCCCAGGTACCTGAGTGGCTTGCTCTCTCGCTCCATCCAAGCTTCTGCTCAGTTGTCAATCACGTCTGTGGAGAGTTCATCTCTGACCACCCCATCAGCTTCTTTCCACTTTCTCTGGCTTACTTTTCGTTAGATAACCTATCACCAAATAGCACACTATTCTTTCTTCATTTACATGCTCCCCCAGTTGAATGGGAGCTCCATGAAGCCAGGGCTGGCTTGCTCATGGCCATGTCCCCAGCACCTACAAGTCAGCCTGGGCCATTGGCCTTGAAAAATTCATATTGACTGAATGTACGCATGCTGTGTGCCTGTTCCCACGCTGCATCTGAGTAAAGAGACCCTCCTTGGCTTCCAAAAACCCACGCAGTCCCCAAAGAGAAAACATTCTAACCACGAGACTCCTCAGCAAAGGAGATAAAAGGAAACGTACTGCTCAATTGGGGCTCCTCTGGGGATTCGCCAAGAGCGAGTACAGAAAACTTCCTAACCTTAAAAGAACTTTGAGTTCATTTAAGTCCCACCTACACAGCACGCAGATTGACTGCAAACCAGCACTGGGCCTGCCTCCATCTGTCTGTGAGCAATGGGAAAGAGGTTTGCATCCAAAACGCATTTATCTCACTCTGCACTCATGCATCTGTTACTTACTGGGGACCCAGATACGATATTTATTTCCAGGCTGGTAATTCATAACAGATTTAAGTGGCCAATACATTTTCGGGTGTGCAAACAAACCTGCCAGCGGGATGGTTCAGACAGTAACAGACCACGGCCTCCGGAGGCAGAGACAGGGCTGGCCCCATTCAGCTCATTGTCCCAATGGAGTTATTTTAATGAATCGTCAAGATCCAATTGTAGAGAAATGATTCTAGCATGGGCAGTTAGCTCTTTAGAGAGCCAGGAAGGATTGTGGCTGCGTTGGAGACCAGGGTGATGGAGTGAGGACCTAGTTAGCTGTCTGGAGTACTGTTTTGCCAGGAATCCCTATAGAGACCCCAGGAATTTTATCTTTGCTGGAGTATGTAGTTGGTTCACAATTAATGGAGTTCCTCTACTCTTCACCCTATAGTGGTAACTGTGCAAGGAGTTGCTTGTGGTTGGCTTTCTTCCCTTTGTCCCTCCATTTCCCCTTTTTCCTTCCATGGTCTGCTCTGTATGGATCGCGCCATGGGCTCCTATTCTTTCTGCTTCAAATTGGGTTTAGTCAATGGGGAACAAAAGCAGGAACTCAGAGGCCAGGAGGAGGTTGGGGCATATGTTCTTCTAGGTTCCTCCCTGCCAGGTCTCCATGCCTTGCTTGACCTTGTCACTCAATCAAGGGCTTCAGTTCTTGAAGGGCAGCCCTCTCTCATAGCTACTCTCTTCCCTTATCTGGGTCTAGGGCTGGTAAGGACTCCCTACTATTGTTAGCCTAGTGATACTGCACCCTACCCTACTGGTTTCTCTTAATCCTGTTCACATCCTTATTAAACTTTCCCTGGGTACCCACTTTGGGGAAGCCTATGTTTCCTTTTGGGATCATGACAGATACTTTACATCAGTAATTGCACACTTGTGGGGTGGCATCATTATCTCATTTTATAGATATCAGAATGATTAAGTAATTTACCCAAGATCATAAAGCTAGTAATCAAAAAGGCCTGGATTCAACACAGGTCTTCAACACAGACCAGATTCATGACTTTATTGGCCCTGGATTCTAACCACTGAGATTGAGCCTGGAGTTCAATATCCCATAATAAGACAGCATGAACAGAGGCCATTTGCCCTGTCTGCCTAACCTATTACAGACAGAAGAAGAAGGTCGTGGTGTGTCCTAAGTGGGCAGAGAACTGAAGTTCAGTTGTGTGACCTTGGACAGTGCTCTTAACCTACAGCTCTGGTTTCCTGTCTTTAAAGGCTTGAAACATGCCTTGCAATGATAAAACAGGAAATGAATCAGAGGCATAATTAGCAGTTGTAGAGATTAACTTGCATTTAAAGCAATTTCGTTTGTTGCCTATAAAATACCAAAGTGTATCTTGGCCCTGACTGTAGTCAGATGCTCATTCAACTTTGGAGTGAGTGCCTATCTAGGAAAATGACTTTTGTTGGGGGATTCTAGTCAAATGATGAATGCCAGATACAGAAACTCAGGCATGCCAGACCCTGTGTGGCCTGTGGTCCTTAGGGTCATATCCATGCAGCCATAGACAAGGTCGAGGAGAAATGGAAGGAATCAATTCAACCTGCATCAATATATGCTGACTCGGTCCTTGCTGTGTGTTGGCTACAAGGCGGTGTCTGGGAGTGGGGGGGGGGAGGGGAAGGAGAAAGAGTGCTAAACTGGGAGCCATTCAGGTCTGGTTCCCATCCTGGTTCTGCCACTGACCAGCTGCATGGCCTGAGACGTATTTGTGATTTCTCTAAACCTTAGCCCTCCCCATCTGGAGAATGGGAATGAGAACACCTACCTTGAAGGGTTGTTAAGAAGTTTTGATAAGCTGACTTACTTGAGCCACCCATCATAGGACCCCAAGAGTGACTCATTAAGAGCCAGTTGGTGTTGTCATTGCTCACTGTGATTATTAAAGACAGCAGGGTATGGTGGGAGAGGTACTCTTGACTCAAATTTCTGCTCCCTCCTCCCCTACCTCCTAGCAGTATAATCCTGGACAAGTTATATAATCTTAAGAGACTCACTTACTCATCTGGAAATGGGTAGTAGTGGTACTTACCTTGTGAAGTTGTGATACTAGTTAAGGTGATGTTGGTACATGAAAGGTGATCAGTAATTCTTAGGTTACTATAAACCCTTCTTGCCTGGCTGGCTCTAAGTCATCTTTCAAGGCAGAACTGAGACATCACCTCCTCCAGGGAGCCTTCACTGGCTACTTCCCTTTCCCACCAACTTGAAGCTTTGATTTTCCTTTATGGTCCCACAGCCCCTGCTCTGTGAAGGTCTATTTTCTTATCTGACTCCCTCACCAGATTTGAGTCCCTTTTAGGTCAGAGACCTGGTCTTAAAAGTCAGTATTTCCCATACACAGTGGAGGGTCTGCTCTGTGTTTGTGAACTGAATACTGGATGTATGAAGGAAAGGCTGCTGGCATGATGGATGTATGCTCAGAGTGCCTTGCTCTGGGCTGGAGAAAAGCTATTCAGAACTGGCTGTCTCCTGTGAACTTTTCTGGAAGGGCTATGGTGGCAGAGACGGTGTTCATCTTCAACTCCACTGAAGTTGCAGCCTCAGTTCTTGGCCATGTAGTAGGCCCTTTGTTAATTAGGGTGTAGTTAGGGAAACAGAAACCAGTCTATGTGTTTCAGACGAGGCAATTCAGTATGGGGAGTTGGTTACACAAGTGATGGAGGAGCCAAGATGCCAAACAGAGAATAGTGGGGCAACCCAGAGATCAGGGACAGGACTAGGCTGCAACCAACCCTTAGAACTAGTGGGAGAACAGGAGAGGGAGAAATAACTAGAGTCCAGAGTCCAGAAATAACCAGAGCCCCAGTGGGCTGACTGGCAGGAGACTGGACTATGGCAGGCCTGCTTGAGGAAAGATGGAGCCACAGACAGGGTACAGCCACTGCTGGAGTTGCTGCCCAAGGAAGGGAGTGAGATGGAGAATACACTGCCCTTCCATCATCCTCCAGTGTCTGTCTGTCTGTCTGTCTGTCTCTCTCTCTTTCTCTCTCTCTCTCACACACACACACACCCTGCAATGCAAGGCAGAACAGGGAAGGACACAAAATAGATCTGAGGGCAAGCAGTCAGATGATCAATACAAGGCTCAATAAGTATTTGTTGAGTTAATAACTCACCTGGCTTAGTCTAGATTAAGGGGGAATTCACAAACTGCACCACCACACTTTATAGCCTATCTATAAATACATTTGAGAGTCTAGGGGACCAGTATGAATCTCTGTGCCATTCTTCAAGACCCATGGACTGTGAGCTGAGGTCCTGAGATGCATGGCTTGAATCAGTCACATTGGGTTGTCCTTCTGACCTCAGCAGTCATGCTCTTGCTTAGCAAATTCTCTCACTTCCATGCATACCCTTCTTGGCTCCTGTTTGAGTTTAGTCCCTTCCTCAGTCGTCTCTGGAATATTGAAGCAGCCTCTTTCCTTATTGGTTGTAGTTGTCTTAATTCCAGAATTTCTTCCCTCGGATCTGTCTTATCTTTGGTAGCAGATAAATCATGCCAAAGCTCAGTTCTAAGCTGGTCACCTCCTTGATAAAAAATTTTTAATAGCTTCCTCTTGTCTATGGGATAAAGTCCCACTTCCTAAGTCTGAGCATTTAATCTTCACTGATGTAGTCCCAACAATATTTTCCATTATTCCTGTTACATATTCTCTGCTCCCCTCAAATGGAGCTGCTATGTATCTCCTGGCCAGTTGCTCCATCTTGGCTTGTGCTATTCTCTCTAACTAGAGGCCCCTCTCCCCTCTCTTTGATTTTAAATCATATCTGTGCTTGAAGCTTTGGTTCACATCATATTTTGCATTCCTGATGGGAGAAGTGATATTTTTCCCTACTTCTGAATCTCTGCAGCATGTTATCTGTACTTTTGACACTTAACAATTTCTACTTTGCCCTGGAATTATTGATGTGCACATTATCTCCCTGCTAAGGTTTTAAAGGGTAGAGACCATGGTATTATTAGCATTATGGTTCCCATAGCATCTAGTATACATTTTACAGTAGGCACTTTAAAATTTTTGTGGCATAAATGGCCATGCGTTTATGTGAATGAATGAATGGATCAACAGACATATACACAAATGAATAAATGGGGTGAATGAGTAAGACTAACAGTTGTCCTGAGGCCCCATAGAGCAGGCTACTACAGCTAGCCTGAAAGTGGATGCAGTGGTAGATGGACAGTCAACTTGGGTTACACTAGTTCCACATATCAAGGAGGATCCAGACTGCTCTGGAAGGGCCACCTTCTGGAGGAGAGTTTGGGGTAAACCACAGATCTTGAGCCTGCAAAAGCCAGCCCCAGCCCCCAGCCCCATTAAGACACTCACGTCAATGTAGTTGGCATTGATGTAGTCAGAGTGCGGGTCTCCATCCAGCACCAGCAGCCTCACCCGGGAATGGTCGTCTGCAGAGAGAGCAGAAATCAAGGGGATGGTTGATAAGAGGCCTTACGCAGCTAATGTCCTCCTTTAGAACTACTGTTTATTAATGACTGCATATCAGGCATTGTGCTACTCTCATTTAACTCTCAACACCACCCTCAGTTACTGCTCCCATTTATAGATGAGGAAGTGGAGGCTCAGGGAGGTAAGCACTTCTCATTTTTCTACCTTCCCTTCTGATTTCGTCATTACCTAACTGGATTAGTCACCTGTTTCTTTAAGTCTTAGTGACTTAATCATTAAAATGGGGATGGAAATACTTGCTTCATAGGACAATGTGAGAGAGACCATATAAAAATGCTTAGGACAGGAGAGTGTTGCATCTGGATTAATATACTCCATTTTCATGTTGTTTAAAAACAGCAAGTTTACCTATCTTCCACACATGCACAAATTGCTTTTCATTTGCCCCTTGGAGTATTGTTAGAGATAGATTGTCAGCCATATATTGTTATCAATACTATCATTAAAGTGAGGCTGACTAAATCATTATAAAAGAGGTCATCAATAACTAAAAATTGTGTTATAGAGGATGCCTTTTCAAACACTATCTAGACATAAACAAGATTTGCAGGCTTTATTTGGTAGCATGCTTACTTCAACTAACACCAAATAAAAACCATTAAAAGAAAACCAGTACAGCAGAAGAATCAGGATAATCCTTTACAGTTAATTAAGTGAGCTCTGACACGCTAATAGACACACACAAGTGGAACATTGGTTCGGTCTGGTTGGGAGGAGGGACCTTGGTTTGCTATCCAGGTCACTGTGCACGTATCATTGTGCAGTCACTGCATCCTAGTTCACCTTCCTCTAGGGCAGGAATGGGTCCCTAAGATGTGGGCTGGAGAGCTCTGGACATCCCCAAGGGTTTTCTGGGAGTCACGGAGGTCAGATCAGCTTATCTTCTTAGAATTATACAGCATTCTGCAGTTTACAAGGCACATTTATTGCAATTAACCAAAACCCCCTTGAGAACTGGGACATTATGCCTTATTCCCTGTTCCATCCCCTGCACCTTTAAAAGGTCCTGACATACAGCAGGTACTCAGTAGTACATGGAAAAGGTATAATTGGATGCCCTCATTGGGTTCTCACAGTGACCCTGTGGAAGAGAAGTAGGATGGGTTCTTTTAGCCCTTGTTACAAATGAGGAA
Source organism: Homo sapiens (assembly GCF_000001405.40). Lineage (NCBI taxonomy): Eukaryota > Metazoa > Chordata > Mammalia > Primates > Hominidae > Homo > Homo sapiens. The sequence goes on from NC_000020.11 coordinate 42,130,025, forward strand.
ACTGAGGCTCCAGAAAGCCTGACTGGCCACATGGCCAGTGAATGGTAGAGCACAGAGGAGTGAAGTTCTCTTAACTCTGAGTTCGGTCGCTCCTGTTTCCAAAGGGGGTGTAAGCACAATGTTAGAAACCACTTCAGATATACCCAGCAGAGGGAATTAACTACTGAGAAGTGGTTGCCTGGGTTACAAAGAGTTGAGCAGCCAGATAGAAGAAAGTGGAGAAACTCAGAGATAAGCAGCAACAAGGAGACACTGCCTGCCCTTGGGCTGAAGGGATGGAGGGAGGTGGTGGAGTTGGCAGTGCTCAGGAGCTGGGGCCACCTGCTGGAACCTGAAGCCACAGTGGGATTCTAGTAGGAGCTGGAGGCAAGGAGGTGCTTCCCTTGCTGCTAAGGAAGGCAATTGTAGTTGTAATACCCTGGCTTCTCCCTTTCTCCTTCTCTCCAATCTCCCAGTGCATGTCATTGGCTAAACCTAAATAGCTGACAGGAGAGCCTGAAAAACACAACCTGCAGGGGTAAGTTACCTGCAATGCACACTAGAGTGGGAGAAGGTAAGGAATGGGTCCTATTATGGACAAACAGGCCTAGGGCTGGTATAAGATACACCCCATATCTATCCATTCATTTAAGAATCATTCACTGAGTATCTGCCATGTGGCAGGCAGGCACTGTGCTAGACAGCAAGTTATACTAAATGCGACTTTTCTTACTCATCAGGGGGAAGTTTCAGCAGAAGCAACTAGAGGGAGCAGGTGGGTGGTCTAAGCAATCCCTTTGGGTGAGTGGGAGAGTGGAATGTGACATGGGGGAGGAGTTTGAAGTTAACCTTTATTGGATTCATGGTAGGTAAGAGAAACTTTACATGCATTATCTCCTTCAACCATTTATGCCTCAAAATAGCCATATAGGTTATTATAAGGATACCAGAATGATATGGTATTATGAGTCTTCCCATTTTACAGATGAAGACACTGAGGCTCAGAAAGATTAAGCAAGCTTCCGAAGTTACGCATCATGTGTGTGGCAGAGATAGGACTTCTCGGTTAGGTTTATCTGACCCTGAAACCCTACTCTGCCCACATAACTTGCTGTCCCAGAGTCTCAGGCATCTCACAGGCACTACAGCTGGAGTGTGTGCAAACAGCTCTTCCCCAGTTCCTGCAGGATTCTAGCCCCAGAGAGGACTTCCTGGGGGACAGCCCATCCAGCAGGCTGGAATTCAGACAAAGCCTGGCACCTGACTCTCAGCCCAGGGCATCAAGCCTCTGTTACCAGCAGTTCCAGAAGCTGTAGGCCTCAAAAAAGTGAAAATGCACATTGTGTTTTCACTCAGTGGTCTCATTATGACTTACTGATTCAGAAATCTCCTTTATTTGTTGAGTTATGCCTGCCCCTGGGGCCCATAGCACTGGAAACAGAGATTGTGGTTTAAAATGTTGAAAGGGAATTTTTAAAATATAAAATGAAGTTGAAAAACCGGAAAGCAAAAATGATTAAAAACAAAACAAAAAGAAACGAACTTATTTATTCTAGTTAAGTGTACTTATGGATGAAAGTGATCTCTAGCCACCAGATGATGGTGTTTGACAACGTCTCTCCTTCATTTATTAAGAATGTGTTTACTGCACACCTACTATGTGCCAGGCTAGTTGAAGGGATTAAGAAAGTGCTATCAAATGTGATACTCATGTTTAAGGAGTTTGTCAATTTAGTGGAGACAGACTGTATGCAGAAGCAAAACTTCCAAATCTAGAAGATGGGGAATAGAGGGCTTTGTGTAGTGACATGTGAATGAGGAATTAAAAATGAGTAAGGTTTGGCCAGTGCACAATGAGGAAGTCTTTCCATCAGAGGGAATGGCTAGAGTGAAGGCAGATATCCTGAAAAAAGCAAGCACCGTGGGGGAGCTGCAAGGGTCTCCTGTCCTGGGAAAACAGAGTGTGAGGGGAACAGCGATGGGAGGGGAGACAGAGGAGGCAGCAGCGGGGGTTTCATTTCAGAAGGCTCTCCATGCCCTGTGAAGCCATGAAGACTCAAGGAATCATGCTGGGCTCTGCAGGGCAGCCTAATACAGTGTTTCTTTTCTGGGACAGTGGAAAGGTGCTTTATTATGATGTAACCAAAATTCATGCCTACACAGCTAACTTATGTCAAGTGAGATAAACTTTTAATATAAGACGTGAGATATGGAGCTGTGATCAGATTTGGCTTCAAATCTTAGCTCCATCACCTAGCAAGTCAATTGATCTCTCTTAGCTTTGGTTTCCTTAGCAAAATGGAGCCAATACTATATGGCATGAGAGGATTAAATGAGAAAACATAGGTGTGAAAAGTGCTAGGACATTAAGAAATGAGAGGATAAGCCACAGACTGGGAGGAAATATTTGCCAAACACGTATCTCAGAAAGGACTTGTATCAAAAATACACAACAAACTCTTAAAACTCAGTAAGAAAGCAAATGACCTGATTAAAAAATGGGAGAAAGATCTGAACAGACACCTAATCAAGGAAGATATACAGATGGCAAATAAGCACATGAAAAGATGTTTAACATCATGTGTTATTAAGAAATTGCAAATTAAAACAAGATACCACTACATACATATTAGGATGGCCAAAATCCAAAACACTGACACCACCACAGGCTGGGGAGGATGTGGCACAGCAAGACCTGTCATTCATTGCTGGTGGGAATGCAAAATGGTACAGCCACTTTGGAAGACAGTTTGACAGTTTCTTACAAGACTAAACATACACTTACCATACTATATCTAGCAATTGTACTTCTTGGTATTTACCCAAATGAGGTGAAAACTTATGTCCATAGGAAAACCTGCACATGGATGTTTATAGCAGCTTTACTTAAAACTGCAAAAACTTGGAGGCAACCAATATGTCCTTCAATAGGTGAATGGATAAACAAATTGTGGTGCAGACGGTCCCTCACTTGGGATGATTAGACTTAGGTTTTTTTGACTTTATGATAGTTCCAAAGCAACATGCATTCAGTAGAAACCTTAATTTGAGTACACATATAAACGTTCTGTTTTTAATTTTTGGTACAGTGTTCAATCAATTCCCTGACATATTCTACACTTTATTATAAAATGTACTTTGTATTAGATGATTTTGCCCAACTAATCATCTAATATAAGTGTTCTGAGCATGTTTAACGTAGGCTAGGCTAAGCTATGATGTTTGTCAGGTTAGGTATATTAAATGCATTTTTGACTTATGATATTTTAAACTTATGGGTTTATGGGGATATAACCTCACTGTAAGTGAAGGAGCATTCATTCGATATCCATACAATGGCCTATGGTTCAGTGAGAAGCAGAAATGAGTTATCAAGCTGCAACAGACATGGAGGAAACTTAAATGCATATTTCTAAGTGAAAGAAGCCAATCTGAAAAGGCTACATACTGTACAATTCTGACTATATGACATTCTGGAAAAAGATAAAACTCTAGACACAGGAGAAAGATCAGTAGTTTCCAGGGGCTTGGGAGGAGGGAAGGATGAATAGGTGAAGCATAGAGGATGTTTAAGGCCGTGAAACTATTCTATACAATAGTGCAATAGTAGATATATGTCATTGTACATTTGTCAAATCCTATAGAACTGTACAACATAAAAAGCAAACCTGAATAAACTATGGACTTTAGCTAATAATAATAAATCAATATTAGCTAATTGTAATGAATGTACCACACTAATGCAAGATGTTAATAATAGGGGAAACAGTATGTGGGTGGGAGGGAGTACATGGGAATGAGGTACTTTCTGCTCAACTTTTCTGTAAACCTAAAACTGCTCTAAAGAAAAATGCTAGGACAATGCCTGGTACACAGCAGGTGCTTAATAAATGATGGTTTTGGGGCTGAATGTGAGGCAGGCAGTGAGCTAATAGCAGAGATACTTAGAAACTTGGTGCTCTCCACTTGACCTCTGTACCAAATACAGATCCATCTATCTGCAGAGGCAAAGAACTATTGTGTGTGTTCACTAAAGGGTGGAATTCAGCTGTAGGTCCACCACAAAGGCACTGCAAGGAGTGGCAGTGTCCTCATGGTTTATTTATTCCTTTTGGGAGATGCTAATATTATTCTGTGTCCCCTTCTTCTTCTAACTTTATATAATTAGAAGGATAAAAAATTGTGTTTACCCACATGCACATGGAGAAAGATGGGGCGGCAGGCGATGTGAAGGCGTTTATACGAGGTAATTTACAAGCAGCCTAGAATGTTCATTATGCTCTATCTACATTTTGCAAGCTTGAAAAACAGCTAATTTGGTACTCCTTGTTTGATATTCAAGACAAGGAGAGGAGTTAAGAAGAGTCATGTGGAGGAGAAGCAAACTCCTCAATGAGGCGAGGGGAAGGTGCAGCCTGGCTCCCCCGGCTCTCAGTTGAGGTGAGAGATGGGCAAGAGCTGGCTGTGGCGAGGAGGGAACTGGTGGCAGAAGGTAGAAGGGAGACATGGTACCAAGACACATAAATTCAAAGAGCTCCCTTTAACACAAGTCTAGGGGAACATCATCACTCAGTTTGCAATCAATCTGCTGTTCCTTGCTTGAGGTCAAAGACCACTAGTATGCTGGTAAATGTTTAACATACAGCTCCCTGTGGGAAAAAAGGCCCTGATCAGTAATGTCTGCTGATTTCTGTGGTGTAAATACTCCCACCATGACCGATTTCAAGCTACCAACATAGCATCAACCACCTCACAAAATTCCTGAAAATTTAACAATCTGCTTTTGCAAGCTGGTATGAGTCAGCTACAGAACACCACTGACAGAGGACAAAGCCTAGCACACCCTGCAATGTCTTGCATGATCTGATGGTTTGGGACCTACTTCTCTCTCCAGCTTCACATACTGCTCTGATAACTGTGGTCTTCTTTCAGTTGCTCAAATGCACTGTGTTCACTCTGACCACAGGGCCTTTGCATGTTCAAAGAACACCTCCATCCAAGCTGGCAGTTGCGCCTGGATCCTGGGCTCCAATTCTTCCTCTCCTCATAGCTGACCCCTCACCACACCTGTAGACCCAGCCTATCCCTTCCAAAGACTGGCAGCCAATTCTTGCCTTTAGCAGAAGGGAGGTTATGGATTGGGTGGAGTCTGAAGGCAGACCTGAGGCTTGTCACACCCTAACCATATCACCTGGGGTAGGTTACCACCTCCCCTGAGCCTCTGTTTACCCAGCTATAACATCCAAATCATATATAGCTGTGCAGACTTGCTGCAAGGATTAAAAGATGTAAAATATGAACCCACCTGGTATGTTGTAAGAAATTAACACAACTATATAAATTCAGTTTTGTTTTTATTCTAGACCTGGGCCAATGGCATCAGCAGCACCTGGGAACTTGTTTGAAATGGAAATTCTTGGGCCCCAGCCCAGACTCACTGAATCAGAAACTGTGGGGTGGGGCCCATCAATATGCATTTCAATATGCCCTCCAGGTGATTCTGATACACGTTCAGGTTTGAGTATACAGACCAATGTTTAGTGACTTAGTGCAGAGGTGCTCTGGTTATTCACTTCAATCTGTCTTGGGAAAGACCAGAAGATCTTACTGGAAATGGGCCATAAGACTAGAGACTCACCTTGTGCCAGGTGGTGGGATACGGAAATTTAGCTGTGTGAAAAGTGTAAGATGTTCCAGGCACTTATCAAATGCCATGGGGATGCCATGCCATTTGATTCTCACAGTAACCCTGTGAGGTCTATACCATCATCCCATTTCATGAATGAGAAATTCAAGGCTCCAAAAAGTTTAATAACTCAGGAGAAGGTATAGGGATGAGGGCTTCTTTATAGAGTTGTAGGGTCCTCACTCCTCCTGGAACGCTGAGATCCATGACCTCCATACCCTTCTATGCCACACTTCTCCAGCTTCCACTTTCCTCTAAGTTCTCAGTCTCCAACATTGGTCCTCATCCCACTAAGGTCTCATGGCCACCCGAGAGAGAGGGTTCACTTTCCTCTTTCATACAGTTCTAACTCTCAGAACAAACCACAACTCCTTCTCCCTCCCTCCATCACCAAAGATAGCCCAGTAAACCTGTCATCTCAACCCACATCCACTTAAAGAGAGAATCACTTCAAAGAGGTGGGGCTGGGGAGAGAATATTATTTGGATACTTGATATTCTTTCTTCCTGTCTTCTGGGCACTACAGAGGGTAAAGAACAGTGCTTTTTTTTTTTTTTTTTTTTTTTTTCAGAGAAAAGAGATTTGACTCATTACAATGAATTGTGGAGCTGAAAAACCATTTCCTACAAGTATTGGAAATGTTAATGCCATCATCTTGCAAAAGTGGATAAGGAGGAGGCAGGTAATTCTGCTGAGACTGCCTGGGTACCTCACTGAAGCTAAAGGTCTGCACATTCAATCTTGATTGAATTACCATTATCAAGAGAGGCTGGCTTGGGCATGATGCAGAGACAGCCCGACATTCTGTGTACCTCCTTGTCCTGCCAGATCCATGCTGGCTGAAATTGGAAAACGCCCCTTTGTGGGGTCCTGGGAGGAGCTGCTCCAGTAGATGCAACCTTTGAGGGGACTGAAGGGGACTGGAGTTGAGAGGGGCAAGCACCAAGAGAGGACCACCTGTGTCCTAAGGATGCCATCCAGGCACTGCCCCACTGAGGGGCCTTTCTGAAGGAAGGGAGGGAGGTTTCTTATTTGGATTTCTTCAAAAGAAGAACATGAGATATGTATTTGGATGCAAGTAGTTGTTGTCGGGGGGTGATCCCAGGAAACACCAGCAGGGGAGTGGGAAGTGAGACAGAGAAAGAAGAAATCTAATAGGGGTGTGTCATTCAGCAAGTTGCCATTGTAGCAAGTTGAGGCTTAATTCGGCTGAGGAGCTCTGGGAGTCATTCTACCTAAGCAGAGAGGGAGCTGGGGTATGTATATACCCACTTCCATCAGTCATTAATTGAGGGCAGGTTCTGGGGACATTTAATATTCTGGCTCTTTGGGCCTGCCCTGCAAGAAGGCAGAGAAGGCTCTAGTGGCCAGAAAAAGTCCTTAGGAAAAGAAGCAAAGGTGCTGGCAATTTGAATTAGCACTAGCACACATGCAAGTAGTGAGTGTTTGGGGATATGGCAGGGTACCAATGGTTTCTGCACCACAAGGCATCTGTAGGACCCAGGCAATGGCCACCCTCAGAGACAGTGAAGAAGAATGGAGGCTGAGAGTCAGGAGCATTGAATAAGGCACCCACTCTGTCACCCCCAGCTCTGTCTCCCCAGGAATCAGCAGAGAAACCTGCTGTGAAAAAAGTCCTCTGGGTTTTGTTTTGAACCTGAGTTCCTCACTAGGAGTGAGGGTCCTCTCTGCACTCCATAGCCCCACCTCCTTCTGGAAAAGATGGGCCTCTCTGAAGAGCTCATCTGCTCTGAGGTTGGGCCTTAGCAACACATTCTCCCCCAGGAACATGGATGTGACTTGATGCAGAGAGGACTCTTTGGTAAGGAATATGTGCCACCCTACCCTGGCAGGCAAGAGACCACAGCTCTGGTCATGGCTGTTCTACAGACTTGCTGTGTGCTCTCGGGCAGGGCACAGTCCATCTCTGGGCTCTCTCTTCTTGCCTGTGAACTCAAAAAGGCTACACTAACTCATCTAGACTTAAAAGTCTGTGACTTAAGGGGCCACACAAGATTCAGATTTAATAATCATTCAGCTTAATTTGGCCTCTCCATCCTGAGAGCTGCCCTAGAGCCATCTGATGGGTGAGAACCTGAAGGTGGGTGAGGTGAAGTGATTGTGCTGAAGGTAAACAACAGAACTGGGATGAAAACCTGGGACTGCCTGACCTCATGTCTAAGACCCCAATACACCTGAGCCCAGTGGCTTTTCCTAGATTGGGAGAAGATAAGTCTCAGAAAATGTGCTGATATCCTGTGTGCCCGCAGACCCCCTCTCCACTTCATCTGGCCCTCTAATCCAGGAGGCTGATTGCTATGGCCAAGATTGGACATTCTCAAAGTTGCACATGCGTCACCATCACCTAGAGGGCTTCTAGAAATACAGATTGCTAGACTCTGTCCTCAGAATTTCTGATTCAGTAAGTCTGGGGTGGAGCCCAAGAATTAGCACCTCTAATGAGTTCCCAGGTAACACTAATGCCACTGCTGTAGGCATTATACTTTGAGAACCACTGGATTAGGTCAACAGATCTCCTGTTCTCTGGATTCTGGTTGGCCCCAGCCAATGGAAAGCACAGGCAGAAGATTGGGTGGAGGGAGGAGAGTGTGATGGAGGTACTTACTCCTCCAGCACCCCTTGGTGGGGTCACCATGGGTGGCTGCCTTGCCACCAAAGGTCGCACCCACCTCTGGTCAGGTCATCTCTCTTTGGGTCCTGGTAACCCCTCCTACGGAATCCTTCCTGGTCTGAGGATGGAATTTTGGTACTGCACTATCCCTTGTAGTCTTTCTACATCTAGATTACACCTTTATAAAGAACTGATCCCAGAAGGGGGCCTCATTTTGTAACATTTGCAACCCCTGTGATCACTTCAGCTTCTCAGTGTCAGCACCTTCCTGCCAGTCTAGGAAGCACCTCTAAAACTTTACATGGAGAATGCTTTGGGATTCTTGAATTTCCCCTTGCCAACAGTCGCTGCCCTAGAGTTACTTGGAAGCAAAGGTCTCTTTGTTCTTATTTTACCCATTCATTTCCTTCCCTTTCACTTCCTTTCCATTTACACTCCCTAGAAACCCCACTGTCTCTATTACTAAATTCTAAATAGAATCACTTGGAAGAAAGGAGATATTTCGCCAAGGTCTCTTGTTGTTTCTTTTGTAGGCAGTGCCCTCCCTCCTACTTGTCCCCTTTAATCTTTTCTGTTCTCCCTGGCCTGGGCCTTTGTCCTCCACTCCAGCCTCACAGTGCTCTGGGTTCCTTAAGATGCTAATCACAGCCAGTTTTCTTCTTGCGCCAAGAATATTTCTATTTATCAAGCCTCGGCAGGCTTTGCCTTTGGGAGGGACGCATACAAGGGCAGGAACACTTTCCATTCCTTGGGGCTGTTTCTTTTTTACATATCCCATTTCAATTCCAGGTTGTTTTTTTTCCATTTCCCTTTTTTTCTTGATTCTCCTTTATGTCTTGCGCTGCTTTCTGAATTCACTGGTTACCTCGGCACTGTCTTCTTTCAGCACTGAATGCAGACCTGCTCTTGCCCTGATCTCTTGCAGAATGATTGACTCTTAAATTAGAAAGGAGATTCTGGTTTATTTAAACCCATCAAGGTGGTATCGTCAAGGTGCTTCAGTTCTCTCTGTCTCCATTTGGGTTCCTCAGAAGTAGATCTAAGACAGAGATTTTAGTCCAAGCAGTTTATGTAGGAGGAGACAGGAATACCAGTAGGAAAGGGGTGATGTACGACAGGGAAGAGAAGGCAGCTTATTAAGGGTGAGTTTTCAAGCCCATTAGGACTGCAGGTAGCTGTATTCTCATCCCTGTGGGAACTCCAGAAGGAACTTCAGGAGAACGGTGAAGAAGCTGGGGTATTTCATGGTGGAGGGCTTCTCCTGGGGGTATTAACCCTTCAGGATTTGCAGGCTGCCTGTGCCTGGGCAGGGGATCCTTTCCCAGCTTTGGAGAAAGTCCTCAGTCTAAGAGATGCAGGCAGGGCAGGGCTAGGGTGAAGCAAGCTCAGAGTCTCAGGCATAGGCTTTATCAGATAAGTGACTATATATTTTAGGGTACAGTGTCCACAGTGCAGGAGCAGAGAATGCTGGGGACCAGACAGGGCAAGCAGCTCCCTGTGGCAGAGTGGGGGCTCCCCAGGAGCAGGAGCTCCACCTCCCAGTGCCCATCACAGGGCCTGCTTTGAGGAGGCCCACATGTCATAAGTCTTAATACATGTTTGCTGACTGTTTGAATATCACTTCTCAACACTTCACTTGCAAGAAATCTTGCTGTCTGAATTACCATCTTCCAAGAGAGAAATTATAAATGTTTTCTGATTAGTTCTACCATTCATAGCCCATTCCTAAATCAGCACAGGAAACAGCTAAGCTAAAACTTCTGCCTTTTTCTTCCTTTACAATCTGCCTGTATCTTACTCTTTCTTCCTCCAAGTTTTTTCTTAGGCAATGTCTAGACAGTTAAAACAAAACAAAACAAAACAAAACTCTGAATTGTGCTAGAAATAATTTGTCATTCAGGATCCTTTTTTTTTTTCTTTTGGATGAACTGGGTTACTCTGTGAGCTGAGACCCAGGGATGTTCCCCACACCATTGGTGAGATGTCAAAAGGTCCAGGTTGGTTACACTGAGTCAGACAAAGGCTGTTGTAGACTCCTGTTCTAATTAGAATACATGCTTAGCATTTTGCACGAGATAACTTTGTCTTCTCTGTATTTATTTTACTTTGAAGGCTGTACCTACGAATATTTGGCAGTGACAATACTTGTGTGTTACCTATGCATGACATTCAGTTCTGTGGCAGTCTCTCTCTTCCTCACCCCCCAGAACTGAATACCATGCACCTGTCACACACAAGTTATTGTCACTGTTTGTTCAGGCCCCATCATCCCTTGGTGAGACTACTGCAGTAGTCTGCTGACTGATCCCTCTGCTACCAGCCCTTCCCAATCAAGTATACCTTCCATATCTGCTGCCCTAGTGATCTTTCCAAAATGGACATCTGATCATGCCCACCTCTCCCCAACCAACCTGCCTTATTCTATGTCCCCACAGGACATGTCCTGAGTACCCAGTGAATCCTGGTTAATAAAATAAGGTGGAATGATAGATCCATGCTGCTCACCAGTGACCTCAAGCAAGTACCCCTGTGGCTAAGAGTAATGGTGCCAGGCACTGTAGCAAGAGTTTTATGTACCTTTAAATGCTCCTCCTATTATCCTCATCATTGTAAAGGGGAGGAATCAAAAGTTTACAGAGGTCAAGTAACTTTCCCAGGGCCCTACAGTTGGGATAGAAACCTGGGCAGTTTGACTCCCGAGGGCGCTAACTACTCTGCACCGCTGACTTCATCAATGAGTCATTCACTGGGGGTGCCTACAGGAAAGGTAAAGCTCATTGTTGAGCAAAGGCAATGTCCTTCCTTAGCTCTGCGTAACATGCCTTCCCCTGCAGGCTCAGTACCTCCCGAGGTGCACTGATGCAGACCTGAGGGCAGGCCCTCACCTCAGAGCCCCTGCCCTACTATAGTGGGGACAGGTAGAATCTGTGTTGCCCTAAACTCTGTCTCTCATACTATAGGAGTAGCCCCGGGCTCCTGTGAGGCCTGAGCTGGGCATACCCCAAGCCCCAGGTGTATGCCAGAGTTACTGGCTTCTTCTGAGCATCAGCCTTTACTTCCAAGCATCAGCCAGTGTGACTCCACCTTCTTGGAGGAGCATCATTCTCTTGCCCGGGTTCTCCTAGCCCCTCCCTCACAGGCTGGGGCCCATGCTCCTCACCCCAGGTTGCTGCCAAAGTCCTCCTTTGAATTAGAGGAGCTTCTGGGAACACAGAGCTCATCTCTTTATCCAGCTGTGGGGTCTTCCGCATGTCAGCCCTTTTGGCTGGGCTTCTTCCCCGACCTGAGGAATTGAGCAGGCAATGCTCGGTGAGACCCAGCCTTCAGAGGTTCTTCCCCAAGAGGCTTCATGGTTCTGCTCTGCCCTGACCCATCTCCCTGCCTGCTCCCTCTGGCTGAGATCAGCCATGCTCTGTCATCCAGTCTAGGGATGGCAGTAAGGCTGATATAAAGCTTCCATCTTGGCATGTAGATACAAAGCTAGAGACAGCAAAGATTATTTGATAACAAATTCCAGGTAAATAATAGTAATAGCCTCTTTTCCCCTGCATCCTCAACACCTGAAGCTTAGGAGCTCCCAGAAGGGCACCTACAGGATATGATGTTCCCATATCGATTCTTATTGCGGTTTTCATCCTCCTTGGCTGTGTCCCACGAAGCTGTCTGCCCCTCTGGTAAGGCCTAAAAAGCAAGGACAGAGTGGTTAGAGTGGCCTGAGATAGGAGCTTTATGGAAGTGGAGATGAACCAACAGGGCAAAGTAAGACCCACTGCGATGGGACTCCTAGTGGAAAGGGATAGATGTCCTTGGATGGGGCCTGGGGAGGACATAGATTTTGTCTGTCCCTGGACCTATTCTCTTGTTCATTGTTTCAAATGTTATTGATGTCTTCTGTGTCATGAGTTCACAATCTAGCCCAGTGGGGGAATCGCTTGTCCATTCATTGAATTATTCATTCATACACTCAACAGATACTTACTGAGCCCCTAACATGGGCTGGGCACTGTTTTAGGTACTAGGGATATAGAGAAACAGACAAGTTCCCCTTGAGCTTCCAGTCAACTAGGAAATATAGTAAATGTGTAATAAAAGAGTAAATGTGTAATTTTAGATATGAAAAATGCTATGATGAAAATAAAGCAGAATAAAGGGATAGTGATGAGGAATGAGAATTATTTCAGATTATACACTCTGGGAGGGCTTCTCCAAGAAGGTAACATTTTAGTTACAGTAGTCCTCCCTTATCCTTGGAGGATTTGTTCAAAGACCCCCCAGTGGGGGGGCTCCTGAAACCATGGATATTACCGAACCCTATACATACTATGTTTTTTCTTATACATACATACCTATGATAAAGTTCAATTTATAAATTAGGCATAGCAAGAGATTAAGAACAATAATAAAATAGTATGACAACAATATACTACAAGTTATATAAATGCAGTCTTTCTCTCTCTCTCTAAATATCTTAATATTTTTTGACTGAGATTGACCTTGGGTAACTGAAACCATGAAAAACAAAACTGCAGATAAGGGGGACTTCATTAATGATAGATACTATAATTCCTTCATGATACTGTAATTCCTTAATATGAAACAGCCAGTCACACCAAGAAAAGTAGAAAGTGCTTTTCAGGCAGAGGGAACAGCAGATGCAAAGATGGTCAGGCAGCAACCAAATGACCATATTCAAGGACTGGAGTGTTGTGAAGAGGGAAGTAGTGATGGAAGTATCTAGAGCGGATGGGGGAGTCCAGATTATATAAGACATTGCTATTACTGGTTAATGAACTGGGCATTATTCTAAGTGTGATGAAAAACCATCAGAGGGTTTTGGGCAGGGGAATCATCTGATTCATGTATTACAAAGTACAATCTGGCTCATGTATGGAACACAGGCTCTGGGAGGGGCATGGAGGAAGCAGGGAGATCTGCTAGAAAGTTGTGGCAGTGGCCAGGCGCGATGGCTCAAGCCTGTAATCCCAGCACTTTGGGAGGCCTAGGTGAGTGGATCACGAGGTCAGGAGATCAAGACCATCCTGGCTTAACACGGTGAAACCCAGCCTCTACTAAAAGTACAGAAAAATTAGCCGGGCATGGTGGCAGGTGCCTGTAGTCCTAGCTACTTGGGAGGCTGAGGCAGGAGAATGGCGTGAACCCGGGAAGCGGAGCTGGCAATGAGCTGAGAGCACGCTACTGCACTCCAGCCTGGGCGACAGAGCGAGACTCTGTTTCAAAAAAAAAAAAAAAAAAGTTGTGGCAGTACTCCAGGCAACACATGATGGTACCTTGGACTCTTAGACCGTGGTGGTGGACATATGAGAAGTGATTATTTGCAGGATGTTCAGTTGAATGTTGTTGACTTGGGTTGCCTCGGAAGCAGACTCAGAGATAACAAGTCAGGCACAAGTAGTTTGTTTGGGAGGCACTCCCAGGGAGTTTGGGTGGGAGAATGTGGAAGTGGCACAATCAAGGGAATGAAGTCAATATAGAGCACATCAATGAGCAGGTTACCACTGTGGGCAACTGGGGCCTAATCCAATGGGCACATCTCATGCCTTAGAGTTATCCCACCATGGGGTTGGCACAAAGTTGGGGTAGTTACTGATCAATTCGCATCCAGTATTGGTTGAGGACAACTCTTGGAAACTCCCCAGCATTTCTTCCATGCTCTGTGGGCAGAGTGTGCATATTCTTCTGTCTTGAAGAAGCCCTCAGGCAAAAAGTCACAGGTGCTTACAGGAGGAAGCCATAAGGTGGGCATGCGTGGGAACAGTGAGTGTAGAGTGGATGTGTGCAGGGCACCATCTGCCATAGATCCTGACTGTGAAGGAAGGAGAGGAAAGAAGGCTGACCCTTAGATCATTAGTTTGAAGAACTGAGGGGGGAGAGATGTGATTTATTGAGATGGAGAAGCCTGGGTTAGAAACAGGATTGGGGAGGTAAGAATTAAGTGTTGTGTTTTGGGTACATAAAGTGCTTAGTAGAGTGCCTAGCATTGAATACTGCACACTTTTTTAAAAACATGTTCAAAATAACAAAAATGGCAGCCACGTTGGAGATGTCCATTAGACATCCAAGCTGATGTTGAATAGGAAGTTGGACATGGACACCCAGAGCTTAGGGATAGGGAAGAGATAGAAGTCATCAATCAGTTTAAGAGGATGGCAACCACCGATAAGACAGACAAGTCAACAAACATGAGACAATTTACAAGAGTTATGAGTCAAGTGGTATGGAAACACAGGGAAGGGTGCAGTCAGTTATTTCACAGACAGGGAGGACGGGCAGTTAAGGGAGTGGGAACAGCTATAGAAAAGCTGCAGAAGCATGATTATCAGACCATGTTTTGATTACTCTCTCTACCCTAAATTTAGTAGAATAGGCTGAACATCCTGCTCATGCCCTTTCATTGCTTCTGAGACTGAATTTGTAACACCTTCAGTCTACACAGCTCTCTGTCAGCAGTGCAGGAGGAGAACCCACCATTCATTTTAATACACCAGCCTTGCCTTTGCCCATCTATTCCTTACTAGGTCTATCCTAAGCAAGGAGGAACCTGAACCAGGTTGATCAGAAATTCAGCCCCTCAATAAGCCCTGTTTTATTGGCAGGTTCTTAACAGGCCAGTGCTCATGCATGGTTCTACCTTTCTTGCATCTGGTCTCTCAAGTGTTAAGTCAACCTGGGTGAGTCTTTTCCTAGAGTTGGAGTTGGAATGCTTTTTCTGTAATGGGCAAACTAGAAAGAAGTTTGGGCTTTGTTAGTTGTGTAGTCTCTGTTGCAACAACTCATACTCAACTCTACTGTTGTAGAGTGGAAACAGTCACATATAAAAATCAAACAAATGGTCATGGCTATGTTCAAATACATCTCTATTTACAAAAATAGGTGTTGGGGCCAGACGCAGTGGCTCACGCCTGTAATCCCAGCACTTTGGGATGCTGACGTGAGTGGATCAAGAGGTCAGGAGTTCAAGACCAGCCTGGTCAATATGGTGAAACCCCATCTGTACTAAAGATACAAAAATTAGCTGGGCGTGGTGACACATGCCTGTACTCTCAGCTACTCAGGAAGCTGAGGCAGAAGAATTGCTTGAACCCAGGAGGTGGAGGTTGCAGTGAGCCGAGATCACGCCACTGCACTCCTGCCTGGGTGACAGTGAGACTTTGTCTCATAGATAGATAGATAGATAGATAGATAGATAGATAGATAGATAGATAGATGGATGTTGGGCTGGATTTAGCCTATGGCTATAGCTTGCTGACCTTTATTCTAGAAGCATGACTATGATCCTCATCTATGCAGTGGCTGAGTAGGTGGAATTAGTGCTCATTCTGCTACCTAGCAACTGAAGATTCATTAGAGGGCACAGGAAGGAGTTCCTTTCCTGGGCTTCTCAGGCTGAGCCATGTTCTACAACTTAGCCTTTCTTAGGTTTTAGATTCGGGTAATAAAGTGCCTTCCTAGCTATTAATGGGTCATAATTTTGTTCTTTCTGTGTCCAACGCCCTTAGACAAACATCCTGGAAGAGAAGCAATACAGGTGCTAGGTTTTGGGCACCAATCTCTGACCTAAATCTGGGTATGGCAAAAATGTTATAAGGATAGGTAAGTGCTCATTTCACAAATGTGGGGCTTATCTCTCACTTTTCTCCTCTTGTTCTTTCTCCTTCTTCTCCTTTTCGTATTTCTCTTCTTGCTCCTCATTCTACCAAACCTTGCATCCATATTGCCACCAGTTTAGGCCATCTCTAGGTGGAAGATGCTTCTAGCTACTGCAGGTAACTCTTAGAACTCAGATTCCAGCCCTAGCCTCCTCTTCTATCCCAGCCAGGTAACTCCATCTCCTCCAGGCAACTTGCCAGGTCTGTTCTCTGTATGTGAAGGGAGGTTGCTGCTCTCAGTGGTAGCACTGGACTTCTGGATGTCAAAGCTGATCTATTGAGGGTGGATTTTGTACCTGAAACCCTCTGTGATAAAAGCCAATTGTTCAACCAAACATGTCCCCCTGAAAGTGGGGTGAAGCCAAAAGCAGGATAGCATGACTGTTTTCATACTAATTTTTTGAAAAAATAATTGCGTTGAGTACTTGCCATGTGCCAGGGTTTGGGTTACCATTAGCTTAAGGTCTCTTTATGACTGCACATTAGAATCACCTGGGCAGGTTTTACAACTCCCAAAGCCAAGGTCCTTCTCAAGACCAATGAAGTCAGACTCTCTGGGGTGGGACATAGGCATTGGTAGTGTTTAAAACTCCCCAGCTGATGCTACTATGCAGCCATAATTTTTGCAAATAGTGACTTTAAAATATTTTCCCATGAGTCTCCTCATTGGTTCCTTTTGTTTTGGGTTTGTCCCCTCCAATCCATTCTCCACTGTAATCAGAAAGATCTTTCTAAAATGTGAATAGGACCCAGTGATTCCTCTTGCCATTGCCTTCAGGATAAATTTCAAACTCTTTAGTGCAACATCCTTAATGACTTCACCCCAAATGCCCCTGCAGCATCACTTCTTGCTCTTATATCTATCCTACCAGTTATAAGGTGTTTAAAATTTATAAGACTTTTCGCATGCTGTTCCCTTTACCTGAAATTCCCTTCCACCTGAGTCCGTCTGACAAACTCCTACATGTCCTTCAAAACTCAGCGTAAGCATCTTCTTTGTGGAATCTTCTCTGTTCACTCTCCCTCACCCCACTGCATCCCCAGGTAAAGCCAGTTACTTCTATTATTAGATAGACTTCTTTGCATCTAATAATTTAACTCTATTTCTCAACTTGGTCATAGGCTTCTTCAAGGAAAGGGTAGCATCTTTGTCACGACTGTATCTCCAGAACCCGATGCTGGCTCTATACTTCAGATGTGCTTGAAAGACCTATTTAGGATGAATGAATGAGTGGAATAATTAGTGAATGAGGTGGCTTCTGTGCTTTCAGAGGGCAAATATCCTGGGATCTTAGAGGTGTCAGTGACCTTGAAAATTGCCTAGTTGTGTTCCCATCCACAATGGCCTTCCAAGCAGCTGATAAGTGGATCCATAGCATCTATCACTTGGATAACCTCCATGACAGATAGCTCACCACTTCTCCAACTTTTGGCCTCACTTTTGGACAGACTCACCAGAGTTTTTTCTTTACTCAACCTCACTGCACTTTGCCTATGCCATCTCATGGGGCCCCACAGAATAAATGTGTGCCCTTTCTCTGTCCTGTGACATCCTGCAGAGATTTCATGAAAGTCTCTTGTATTCACTCCCAGAATCCTTGAATGGCAGTTTGGGGTCCTCTCACCATCAACAAACACCATGCCTTCCAGGAGACACCCCAGCATGCACCTATCCCTCAACAATCCTAAACCGAACAAAACAGTTGTGATAAGTGGGTGGCAGTTCGTGGGAAACCACACAGGCCCTGTCATGGTCCTGGGAGCCTCTGTCTCCCTTAGTGGGGGCTGAAGGGGACCGAGTAGGCCTGGGGGCTGTGATGATGTTGATAAAAGCAGAGGAGGGATGCCTAATAGAGCCTCTGGGAGGGAGTGGTAATGACCCCGTAATTGGCAGACTTTGATCACACATCCATTTCCCTTTTTAGGGAGCTACAATCTAATAAGGGATAATCTCTTGAAGCAAAAAAAATATGAGGGGGAAAAGTATGAAAGAGAGACTCATTTCCATCTTCAAAGTGAGCAAGCTAAGGGCATTATTTTTCCATTAGTGGCTAGTTACAGTAGATTGACCAGGGAATGGTGGCAGTCATTAGGCGCTAATCACATTCTTTTGAAACCAAAATTGCCATCTCATTATATTCATCCATTATCAATCTCCGCTTTCCTTTTCTCATTCTCTTCTCCTGAGAGTGCTGGGCCCTATTTTTACATTCCTCTCTGAGTGTGGAAATGTTTCCTACTCTTCAACAGTGTTGTTTTTCCAAGGCAGTCATTTTTTTTTTTTTTTTTTTTTTAGTTCAAAAGATGTATTTGGGGATGTCCTTATCCCTGGAGAGCTGCGCCGTGGTATTTATAGAATCCTCAAAAGTCAGATTTGGAAGGATCTTTTGAGAAAATTATTGACTCATTTTATAGATCAGCAAAGTGAGGTCCTGAGACAGGAAATGACTTGCCCAAGAATATACATTGAGTCTGTCCCCACTCCCTCCCTCACTCACTTCCTTCCTTCCCCAGTGACCATCTGGATGCCAGGTGCTGGGATAGACAGGGACCCGGGCAAGGGACTAGATAGGGTGGTGTGGGGAGAACTCTGAAAAGGGGAGATCTGAGAGGGAGAAAAGCAGCCCCTGAATTCTGGGAGCTGACCTGGCACTCACAGGTAGGCCTTGGTGCTCTCCTGCTGAACGTGGACAATTGCACGGAAGACCAACCACAGGCAAGGCCGCTCTGAGGCCACGATGGAACAAGACAAAAGCAAGTTGTATCTGGATGCAGACAAAGATATGAACATTGTCCAAGCCAAAAAAATGACCAAACACCCCCATATTCTGGTTAATATGAGCGGCCTGATTCTTTGCCAATTACAGCTCTAGCCTCTATCTGATCTTCCCTTCTTATAGGTAAGATGTATTAAGATATCCAATCATACCACTTCCCAGTGTGTCCAACCTAAAACAAAGCCTCACCTCCTTAGGGCCTCTTTCAAATCAGCAAACACAGCCCACATTCTGAGTCCTTCCTAACATCCTCTTCCTGAAATGTCCCACAGGAATGCACACTTCCAGGTATGCATTCACTTCATTGCAACAAGTGATAAACCCAACTTGTTCACCTCCAGGAGGTGTGTCCCTGCTGATCTCTGGCCAATACATTTCAGCTAAAAACTAAATGATAAGCAGATGCCAGCTTTGGCGAGAGCTGGGGAAGGAATGTTCCATTCAGAGGGAACAGCAAGTGCGGAGGCCCTGGGATGGAATGAGCTTTTTGTGTTCTAGAGCCTCTAGAAAGGGAGGCTCTCCAGAGCAGAGAGAATAAGAGGAGGATGACAAATAATGTGGATTTGGCTTGGGGTTGGGGCAGGGTGTTCAATCAAGGTCTCGTGGACCAAGGACAAGAACGTGAGTTTTATTATAATTCAATGGGAAAGTTTTGGATTTTTTTTTTTTTTTGAGATGATGGAATTTCCCTCTTGTTGCCCAGGCTGGAGTGCAATGGCATGATCTCAGCTCACCGCAACGTCTGCCTCCTGGGTTCAAGTGATTCTCCCGCCTCAGCCTCCTGAGTAGCTGGGATTACAGTCCTGTGCCACCACACCCGGCTAATTTTTGTATTTTTAATAGAGACGGGGTTTCTCCATGTTGGTCAAGCTGGTCTCGAACTCCTGACCTCAGGTAATCTGCCTGCCTTGGCCTCCCAAAGTGCTGGGATTACAGGCGTGAGCCACCGCGCCTGACCCAGAAACTTTTTAAGAGGGGTAGGCTGAGCTAGTGCCAGCATCATGATAAATGGCAGACAGTGCTTGTCACTGGAACCTTCTTTATCCTTGATGATATGCTTTATAGATTTTAGAATAAAATTATCATCTGGTACCCGCCCCAGACTAACTCTCCCTGCGAGTGCAACCCACCCTCCTATCCACAGAGCTGAGCCCATGGGAGGCTCAGACCACATGACCACAAGTCACAGACTTCTTGTGTTCTGCTGTGCTGACTCAGTCCATAGGACTATGAAACCTACCTCAATGTCCCACTTAGTACGTTCATTTTCTGCTAGAACTGAGAATGATCGCTGATGCCTGTGTGGCTGATTTTTTCTTCTACCTGGTTCTACTGAGCCAAACCAACAGAAGCTTGCCATCCTTCTTTAGACACTCTTCTTTGCACCTAAGCCCTTCTGAGTTATGCCTAAAATAGTAAGATGTCAAAACACAAAGCTTCCTAGAGCAGCTCACTCCCAATTCAAGGCTGAGGGCGTGTCAGCCCATTTCATTTACCCATTTACCTCCTATCCTCAGCAGATTCTGTCATTTGCAATGCCCCCCTTCACTCTCCTTTGCTTGACTGTATCCCTGGAGATAATTGGATATGTTATGCCCTAGGGTGCAGCAAAACCAGGCCAGGGATCGCTGATGAGGCAGTTCCTGGCTGATGCTCCAGGGCACAGCTGAGGGCTTGCCGCCTCCATGTTCAGTCCAGCCTGCCAGGATTTCTCCACACCCCTGTCCAACACTGTACTCTCCTGGTGCAGGGAACACTCTGGAGAGTCTTCAGCAAGGAGGCACCATTTTACCTGGGTCTTTCCTTCATTTGTCTTGTCAAGAAATACACTTGCACACTAACTGTGTATGCGAGTCAGGGAAAAGGCAGAGCTTTGCAAAAGGCAGACAGACTAAAATGTTTGAATATTTTTACTGCAAATAAGTTCACCACTTCGAGTGTCAATAAACGTTTCTGAAAAGAGTCAGTAATACATCCTGAAGGTTATGGGTGGGGAAGGATTTAACTATACAGAAGTAACGCAAGGTAACTTTTTGGTTGATGAAATTCTCATGTGTCCTGATTGTGTTGGTGTTTAAACGACTCTATTTATTAAAACTCATAAAACTGTACACTCTCCCAAAACTAATTTTATACTATGTAAATTTTAAAAAATGGAAAATAACACACCCCACGGAATTTTGTGATGATTAGTGACTACCCGATACAATACCCATAGCACCTGGCACAATGCCTGGTACACAGTAGGTGCCCAGAATCTTCCATCTTCCATATCCTCTTTCCCAGGGATATAATATTGAGCCTTTTTGGTCCACTTGTAGAAATCATTCTCTTGCCATCTTCAGTCAAAAACATCAAGGATTTTTTTTTTTTTTTTAATTTTACTTTAAGTAAGTTCTGGGATACATGTGCAGAACGTGCAGGTTTGTTACATAGCTATACATGTGCCATGGTGGTTTGCTGCACCTATCAACCTATCATCTAGGTTTCAAGCCCCGCATACATTAGGTATTTGCTCTAATGTTCTCCCTCCCTTTGTCCCCACCCCCACCCCCTGACAGGCCCTGGGGTGTCATATTCCCGTGTCCATGTGTCCTCATTGTTCAACTCCCACTTATGAGAACATGTGGTGTTTGCTTTTCTGTTCTTGTGTTAGTTTGCTGAGAATGATGGTTTCCAGCTTCATCCATGTCCCTGCAAAGGACATGAACTCATTCTTTTCTATGGCTGCATAGTATTCCATGGTATATATGTGCCACATTTTCTTTATCCAGTCTATCATTGATGGGCATTTGGGTTGGTTCCAAGTCTTTGCTATTATAAATAGTGCTGCAGTAAACATATGTGTGCATATGTCTTTATAGTAGAATTATTTATAATGCTTTGGGTATATACCCAGTAATGGGATTGCTGGGTCAAATGGTATTTCTCGTTCTAGATCCTTGAGGAATCGCCACACTGTCTTTCACAATGGTAGAAACATCCAGTTTCTTTTTTCTTACAAGGGCAAAGATGGGAAATCTCTGAAACATCTATTCTGGTTTGCCTCAGACCAAAGGGATTCCCAGGATGTAGGACTTTCAGTTTTAAAACTGGGACCGTTTTGGGAAAATTGGGATAAGCTGGTCCCTCTAGGTATAGGTAAAATAGCATTTAGGGAATGGGAACGTTTCATAATCTGTTGGGAGCCTAAGGTCTGGTCTCTATTGTGGTCCACGGGTTCAGTTAACACATTTACTGATGTCGATGGTCAGCTTGTGGGTGACAAGGGAATCACAGCTCTGCAGGTTGTGCACAATCGAAGAGCATTGCATCTATGGGAGCACCATGCATACGGCAGAAATTTTAGGGTTTCCATATTTATTATGAACATTTTCTGGAAGGTGACAGCCAAATATCTTGAGACAGGTGCACCTTTTGTTATTTCACTCTAAGGTGCTGTAGGAGTTAGTGGTGGCCTTGGCAGAGGCCAAGCTTTCAACAAATTCCATCTTCTGTGCTGAAAAGCACAAGACTTAGGGATTATAAATGTGGACAGAGAAGGCAGGAGAGGATGACTAATGACGTCTATTCAGAGTGGCATCAGGAGAGCAAATATTATTGCATACCATGTCACTAAATAGACAGTAATTTATGAGTTCTGCTGGTGAAGCTAAGTAGAAAATCAGATTGCAGCAAGATGGGGGTATTTGTCTGTGACAGGAACTTTGATCAAGGCAGAGAAGTTGAGTGCATGTCTGCATGTAGACTCACAAAACACTCTTTAAAAGGCCCAATTAAAAGCTACAAGTTCTCCTTTAGGTGACAAATTCCCTGCCTTCAAGAAGTCTATAGCTTAATGGGAAATCTCACGCGAGGGTACCTCTATTCCTCCCAGCTGTGAGTCTACAATCTTGGGGATCCCCATAATTCACTTCAGGCTACAGACTTCCAGCTGTCTACACCCGTCTCCATGGTCATGCATGAGCTTCCGGGTGGCTGACTCCAGACCAGCAACTCTCCTCTAAACTTGCAGCCAGCTATGGTGAAGAGGCAGACTGCCAGGGGCCATGATCATAACCTTGGTAACTGTTTTCAAGAAAACTGTGCAACGGGTGTAAGATTCCTATTAAATCTCCCCAACTAGTTTCATTTCTCCTTTCATAGGCAGGCATCTTTGTTTCTCCTAAAAAAAAATTGGCTGCAGCATTTTAATCATTTCGTTTTTTGCTTCCAAGCTTTGCACATGTAGTTCCCTCTTGTACACAACCTTCTCCTCTACCCATCTTCTTCTACTTTTCTCTAACTCGGAGTCTTATCTTTTCTGAAACTTCTGATAGCTTTTGGCAACAAGAAGTGGCAAAAAGCAAGTGTGTCTCCAAAGCATTTGAACTAGAGTTCTGTTACATCATTACATGGTGTGGCAAGACCACGAGCTTTCTTTAAAGCAGCATCTTTATTTTCTTTATTTATCTTTCTATCTCCAGTGCCCAGTGTTAGGTGCACAATAAATACTCAGTCAGTGTTTCTGGCCAGATTAGTGTTCATAAAATAGAAGCATATACTATCAGCCTTTAGAATTTCATGCTAAGCCTGTAGTCAAACATTTCACAGATGAAAATGAGACCCAGAGAGGGAAGAGTCTTGCCCAAGACCACCCAGAGTCTCAGGAGCAGATTGAGGACCAGGTTTTGACTCTTGGTCAAAGGATTTTTCTATAGTACCACCTGAAAATTGCTCACTTGGTTGGGGGAGATCCTGTATTAAATACACAAAAAACCCACCATGTGCTCTGTTAGAAACAATATTGTAAGTAGAACAATAAAAATAGGCTAAAAGGGAAAGACTGAGTCTCTTCCCTTTTCCCTTAATGGGGAATCTCACACGAGGGTACCTCTATTCCTCCCAGCTGTGAGCCTACAATTTTGGGGATCCCCATAACTCACTTCAGGCTACAGACTTCCAGCTGCCTACACGTGTCTCCATGGTCATGCATGAGCTTCTGGGTGGCTGACTCTAGGCCAGCAACTCTTCTCTACACTTGCAGCCAGCTACAGTGAAGAGGCAGACTGCCAGGGGCCATGATCATAACCTTGGTAACTCTTCCAAGATCCTAGATCCCTCCAAGATCCTTGGTAACTCTTCCATGATCATAACCATAGTCTCTTCCATGTGAGCTCTTTCCTGCTGGAAAACTCTCAAGTTTGAAACCACAGCGGTCACTGATGGCTTTTGGCCACTCCCTATAATGGCCTATTGTCTTTTTTCAATCTGGAGGTGGGGTGGAGTGGAGTGAAACGAGCAGGTGGAGCCCAGGTATTCCTGTTTTGGTCATTATGAGTTCCCAGAGTTGAAGAACCCCATGGATTTCCCATTCATGATTTGGGCGTGGGCCAGTAATTCCTCATGCCCCTCCCTAGAACCATGCTCATCTGCAAATTGAGGAGCTGAACCAGAACCTTTCTGGGGTTGCCTGTGGTGGGATATTCTGTCATCACTCTGTTACCAACTGAGGAGAACAAACCTTGTGGGAGAAGCAGAGGTGTCCTCAGACACTGCTCAGGGGGCTCTGAGCAGAGAAGGGAGCACCTGGGGTGACCTGAAACTTCCATCTCTATAGTTATACCCCATTCAAAAGCTGCCTGCCTGCCATCACCCCATCACCCACAGATGACTAAGAACAAGATGGCAACACAGGCCTTCCCCACAAAAGCCATACATATGGTGTGTCCGTCCTGAGCTGGAAAATGAACAAATGTTTGCTCTTCATTAGGCTGCATCATATTCCTCACAGCTGTTCCTTGTTGCTTTAAATAGTCTTAATGGAGCTGTAATAACCAGTACCTTCTGGTTGCCCTACTGGGCTGGTTCCATTCATTATGGCGACAGCCTGTCTGGATTGAACTGGGATGAATGTGCTTCTTCCTTCTCTCCCATCACAAAGTCACCTCTTCCAATTCTCCCTTTTCTTCCCTAAACCTGCTGCTCTTCTGACTACCATGGCAGCAGTTACATGGGACACAGATAACTCGGCTCTCCAGCCCACATCTCTTATATTTTGCTGTGATGCTTAGGGTTTTGCTGTGTAACAGGGGAAGGTGGGAGAACTGGAGCTGGGGGGGAAGCAGGCTGGGGAGGAGGGAGGATGCTGTGGTTCAGAATCACATGCTCTTGACTTTAATAGGAAGGGTATATGGTTCAGAATCACATGCCCTTTCATCAGCAGGAGTAGACCTGAGGGTTGGCAGAGCATGCCAGGGGATGTGTGTGGGCACATGCTGGGGACTCCATGGGTTTTCTTAGTGGTTCTCAGCTTTAAAAGTATATTCACATCAACCGGAGGGCTTAGAAAACACTGAAGTATATATCCCACCCCCAGTGATTCTGAAATGTGGCTGTACACTGAAGTATACATCCCACCCCCAGTGAAACTGATCTGAAATGTGGCCTGAGCATTGGTGTTTTTTAAAACTTCCCCAGGTAACTCTAATGCGCAACCCAAATTGAAGGCCTCTGACTGAGGCTCAGATCTATCTGGCAGGTGAAGTTAATTTGTCTTGGGCCTCCTTGAGCTCCTAGGAGCCCAAGGCCCTTGGCCAATTGTGGTTTTTAGAACTTGAGACATAACCATGGAAGCGGCAGCCCCAGATAGTGAGGTCCCATGCGACCATCAGTGGGAGGGAGGCCCAGCTGGCTCGGCCAATTGGTTCTTATTTAGACTCCCAGAATATCAGTGACAGAAGGGTTATTTGGATCACTTTGACAAACCCCTTTGCTCCCACTGCATAAATGTGGAAATGGAGGCCCAGAGGAGAGTGACCTGCCTAAGGTCACCTGAATACTTAATGAATGTTATAGGACTTGATTCCAGGCATTTTGACTCTTCAATTCAAGATAGTTCATACATTATTTCAAATAATTGAACTTAAAATATATATTGAGAGACTCAAGTTTTCATGCCAACGAGAACAAGCTGATTTTATGGCTCTACATGCAGAAAAAGTGCGTAGGCTTGTCTGGGCTCTGGGCCCAGTCTCCTGGTTTGGGCAGCCCCATATTTTCCTTGAATTACTGTCCCAGCCGCCTACCTGCCTCTGTTGTCCCTGCTCTGATCTCTACAAGATCTAAAATGCAAATCTACTTTAGAAAGTCCTGCTCTCTTCGATGGCTCCAGTGGCTTCTTGATTACAATCCAAAGTCATTAGTGTAACAAACACTCATCTTTTGCTTCATCCTGGCCCCTGTTGACAGTTTCAGCCCCATCTCCCTCCATGCTTCCTCCCAAACCGTTTCTGGTTCCCCTCACTCAACCTGCTGTGCCCACCCCTGTGCCATAGCTTATGCTAGCCGCTCTGCCTGGAACGCCCTTCCCTTCTTTAATTTGGTTCTTCCTACTTCTCAAGCTTCGGTTGAGGCTTCATGTCTTCCAGAAAGCCACTGGCTATTTACCTTTAGGCTGGGTTAATGCATCCCACCCCCAAGGATTCTCATAGCTCTGGATATACCTCTATGGTGGCATTTTTTGGCTCTCAGAATAGGCTCTACATTCCCTAGCAGGCAAGGGCTCTATTTAGTTCCCAGAGCCTAGTACAGTGTCTGTACCCTGGAAAATGCTCCCATATCTTAAAGTTGAAATTCTGAAAGGCCTGGTCCTAGGTCCTTGTCTCTGTCTATACTCACTTGCTTGGTGACCTCACCCAGTCTTGTGGCTTTAATCATCTATAGGCCAATAACTCCCAAAGCTTTCTCTCCAGCCCAGGCTTCTTTATCAAATTCCAACTTCATAGATCCAACTACCTTCTTGCCACCACATGGAGACACTAATATGTCTAATGGACATTGCAAACTCAATTTAACATGAAACTACTGATTGTTCCAGCTCTGCTTTACTTGAGCATCCCCATTTCCATTAGAGGCAGCTCCATCCTACCAGTGGCACAAACAACAGCCTTGGAGTTACCCTTAATTCCTTTTGTAACATACACCATGTGTTAGGAAATGCTGTTGGCTCCATCTTTTAAATATATTCAGAATCCAACCACATCTCACCACCTCCTCTGCCATGCCCTGAGTCATCGTTGTCTGTCACCTGGGTTACTGCAATGTCCTCTTAACTTGCTTTCACCCTTGCCTTCCTAAGTTCCATTCTCAACACAGTAGCTAGAAGGAAGTAAGGTCAGATCATTAGCACTTGTCTTCTCAAAGCTCTGAGGTGGCTTTCCATTTTAGTCAGAGTAAAAGCCAAAGTCCTTATAACGGCTTGTAATGCATAGCATGGTCAGGTCCCTCTTTATTTCTCCAGTCGAATCTCCTATTACTCTTATCCCTTGCTCACTCTTCCTCTGCCACCCTGGCCTCTTTGCAACTGCTTGTACATGCCAGATATATTACTCTCTGGATCTGGAACTCTCTTCCTCCAGATATCTTCCACCATGTCTATATTCCAAGTTTCGTCATCTAATTAAGGACTATCCTTTTATCCTTTTTACTATTGGAACCTCCTCTACTTCATGTCCCTGGAACAAATCTCCCTTCCTTGCTCTATTCTTTCTTTTTCCATGGTACTTGTGGCAGACTGTATTATTATCCAAAGATTTTCTTTTTCTTTTTTTTTTTTTGGAGATGGAGTCTCACTCTGTCCCACAGGCTGGAGTATACTGGCACGATCTCAGCTCACTGCAACCTGTGCCTCCTGGGTTCAAGTGATTCTCCTGCCTCAGCCTCCAGAGTACCTAGGGTTACAGGCACCCACCATCACGCCTGGCTAATTTTTGTATTTGTAGTAGAGAAGGGGTTTCACCATGTCGGCCAGGCTGGTCTTGAACTCCTGACCTCAGGCAATCCACCCACCTCAGCCTTTCAAAGTGCTGGGATTTTCTTCCCCCCCCAATATTTCTTGCTCTGCATGCTCCTCTAGAATCTGGCAACTGCCCCTCCTCCTCATCAAGGGATAGAGTCAAATTCCCCTCTCCTAGAAAGTGGGGAGTTTTTACCTGCTTACAACCAATAGTACATGGTAGGAATAATGCAGTGTGATACCCAAGTTTGGGCCACAACGGTGATGCACTTTTCACCTTGTTATCTGGGGAGCTCACCTATGGAGTTCTGAGCCACCATGGAAATCGTCCACCTATCCCAAGGCTACTACACTGTGAAGAAGCCCAGGCCACTGAAGAGGCCATGTGTAGGTCTTCCAGTGGACAATCCCAGCTGAAAGCCTGCATCAGTCACTAGACATGTGAGTGAAGACATGTTCAGATGATTCCAGCCCCCAGCCTTGGAGACTTCCTAGCCAAGGCTCTGAACACTGTGTAGAAGAAACAGGTTGTCCCTGTTGTACCCTGCACAGATTCCACAGAATCAATGAATGCAAGAGATTGGTTGTTTCATGTTGTTAAAATTTGGAGTGGTTTGTAACATAGCAAACAGTATTTCTCACTGTCTAACACACTACATTATATAATTTGCTTATTTTTTTAAGCTTATGTTTATTTCCTATTTCCCTTTCTAGAATACAAGCTTCAGAAGGGCAAGAATCTTTGTTTCATTCACTGTTGTATCCTAAATACCTAGAATTGTCCCTGGGAATAGTAAATAGTACATATTTACTGAACAAATTTTAAGTGATTATTCAACTGAATTGAATTTTGTCTTCTGATGCAGCTTGCTATGGCTGAGATGTCCCTTAGATGTCAACTTGTCAAACCCACTCATGTGTATGAAAACACTGAACAGAGCAGAGAAGTGACAGGCAACAAACAGCACAGAGCAGGTTGGTATGAGAGTAGCACTGGAGGCTCAGGAGTCTTTTATCTGCAATAGGACAATGATTCTCCTAGCAGATCTGTGACTCCTATGCTCAGGAGGATTACCGAGATATCACAGGAGCCTTGATGATCAAAGCAATCCAGCTGTATTCTGGGCTGGACATTGCGGGCTAGCACATTGTGAAATGACTTTTATCAGGCAATATTTTCCAATTAACCCTCAGTTAATCAGAAAATAATGTTAACTAGAAGCTAAGCTTTACAGCTTGCTGATTAATATAATTTGGACTAATTGAGGCCAAGGCTAGCCTAGTTAGATTTCTGGTTGAGATTCAAATGATGAAATAACATGTATTGTTTGTTTTCTCATTATAAAAGCTGTTCATTTCCATGCTAGAAAGTTTGGAAAATACAAAAGGGTACAACGAAGAAAGTTTGAAAAGCAACTCACCACACAGGGATGAATGCTTTAAAAGAAATATTAATCTAGAACGAAATGCATGAAAGTAGTCAAATACACTTGTAATTCTGTCTTCAAATTTCAGATTGCAAGTTCTTACATATGTGTTTCTCAGCATTTGGCTACTTGTCCCTTTTTTTTTTTTTGGTAAGCCACATATCTCCCTTAATGATATTTGAAATTTTTAATCAAATTGTTATGACTAATGTTGAATATACCATTTCCTTTCTTTCTTTTTTTTTTTTCACCCAAACAGCTATTTATTATCCACCTCCCATACTTCCAGTTTCTTTTGGGAGATATGCCACCTGGAGGCTGTTTTCCCAATCCTATGTTGCCTTCCTCACTTTCTTGCTAATTATTAAAATATAACCCATCCTCTGAAGGCCATGCTGTCTATAGAATCTTGTTTTTTTTTTCTTGGATATATGGCTTGAAAATATTTTCTTTTTTTAATTATTATTATACTTTAAGTTTTAGGGTACCAAATAACATAATCTTCCTGACATTTGTTCAACAAGCAGGTCTGCATACACACACAGAAAGCATGCTCACATGCACCCTATGTCCCAGAGACTGGGACCATTCAACCCCCTAGGAAATGAGATCCAGGGATGGGTAGTGATGAGATCATCTTCTTCAACTCTAATTCGAATATCCTTTCAAGATTTGTAGATGAGAATATGAAAAGTGCTATTTTACTTAGACCGTTTTTGAAATTAAGTGCTAGCTCTCCCAAGCTTGTAATTACTTACATCCATTGACATAAACATTTTTGTTCTTATAAATATGTCAAACATGCCCCTTGTCACCATGTTTTACACTCTCATAAAGTTTTAGGACCAGATAGGTCCTGAGAGATCACCTTATCCAAATTCTTCATTCGACTAATAAAGAATTTTAAAACTCAGATAGCAAAATTCTAAAATCAAACAGCTTACTACATTGGAATCCAGCTGTCTGCACCCCCAGTTTAGCACAATTTCATGACCTCATACGACTTCAGAAATATTGCTTTGTAAGCTCTTTCTCAGAATATAGTCTGAGGGATAAACTTAGTCTGCAATATTAAGAATTCCAAATGTGTGGAGTCTGAGCCAATGAGTTTTCTACTGCACACAGCAAAACTGAATCAAGCATAGCTGGGGCACACGCTGCATGTGAAGAAAAAAAAAAGAACAAACAACAAAAAAACCACAAATACATATAACTCAGACCATGGTACACAGAAGATACTCAAAAGATATTTTAGGAAAGAAGGAGGGAAGGGAGAGACAGGAAAGGAAAAGTGAAGAAAGAAATTCTTGTTTTCAAAGCTGGCTGCAGCTGGAGTCTAACTGCAACCAGGAGAGTTGCAGAATTATTCTTGGAGAGTGAGCTGCTCTTTGGTTCAGAAAAACGTCTTAATGCATTTTCCTTTTATTTTATTTTGCTTTTTGTTTGTAAAACGTGAGGCCTAATGGGCAGGATTTGAAACAAAAAGAGTGAGATAAAGAAAGCTAAATTGTTCTGCAAAATAAAAGAGGAACGTGGTGCCCTTTGTCTGGATGCTGAGGGGTGGGGGTGGAGGAAGTTTTGAAGACAGTAAAGAAGACTTTGAGGAGAAATTAGATAGAGACCTGTCAGGAGACCAGAACCTTAGAAGGCCTTACCAGCAATGTAGATGGTTAAGGAACTTATAAGAAGAACAACGTTGTATTGAGCTGCTGCCTGTCCTTTACTGCAGTCCTTCTCTATTATTCCCCAAACCTCGGTAACAACCACTACCTGCAAATCCTTTGTGTTAGGGATGCTTTGGGGAGATGGGAAAGGGATGCCCAGTGCAGGGTGAAGAGATGGTGCAGAAAGAGGGAACTGTGGTCACTGGAGATGAAGCATTGCCTTCGGGGGATGGGAGCGGGGACCAGAATACCACAGAAGCTTGAGTATGAGACAAGAGGTGACCAAGGGCAAGCATGCATGCTGGAAATCATTGGCAGGGGAGATGTGCTGGCTTTTCTACAGCATGTGGGATGGGAGCTTGAGCCATTCTGGCATAGTGAATGGAGGTGAGACTCCAAAGTGCAGAAACGTTGGAGGTAATGAAACTTTGGATAATGAAAGGGGAAGGGGAGAGAAACAAGAGTGAAAAAGGATGTCTTAGAATTATTTAGCATGGTGCTTCTCAAATTTAATGTGTATACAAATCACCTAGTTTCTGGTTAAAATGCAGGTTCTGATTCAGTAGGGAGGGATGGGGCCTGAGATGTTGCATTTCCTACACGCTCCCAGGTGATACTGAGGCTGCTGGCCAGGGAGCCATACTTTTTGTAGCAAGGCTTTAGTGCCCAAATAAGCCTCTGAAACTATCAGGAAGTTTCCCCACAGGCTGGTCTCTTACCTCGTATTCCTCCTTGAACCCGTAGCCCTGGCCTCTCTTCATCTGCGTGATGTGCTGCAGCAAGTCAGCCACCCGGATGGCGGGTTGGAACTGGTCCCGGGGGTAGCTCATCTCCACAGGGTCACAGGTGCGGTAGGGATGAGTCTGGATCGTGAGGGTGGGCTGGGAAAGCTCCCCGCGGCTGCCATCTGCTTCGAAAAGAAGGAGGCAGAACAGATCATCACCTATAGAAGCTTTGCCCTTTGTCCTCCCTGTCTCCCCCAGCTTGGCCTGAGGAGGGCAGAGGGAACCAACTTGGGACTCAACTGATAGGGAAACTGCAAAAGGATTGGAGATACACTCCTTCCCTGGCCTGGCTGTGTTGGTAGATCTAAGTATCAAACCCACAAGCAAACCAATGACCACAACACATTTCAAGGGCACAGACTGATAAAGTTCCAGGTTGTTCATCATCCCCGTCTGTCTCAGTCCTTCGTTTAGACTTTGTTGGGCAGAACCACTAAGAAGCTAGGCAGGCTATTTATTGGGAGCCCCCTCCTGTTTCGGAAGCAGAGAGGCTGGAAATAGTGCCTGATGCCTGTCTGCAGGGGAGGAGAGCCTCAGGTGGCCTCAGGTACTCGAAGATTGGAGTCACATGTATAATTCTGGTCTATTTGCCTGCATGGCTGTGACCTGGCTTCTCTACTATTTTTTTTTCCTTTGAGTTTTACCCTGGGAAGAATTGGGGCTAGTCTTGGACTGCCAGAAGCTAGCAGGGACCCTGACCCTCCCAGCTGCTCTCTCTAGTTATGAGCTCTGCCACAGTGACCACCTTCTTGCTATTGTATAGTTTCCCCATCACTTAATACTATTAATCCAGTGGCATCACTGAACCCACTTTGCAGATAGGGAAGCCTGGGCCTCTTCCTTCAGTGCTGCTAGCTACTTTCCCCGGGCCTGGATGCTATGTCTCATCGCCTTCATAAAATCTCTCCCTGATGTAGGATCTATATTCTCTCTTGATAAAAACCTTTTCATCCAATGAGTTGCTTTAACTGCCTTCTGTCAGTTTGGTCACCCTGAAAACTGATGCCTGGTCAGATTGGGTTTGAATTCTTCTGTTCCCCTTGGACGACTAGAACCAATTTCTTGCTTACCACCTCCCTGCCAGGCATACATTCTTGATCTCTCAGGGCCAGTTTACCTTTCCCAGAACCATCTAGGCTTGGTCTTCCCAACCTCCTTCCAAAGACATGGACAGTCTATGCCCCAGACCATCTTGTTTGTGGCATGCAAGAGATGAGAACTGCCAGCTGCAGCAGTTAATGTGTCTCCCCCAGATGTTTTCAGACCCTGCAAAACACCTATGCAGGTACCCACTCGGCCTATGCCATACTCATTCCCTGGGAGGTTTAGCATATATTCCCAATTTTCTGCAACTTGTCTTTTCAAAATCCATGTGCCCTTCAGCTTATTTGCCTGTCATGTTGGAATACTCCATCAGACATGGATCCTGTGTGTGAATGCACACTCTACTTCTCGGCAGCAGCATCGGCAAGCCTGTTCCTGGCAAGGAAAGATAATGGAAGGGAACACCTGACCTTCCTGCTTTCTAGGTGACCAACTTGTCCCAGTTTGACTGACAATTTTCCAGTTTTAACATTGAAAGTACAGCTGTTGGGAAACCTCTCAGTCATGGGCACACAGGAATGGTTGGTCACCCTAATGCTTTCACTTATATCTGTGGTTGGAGTAGGGGATAAATTTTTCACTTTGCAGCCTTCTGCCTGCCTCCACCTACCAAGGGAGGAGAGGCTACTAATCTGACTGGTCTGACTTTGAGACACTGATGGGGTCGTACCTAATTAGTAGGTGGGGTCATCGTAGGCAGAGTGTGGTCTCTAAAACTTCCTAATTCAGGGTGGTAGGTAAACATCTCCAAAGGAGAGACTGTCCTTTGGGGACCAGCCAAATAACCCCTGGACTGCTTACAGAAAGATTTCTAAGATTTAGATTTATGCACAAGAAAGAAGGGCCTAGGCAAGTCGTTAGCAAAACCTTCCTGACTGCACAGAGAAATACTGCTTACTTTTTCTCCCGGGATTTTAGGTAATAGCTAGTACATGTTCACTGGCATTGCTTAAATGTACCACTTGGCAAACATGGGGGTGTTCCCTTTCTCCATCAACCCCTTGGTTTCATGAGTTCGACTTACTGAGAACCCACTCTGTGCCAAGGACTATGGTAGGCAGTGGCAATGCAGACAGAAATACTGATTCCACCCTCAAGGCTTGACTGTCTAGCAAGGAAATAGACGAGAAGAATCAACTGAAGAAAAAGGACAGAGCCTGAGAGATGAAGGCACATGTAGTTAAGAACAAGGAGGTTGATAAGGAGTAAAAGCTGTGGGTAGAAATGTCAGGGGAGGGCAACACTGTAACAGATGGTGCAAGGCAGATCCAGAGACTGTGAATGTGCAAGACCCTTGAAGCCAGTGTGAACCTGCTGAAGGGTTTTAGGAGGAATCTCCTTCTTTAAAGACTCACACTGTTTCTTGTAGGTGTCCCAGCTGTCATGAATAGCTCTCATCGAAGGCATCCTTCCAGCGAATATCACTCCTGTGATGGTGTGATTGGAAATGGAGAGGAAGGGAGCACTTGTGTTTGATTCATCTAGAGATGGTACAAAGCTATGGCAAGAGCCACAGAGGTATGGATGCTGCATACCTAAAGCTTGGAGTCATGCCATACTCTATGATTTCTATGAAAGGATGAGCTGAGTCAATGCTAGGAGGCCTGTGAGTATTTCCCACCAAAGCTACCATCAAACATGGGGACAGTTGTCTTCAGAGACCCACAGTCTCCCAGAGGAACTTGGGGCATGGGCTGCATGGGAGACCAGCTGCCTGGGAAAGACAGGCTTCCTAGGAATGGGAACTTGGCTTTTTATGTGTGTGAGAAATGTCAAATGTTTCCAAAACCAAATAGCTGTCAATATGGATATTTTCCCTAAACACATTGCTAGACAGACTGTAAACTTGGTGTCAGCAAAACCAACACTGGAATGGAAAATAAATGCATTGAAATTTAACAACTTGTATTGCTGTAACATTTGCAATAATGTCAATGCCAGTGCTAATGATGCTATGAAGACTCAGAACCAAGGGATTTTCAAGGTTTATTAATCCAACGGGTTAGACTCCCCTTTCCAAAGTATCTTACCTCACCTATTCCCTTATTAACCTCTGATAATGCAGAAGTGATGTCTTTTATCACACTCCATTTCACCAGACGCACTATACTTAATTTTCCATCGTTAGGTTTAATGAAAACCCAATTTCACAACTCACTTCTCTCAGGAACCTACAAGTAATGCTACGTTTTTATCAGGCCCAATTAAAAGACGTTATGATGTTCCTGTTCAAGAGGGAGCCTTAAAACTAATGTGCGATTCTGCTGCTAATTCAACAAGGGCACTGGAATTCACACGCTGCTCATAAAATGTAACTCACACCAGCTGGCCCAGGGACAGAGGATTTTTCATTTTTTCTCCTCACCAGCCCCTTAATTCTCATGCCTTCTTCTGATTTATGGGTTTGGTATGTTTATTTATCGTGCAATAATATTTTGGATTTCTTTCACACTTTTTATATAGCTGTTACCTAACCCTGTGAATTCCCCTGCAGTAACTCTTGTTACTGCCCGCGAGGAGCTTGTGGGATGGGCAGAAGGATTTTGGTGCTGTGTATGAGATTTTGGGTTACTGTCTCACTGATTTCCTCTTTGCTGTCTTCCTGCTCTCTCCTCCTCTTCCTTGGGATCCTAGATTCATCACCGCTGCTGCCCACCCTTATCCCCTGCCCCACTGCTACCAGCCATATAGATCTCCCTCTACCTTTAGTCACATATTTCCATCACTTACTGGGAATTGCCACTCCAACTGGTTAAGAAATATTTAATGAGTACCTATACTGTACAATGCACGTTAGATATTGTGTTCATACAGCAGGGAGGTATGTTCAGGGAGAAATAAGCAGGCCACAGCCCTTGAAGGAGGGGAGAAGAAAATATAAGGTGTGCGTGAATAAGCCTAAGATAGGAAGAGACAGGCCCCTAAGAGATGGAAGAAGGATGTGCCATGGGGTTTGGCAATCTGGAAACATTCTCCAAGCATTAGGCATTCATGATCCACCTCTGTGTCTCTTGCCATAGTTGTGTACCATCTATGTGACAGCTGTCCAATAGAACTTTCCACAACAATGGAAGTGTTCTACATCTATGCTCTGCAATTTGGTGGCCACTAATCACATGTGGCTACTGAGCGTCTGAAATGTGGCTGATGAGACAGAGGAGCTGAATTTTAAATTTTGTTTAATTTTAATTAATTCAAATAGAAATATTTACAGGTGGCTTATGTCTACTATATTGGGCAGTGCAGATATACAGAAAGAGATAGGGAAAGAAAGAGAGTTCTAGAGTCACACAGTGGGGCAAAGAGGTCTAGAATAGCACTGGCCAGTGGAAATATATTGCAAGCCATGTATGTAATTTAAGATGGTCTTGTGGCAACATTAAATAAGGCGAAAAAGAACACATGAAAGTAATTTCAATAATACATTTTACCTAACCCCATATGTCTGAAATAATATTTCAACATATAATCACAAAAATTATTAATGCTATATTTTTACATTCTTTATTCACACAAAAGCTTTGAAATCCAACGTGTATTTTACACTTACAGCACATTTCAATTCAGACTGGCCATATTTCCAGGATTCAACAGACACTGGTAAATGGTAGGCTAATGTATGGGACAATGCAGGTGCACACAGACTTATCCAGAGCCAGATCAAGTTCTAAAGAGAGGTAATTTAGAGCTGGAGTAAATGCTAAATAAAAAGACACTGATCCAGTGTAAAACAGCTCTCACCCAGCACTATCCAAAAGAACCTTACACATTGACACCAATGTTCTATATTTGCACTGTTCAATATGGTAGTCACTGGCCATCTGTGGCTATTGAGCACTTTGAAATGTGCCTACTGGTGCTGAGGAAATGAATGTTTAATTTAATTTTGATTTATTTCAATTTAAATAGCCACAGGTGGCCAGTGGCTACTGTATTGAACAATGCAGATCTACACAATTACATCTTCAAAACTTTTCTTCAGATAAACTCTCAACTATTTTTTTTAACTTTGCCTCATTATGAATGATAGTGCAACATAAAATCATGAATGTGATGTGCTAATTTTGTTTTAGTGCTCACTAAAATGTTTACATAACTATTTGAGAAGAAGTCGGGGCCAGGTGCGGTGGTTCATGCCTGTAATCCCAGCAATTTGGGAGGCCTAGGTGGGCGGATTGTCTAGGTCAGGAGTTTCGAGATCAGTCTAGCCAACATGGTGAAACCCCATCTCTACTAAAAGTACAAAAAAATTAGCCAGGTGTGGTGCTGTGCACCTGTAATCCCAGCTACTTGGGAGGCTGAGGCAGGGGAATTACTTGAACCAGGGAGGTGGAAGTTGCAGTGAGCCAAGATGGTGCCATTGCACTCCAGCCAGGGGTGACAGAGCAAGACTCCATCTTAGAAAAAAAAAAAAGGGGGGTCTGTTCATGTTGCATGAGGGGAACTCAATCTGCACCCTGAGAAATGTTGAGTCTGGGTCCCAGAATCAGATAGAATGGGGTTTGGATCATTCCTTGGCCAAGTGACAAATCTTTCTGCATCTCAGTTTCTTTATCTATAATACAGAGAAAACACATGTTGTAAGGATTCAAAGAGATAGTGCATGCTGAGTGCTCAGTACAGTGTCTGGTATCCAGGAAGCAGTAAAAACCAGTATTTGTTCTGATGAATTTGTGCATAATGTCATATTGGACATATGAGAATCCACACACTAGAGATGGCATCTAGGGAGTCATTTAGGGCTTCTTTCGCCTTTCCTTGTCTCCTCTCTGCTTTCCTTTATGACACACCCCAAAGCCATCTATTTTACTCCATTCCTGCTGCTATTGCCCTCATTCAGGTCTTCATGACAGGACTACTCCATCAGTTTCCTGATGGCCCTTCCTTCTTTCACAGTTCCCTTTACAGAGCTTTGATCAAGTCATTTTTCTTAGCAAAAGTCTTCAGGGAGTCAAGACAAAATTTCTTAACTAGCTAATCAAATTCCTGTAGTTCCTTACCAGTATCAATGTATTTCTTCTATCACTATTCATCCTAGCTCCATGTGCTCTTTAGGGCAGGAGAGTATGAAGAGTGATGTGTAAGTAGCTAGCGACTGCTCATTGAGAGGAGAGAGTCTGGAAGAGGAGAGAAGTTTTGAGGTGAAGAGGAGGCTGGGTCACCTGCACAGAGTGGGGATGCAACTGGAACCAACACTGTGGGGACTGTGGCAACAGCAGGTATCAGAGTCAAAGCACAGACTCACTCTGAAGATAAAACATTGGATTCAAATGTGATCTTCACAGATTTCTAGCTATAGGACCTCAAATAAGTTACAGCTGACCCTTGAATAACATGGAGGTTAGGGGAACCAACCCTCTGTGGAGTTGAAAATCCATGTATAACTTATGACGCCCTCAAAACTTAACTACTAATAGCCTACTGTTGAGCAGAAGCCTTATTGATAACATAAACAGCTGATTAACACACATGTTGTATGTTATATGTGTTATATATTGTATTCCTACAGTAAAGTAAGCTAGAGAAAAGAAAATGTTATTGAGAAAATCATAAGGAAGAGAAAATATATTTACTATTTATTAAGTGGAAGTGGATCATCATACAGTTCTTCATCCTCATTGTCTACACATTGAGTAGACTGAGGAGGAGGAGGAGGAGGAGGAGGAAGAAGAAAGGTTGGTCTTGCTGTCTCAGGAGTGACAGAGTCAGAAGAAAATTCATATATTAAGTAGAGCTGTGCAGTTCAAACCCATGTTGTTCAAGGGTAACCATACTTTGAGCCTAAGGTCTTTATTTGTAATTGCTGATGGTGATGACAATGATCATGATTGATCATCATCATCTTCTTCTGAGAAGGTTGTTGCAAGGGTTAAATGTGATTCCACTGGAAGAAATCTCAAGGTGGAACCTGGCTGGCAGTCAGTGCCTCCCCTCTTCTCCCTCACAAAATACTAGAAAAGGCTCAAGATAATAAACTTGTAACAGCTCTGAAATCTAAGTCTATCCACTAACCTATTGCCAGAATCTGGGAAGAAAACTTGTTTATTATTGCAGCAGCACACATCCCATGTGCAGGAAGATATATATTTCAACTGCTAAAAATTTCTCGAAAATCCCTCTCTCAATTGATTCAACATAATCTCTCAATTGATTCAACCACAGGTAGTTTCCCCTCCAACGCTGGAAGTGATTACATTTCCTTGTTGAAGCATAAGATGAAGCAGTTGGCTTGTGCTTAGGAGTCATGTTGTAAGAATGCTCTGTTCTGTGTTTCTGAATTCTAGACTTGCACTAGCATAGGTGTATGAGATTTGTGACCCCTGAGGAACAGTAGATTCACATCCTCTTACTCAATGTAACAACAGATGGATTTACCTTTTCCCATCTTTCTTATGTCTGACCAAACACATAGTAGGGTTGAACTTGTAGAACTAATAGTAATAGAATGCCACTCCACTGTGCCATTTTCTATGGAGCTGAAACAAACATGATACAATTGACTTTGATAGACTTTGTTACTTGGGATAAAGCAAACCCAATGGCCTGAAGAACAGAAAAGAAATGCTTCCAATTTTCTCATTTTAATTCCTGAGCTCAGAGAATCAAAGACTGTATCAACCATATAGCAGGGTTGGGGCATTTCCAAGCTCTTTCTCCTCCTAAACCTCCATCACTGGGGTCTTTGACATGGTAAAGACAAAAGATGGTATCTTTGTTTCCGAGACGCAGATTCAGTGTTAGGAAGCAATTGTGATGGGAACAGTCATGGGAAAATGCTTCTAGGATTCATTTACTGTTTCTGATAAAGAGATCAATCCTCCTGCTTGTGGGGGAGAGTATGAATTCCTTCTTTCACAGCACTCACACCAGATGGAAGGATGGTGTTAGACACTCTATGTAGGGATGGGGGCTATAAACATCCATTGCTCCTCTTGCTTAAACCACTGCCAGAATTTGGGAGGAATATTGATGAATTATAGCAGCATCACACATGCCAGGATGGTATGGAATAAAAGGATTCCAACAATAACTAGTTGGACAGTGAGGCAACGATGAGGATCTACCTCCTCTATTTACTGGCAAGCAACAGGTCTGGAGAGACTTCTCTTCCTTTAAAGTTAAATAAACAGAAACAAGATAATATGAGGTCTTAGAAGAAAATCCACCATGTTAACAGTAAGGAAAGTGATAGCCTGGATACCGTGAAAAGTACAATTTTCAAACACACACACACACACACACACACACACACACACACACACACACACACAACAGTCAGTATTGACTGTTGACCCAAGAGCCATCCCCTGTCTTGTTATTTTCTGGCTAAGTTCACCGTATGACTTGGTGGGGGCGGGGGCAGGGAATGACCCTACTCCCAAAACAAGGGACAAATTCTGATGTCCCTACGCCATCAAGGTGTTCCGATACCTTTTGCAAGTTAAATAAAAATCTTTTATATGATATGGGAGGGAAGTTCCATTAGAAGGCTTCTAGGAAAGGTTCTCTTATCTCTAAGAAGGACAATCCAGTGGCCCGTCTCTGCCACCAGACAGTACCATGTCTGTGTGTGATGCCTGGAACTGCTGAAACAATCTTGCATCCATGAGGGGAGCTGGGCTGAGGTTGCCCTCATGCCAAGATAAGAGGATGAAGAGGAGAGCTTGAAAGAATGTGGGTCCTCAATGACATTCATGGGCATCTCATTCAACCAACTCTAACACTTGACTTCCTGTTCTAGAAGATAATACATTAACTTGCTGCTTAAGCCATTTTTATTCATTTTTTTTCTGTTACTGGTATCTTAATCTAAACAACAGAAAGTAGAAGTGCATTTTAGGTTCCTTGAAGTTTATTGAAAACGAAATGCGAGAAAAGATAGAAGAATAAAGGAAATTAAAGGTGAAATAATAAGACTAAGACAACAGACTTTTCCCAAAATAGATCAAGTTAAGAAGTAGCTAGAAAAAATATTTACTGGGTGAGGTAAGAAACAATTGTAAAGAAACCAAAATGCAATACCAGAATTAAAATGGGCACTGGAATCTGTAATGAGAATAAGCAACAGGCTTGTGGAGAATTAATTTGAAAAACTTGGAAATTAAAACGCAAGGAAAGCAGAACAATACAATGTATATTTCCTTTGTATATATCATCTGCTCATGTGTGTTCATGTGTGAAGGGAACAAAAAGACATTTTTAGAGAAAAGAAAACAAACATATAAAAGACATAATTGCTGTTACAGAAGAACAGAATAAATGGAACAGAAGCACATTATGTGTCCTTTCTTATCAGGACACAATATTAAAACAACTCATTGGCAAAATAAAAACTTAAATCTTCACGTGTAAAGAGTTCTCCACCTACAACTTAAAAATAGAGCCTATATTCTGATACAATTGTTTAAATATTATTGATGTAGAAATACTCAGATAAACATCTAGGCTGGAAAATGGCTATGTATAAAAAATCAGAAACTACGTTACTCATACATTTTCTTGCCCAAATTTAAATTCCAGAAAACAATGAAACAAAATTTTTCAAGTAAAAATGATGTGGCTAAAAAATTATACAGTAAATAGTTTTTCATTTGCGAAGCTACAGAAAGGCATTCCCTGACACATAAAGAATAAGAAGTTATGTTGGCTCTGATTCTTTTCCAGAGGGTTGGGTAGCTGATAAAGCTAGTCAAGGATGTGAGTCCAGAAATAGAGAAAAAAACATCCACAAGAATGGAAGAAGTCTTGTTATAAAAAAAGTTGATTTGGTAAACACAGATATGAGTGTAAAAATCACAATAAATGTGAATCAAAACAGAATGAACTATAAGAGGTAATGCTTAAAGAGAAATCAGATTTAAAAATCTAATATAAAAATTCTTGGCTAAAATTTCCAATTGTATTAACAAAAACCAGGAAGTGGGTGACTGATACATCACTAGGAATAAAAGTATATTATCTTCTTCACCTTTCATAATGGATATTCAATGTGTACTATTTCAATCCTGACACTCTTAATTGAAGAACACAATTTTAAGCGAATGTGTATGTACTGTACAGGGTACTGTAGAGGTGTGCATGTGTGCGTGTGTGTGTTTAAGGCATCAACTACTAGCATAACAAGAAGAATGAACAGGATTCAAATAGAGATAAAAAAACAAAACAAAAGAAAACCCTGACTTCTAGTACAAGTGCATCTGGCATCCAAATTTTGTTACTTGTTTGATAGAAGCACCTGCCAACATAGAAATCAACATTAAAAAAACTGTGTAATACCACTGAAAACTACACTGTCCTGACAAGCAAATGAGAAATCATCCTGTAGAGGTATTTTCATAATCCAAGGCACATTAATTCCCACAGAACAAAACTGCCTCCACTAAAGACGAACTCATAGTAAAAAATAAATTATAAAGAATGACAAGAGCCTTGTAAGGAATCTTATCCCCATAGGAGAGAGTCAGAAGTCATCATACACAGAAAAATACACCTCTCAAGAATTGAAAATAATAAAACAATCAAAGAGACTATTAAGTAAATACATTTAGATTGATTAAAGAGAAAAAAGAAGGAATATGAACCATTGCAATAATGCACACATGACAGAAAAAGGATAGGTGGGTTTGAAAAATATACATTCAACTTCTTGAGATAAAAAAACATAGTCATTGAAAATAGAAAGAAAGTAAATATGTATATAAGAACAGACATGGAACATAACACAAGTTAAAGATACAGCAGAGGAGCTGAAAAAAAACAGCAAAAGCTGGCTCTTTCCTTTGAAAACACCAACAAATTAGACAAACCTCTGCCAAAAAATGATTAAGGAAAAAAGACACAAATAAGCCACTTCACAGTTGTTAGAGACTGACAGAACATTTTTAGCCCAGGCTTAGACTGGAGAATGATTAATGACCAGAGAAGCCCTGAGACACATCTCAAGACTCTGATGGACGTGGTCAGGGTCAGCTGGTAAACACCAGCCCATCACCTGGGTGCTAGCTTTTTAAAAAAGAAGTCATATTTTGAGATCATTACAGATTCACATGCAATCGTAAGAAATAACATAAACGGGTCTTAAATACCCTTCACCCAGTTTTCCCCAATGTTAACACTTGTGTAACTATAGTACAATATTATAACCAGAAAATTGACATATATGTTACTGATCTTATTCAGATTTCATTAGTTTTACATGCGCTTGTGTGTATGTTTAATTTATGCAATTTTATCCCATGTGTAGACCTGTGTGACCACCATCACAGTCAAGATGCAGAAATGGTTACATCACAAGGACCTCTCATGCAATGGAACACTAGCGCTGAGTTTCTTCTTTCTACACTAAGACCTGGTTACTAGATTCTGGGAGACTGCAGCAATAATGAAAAGAATTGTCTCTCAGTGAAATGCCAAACTCCGCTAGGGATCGACAAACTGGGATCCCATCTTTCCTGATGCTCCTTTAATCCAGGCTTCCACAGGACCACAATATGTGGCTGGTCATACATGCTGTGCACTGTTCAATTTTAGAGGGTGTCATTCCTTTGACGGCCTTGCTCTTGTGATCTACAAGGGCCATCAATCTTGACTTGTTCCAGTGACTAGCGGTTATTATTTTCATTTTGAGTAAATCAAGTGGAAAGTTTCACCCATCTGGTCTAGAGAGGAAGCAATAAGCAAAGCATCAGTCTATGGACTTAGTTCCCTAAGAGCTGAGGCAGAGTTAGGAAAGGAGACCTCTGTTCAGAGATTCTTCTATGTGTCTGGAGTGAACTGGGCCACAATAAAGGGTTTTGTGCATGTCATGTGTGTGGGGAGTGTGTGTATCCTGGCAAGCATGTGAGTTTTCCCTTACCTCTTCTCCAACCAGATATAAATGGCTTTTTATCTGTTTTAGAAAATAAACATCTAGGTATAATTTTGTTCAAAAAAGGGTTTCACTATTTTTTAAAAAACTTTCAAAATAATTTTTTTCTTTTTGTCAAAATTCTATCAAAATCAGTGAGGAAAGAGGCAGCAAAAATGCTGATACCAGTGTTCCACAGCATAGGTTGTATAAACAATACATTTGGAAAAAAAATGAAAGGTCGTTGAGTTTGCCAGAGCAACAGATGTTTAGTAGTGATAGGGATTCTCTGTGGCTGGCCTTAACCACTTAGTGATCAAACTAGGAAGTGAGGGAATAAAGCTGAGGGGCGTGCATGGAATCCTGGAAGTATTTTGTTGCACCACAAAGAAGAAGGGATATAATTATGGACTTTTTAAGTCTTTTAACTCACTGGAAATATAAGCCCTTTTTGGTAACATGTAGGTTGATTATTTAATTCTTGCATATTCACCATCCATTTATACTTTCAGAGACACTTGTTGTTGAAAATAATGGCCTTAAAAAATGCTGAACTTTGACCGGTAGAAGAATAACCCATAAATAGACATTGAAATATACGCCTAAAGAATTTT
The DNA here is from genome assembly GCF_000001405.40 of Homo sapiens. Lineage (NCBI taxonomy): Eukaryota > Metazoa > Chordata > Mammalia > Primates > Hominidae > Homo > Homo sapiens. Next base: position 42,173,982 of record NC_000020.11, read on the forward strand.
ATAAACTGATGATAAAGTAGAGTACAAATATTGGTTGGCAAAGAATGGATTCCCAGAGAGTGTATTATTTTTCAGAAGAGAATGAAGTATATTAAAGTAGATGAAACTGTAAGGTGGCTTAGTGTTAGAAAGATTAATATTATTGGAAAGTTACTTCATGCTTTCAGTAAGAAGTTCTGCATGTGACTATGGCTTGTTAAGATAAATAGCATATGCAAAAGAACTTAGAAGAACATGTCTTGGTCAGTAAGTTACTCAAAGCATAAATAATAAAGAAAGGTAAATCACACAGTTTTAATATTCTTGCAAGCATGAAGGGAGTGATAAGGGTGTGGCATTTGAGAGGAGTTTATATGGAAGGAAAGACTGGGATTAAATGAGGAAGGATCTGAGTTATAGATAAAGGGATTGATTGAGGCAGCAAGCACAAGAAATGGAAAGCGACTCTGCATGTCAGTTCTGTGTTTCACAGAGCCACTACCAGCATAAATAAAACCCGGTATTGATAGATCCATGTGGACTCACCTGCCCCTATTCTCAAACCATCACTTAAAGGAAAACTTGGGCAGGTGAACTTATCCTCAAAGTGGGGCCCTGTGTTGACAGGGACTGCCAGCAACTCGGACAGTCTTCTGCCTTGAAAATTCTAGAGTGTTTGAAGAATCTGATATATTGAGGAAAACGGCAAGTCCAATAGGAAAGACTGAGAGGCTCACACAATACTCTCTGAAGACAGGGTAGTGGTCTAACACGTACAGACTTTGGACATGAATAGGGCTGAGTGAGAACCCTGACACCATCACCTACTGCCTGTGTGATTTTGGGCAAGTTACTCAATCTCTCTGAACCAGTTTCTGCAAAGCCTTTATGGCTAGTATCTCTGAAAACTGGAGATAGAAAGAGAAAATCAAGCACTGATTTATAATTGTTAGAAGCTCAACACATCAGAGGTTATAATTGTTAGAAGTTCAACACATCAGAGGTTAATACAACAGAAGAAGAGATAGTCATTTCTCTCCATGGCCAGGATCCTCAAATCTGCTGCCCCTCTCTTTCCCTATCCATAGTGGCTGAAACAACATCCTTACAACTCCTTGAATCCCCTCTTCCTTCTCCATGTTCTTTTCTCCAAAATAAGGCATGAGAACTTTTTCAAAGGCCAAAGCTGAGCATGTCACCTCCCTGCTCAAACTTTTTATTGGATGCCCACTGTCCTTTGGCTATGTTCCAGATTTAAGATATTTAATATGGCTTCAAGGCTATGATTGGTCTAGCTCTCACCAATCTCATTTGCCTCATCTTGTGTCTCTCTGTCCTTTCCCCTCTAGGCTGCAGCCACACTGTCTCCTCACTGAATTCTCGCCCACCTGAGAATCTGTACAGGACGTGCTATTCTCCTGGAGTGTTTATAACTTTTCCCCCAAACTTCCAAGGCCACGTGGACTCCTATTCATCCTTCAGCACTCAGCTCAAGTCAATTCCTCCTCTAGAATAAACAAACCCATCTGTGGTATGAATGAATGGTGGTTACCAATTGGGTTGAGTAGGGGCAGGGGATGGCTGGGAATGGGCATGAGGGATCTTCCTGGCAAGTCTGTATATTACTAGGGGGCTGGGTTGCAAAGTGTATGCAATTGTTGAACTCATAAAATGGAAAACCTAAGATTTCTGTGTTTTTTTGCAAGTAAATTTTATCTCAAAGGAAAAAACCAGACTCTTGAGTCGGCATTAATGATGTGTACAGTTAAATATTGGGAGGAAAGGGAAGTGTAGTGATGTCTAAAATTTCCTTTGATATGCATAAAAATTAAGATGGATTGAAGGATGGATAGATGGGAAGATAGGTAATAAAATAAATATAGTAAAATGTTAATAGTAGAATCTAGGGGATGACTGGTCACTAAAAGTATTTTAACTTTTCTGAATGAAGATATCAAGGAAGACATCTCTGTCTGCCTCCATCCCCATCTGAGGGTCCCATGTTATATCCTAACAGTATCATTTTCATGAATTACAATATATGTATATTCCTGAACATACATCGTCTTCATGAATTACTATAGTTATTGAATAATAGTGAGATTAGTATCTTATCCTTCACCGGACTGTAAGCTCCATGAAGACAGGTATCATATCTGTGTTGTTTACTCGTGTATCTCCAGAATCTAGTGCCTACTCTGGAAACACTCATTTGTTAGGTACACCTTGCTCTCTGAAATCCACCCTCCACCTTGTTGATAAATACAATGTTTGTTTATCTTCAAGGTTCATCTGTCATGTCTTCTAATTCTTTTGGTGAGGATATCATGATCTCTATTTCCTGCCTCAGTTCCATTTGCCTTGGTGAGTGTGGGGAGGTTGATAAGCCACATTTACTCAAAATGCATATCTTCTCCTGATGGGCTTCTGGTGATTTTAACTACACTCAGATCCGAAGCTCTTCTCTCAGAGTGAAAATGTTCAGCTTCACTGTGGCTCCAGGGGACTGGACATGATTTGGAGTTTCTCATTGGCTCCAGGGTTGTATGTGCACTGAAAACAACTGGCCCAGAATTTTGTATTATGTATATATCACCAAACTCCATAACCTGCACACTTATGGGAAGATGTGTGATAGAAGGAAAAGACTAAGTAATGCCTCACACTGAAAATACAGACTGCTCCTATTTTCTATCTCTCATTCATAAAAATTATAATAAGACTAAGGAATGCAAAATAGTTGCAGAGTAATACTTAGCTAAACTAGAAAAACTCAATTTTGACAGGTTTTTACAATCTTCAGCCTGACAGGTGACTTTGTCTTTTGTTGATGTGCAAGAAAGAGAAAATGAAATAACTAAACTTGTCTGAAAGATGAAATTTAAATGTGCAACAGATGTTTGAAAGAGTTTGCCATTGTTGTGGGTGGATAAAAGCTTCCTTTCTCCATTTCAAACTATGCCCTGGATATTTAGGCTGAGTTTGTGGATATTATGAACTACAAAGACAACGGGACATTAAGACAATGGAAAGAACACAGTTTGGGAGTTACAAGACCTGAGTTTTCATCCTGGTGTTACCACTAAATTATCTTGCACAATTACCTTCACCTTTGTGGACCTTAATTTTAAAACCAGGCAGCTGAATTAGACCAATGCTTCTCAAGGTGTAATGTACATATCTAGAGATCTTCTATAGGCAGATTCTAATACAGTGGGCTGAAGTGTGGCCTGAGAGCCTGCATTTGTAACAAGCTCTCAGGTGATGCTGATGATGCTGGTCCATGGACCACACCTTGAGTAGTGAGGGATTAGGTGGTCTCTAAGGGAGCTTCCAGTTAAAAGATACAATGTGTTCTTTAAAGGTCCTGGAATTTCTCTTAAAAAAGCAAACATTATTCTTTCTGCTCTTACTGAATGAATGAAGTAGTACAGCTTAGTATTGTTCAAAACCAACCAAAAAATGCAACTAATTAAATCTGATGGCCTTAACCCTGGAAAGAACAGATACCTAACACTCTCATAAGAATGAATAAAGCAGTGTGTCCCCATCAAGGTTCAGCCTGGCTGATCCTCAGGTGCTGAATTATAGAGGCTGATCACTGAAATGCCAAACTACTTTGTTTTATATAGTAGATTCCAAATGCTAGTACCGTACAAGAGTCATTCAAAGAACATACTAAATATAGATTCCTTTGCTCCATATTCTAGACATAAGGATTTAGTGGCTTTAGTTTGGGGCCAGTCATGTTTTGGGAACTACTGTTATAACCATTTTATGGGGGGGCAGGATAGCACCTAGGGAAGAAGAATGGTAAGTTTGACCCAATTCCTTATTGGGAACATGGTAAAGATCTTTCTGTCTGTCTGTCTCCCTCCTTCTCTTCTCCCTTCCCTCCCCTCCCCTTCCCTTCCTCTCTCTCTTTTTTCTTTCTTTCCTTTCTCTCTCTCTTTCTCTCTCCTTCCTTCTTTCCTTCCTTCTTTTCTTTTCTTTCTTTCATGGAGTCTAGCTCTTTCGCCCAGGCTAGAGTGCAGTGGCATGATCTTGGCTCAGTGCAACCTCTGCCACCTGGGTTCAAGCGACTCTCCTGCCTCAGCCTCCCAAGTAGCTGGGATAACAGGCACCTGCCACCACACCCGGCTAATTTTTGTATTTTTAGTAGAGATAAGATTTCACTGTGTTGGCCAGGCTGTTCTCGAACTCCTGACCTTGTGATCCACCCACCTCGGCCTCCCAAAGTGCTGGGATTACAAGCGAGAGCCACCGTGCCCAGCCAGAAGATCTGTTTTTCAAGCCTGCTTGCCAGCCTCTGAAGAATCCTAGTGATTCTCATAGTAATAAAGGTGTGCAAGTCATAAGGGAGTCAATGTTACAGGGAAACAGTCCCTGAATAGTTGCCCTTATGGGATGTCAAAGCTTTGAGGATCCCTGGCAGCTGCAATGAGAGGTCTGGACTGTAATTCCTATCTTCTTGTCTATTGAAATGCATCAGAAGAACCAGGGTTAAATCCTGGCTCTACTACTTATTAGTCAAAGGCTTTGGGCAAATTAATTAACATCTCACATGTTAAGCCATGTATTAGTTATCCACTGCTACTTGACAAACTACCCCCAACCACAGCAGCTTAAAATAACAAACATATACGATCTCAGTTTCTGCAGATAGAAATCTGGTTGCAGCCTAGATGTGTATCTCTGGCTCAAGGTCTTTTGTGAGGTTGCACTCAAGCTGACCGCTGTGGTAATGATCTCATCTGAAGACTCAGCTGGGAGAGAATTCAAGTTAACTGATTTCATAATCACTGACATGATACTGACAGATTCATTTTTTCATGGGCTACTGCAGTATGGGACTCAGTTCCTTGCTGGCTGTTGGCTGGGCATCTCCCTCGATTTCTTGCCAATAGGTCAACTTACAATATAGTAGCTAGCTTCCCAAGGAACAGACAAGTGGGAGTGAGAGAGAGCACCCAAGATAAAAGCCACAGTCTTCTTAAAGACAAATCTTGAAAGGGACATCTCATCACTTTATCATATCCTATTCATTGGAAGCCAGTCACTAGATCTTGGCTGCAATGAGGAAGGGCGTTATATAAGAATGTGGCATAGGAGGCAGGGATCATTGGGGCCATCTTAAAGTTTGCCAACCACAAATCCTAATATCATTCTGCAATGTTTTTGTGAGAACCAAAAGAGGTAATGTCGATGAAAGAACATTTAAATATACACATATGAGAGTATATTATAATAATTCATTCCAAGGAGTCCAGTCAAAATCTTCCAGCTGACTTTGCTTAGCTTTGCCAAGTATTCCAAGGCATTCACTTAATAAAAGTTTTTTAATTCATGAAAGCTTCTAAAGTACCCTCTTTACACTTTTCCAAAGAGTTTTCCAAGATCTGATTTTTCAAGGAAAGTAAATGGTTTAATTTTCCTTATCACATGAATTGCCATTGACAACAATCTTTAATCGTTAAAGAGTTAACAATGTACTTTCAATTGCTTTACGCAGATAAAAAATCCATTCCCTAAGACAATGAATTAGCCACATAATTGACAGCCAATTCCAGTAATAAAACGCTAATTAAGTGATAATGCTAAGTAAAAAATATAATGTGATGAATTTGCTAAACAATGGCCTAACTAATAAATTTTCATGCTAAATAAATGATTTGGAATGGTGACTAAACCCTCACCACATTTAGGGTCAGTTGAAAAAGCAATGATGCTTTCAGAAAACAATGACAGAAGTGACTGTGCCAGCTAACATCCTTAACAGTATTACACTGGGCTCTTTGCCAAGCAGGGCCAAGGGACTAAGTCTGAATGGGGTAGGTGTACCGGAATCTGGGGGGCTGGAGCAATCACCATGATGATAGTATGGGTGACTAGCCTAAAGAAAGGCATGGAATAGCCAAGTATAGCCAGCTGTAGTAATAGCAGAACCCAGCAATGGGCAAGAAGATGCAGAAATCAATGCTAGATCATCTTGAGCTAAAGAAGATCAGGGTCAGCACCAAGGACAGATCCTGGATGCGGTGGCTCCGGGAAGATTCCTGCAGATAGACGTGTTTTGTCATAAACAAGGAAGTCAAAGATTACAGAGTTTTCTCCTTACCCCAGAAGGCTAGGCTAGTGGTGAGACTCAGCTCTCATAGGCACAAGGGTCTTCACTATTTTTTGGAAGCACCATGGTTTCAACCCATTTAATTTACAATGGTACCTTCTGAAAGGATCTAAATTTAGAGGAGAAGTCCATATTTCTTATGGGTTCCACTGGTTTTGACTGACCTTTACAGCTGGAACAGGGTTCTAGCTTCCACATATCAGGCACATGCTTGCCTTGGGAGCCTCTAATAGAGACACTCTTTCCTGACATGGCTCACATCTGTTACCTTTTTAAAGTCTTTAGTCAGATGTCATCTTCTATAAAACTGCAATCCTCCTCCACTTATGACTCCTGATCCCATTCAGCATGTTCTATTGTTTCAGTGCACCCTCACTTGTTATTATGTCATATCATATAATGTACTTATCTTTTGCTGTCCATTGCTTATTTCCTGTCTCTCTTTCCACTTCCTACCATCAATGGAATGTAAGCTCTAGAAAGACAGGGAATTTTTAATTTCTGTATTCTTCACTGATGTATATTAAAAGTGCATAATATGTCAGGCACATAGTAGGTGCTCAACAAACCTTGTTGAATAAATGAGTGGCAGCATGTTCAGAAGCTTGTTACACTCTAACCTCTGAAGAGAGTAGTGCAATCTTAGAAATCAGTGGAGTAAACAAGAGCCTATATCCTCTGATTTTAAGACACCACTGTCCCAGTATGCCATCCTCTTACTTAGTGGCTTCAGAGGTGTCCGCATATTTCTCACTATTCGGGAGGGAGTACATTATAGTAGTAGGATCATATGCAAGAGAAAGATTAAGTTTAAATCCTAGCTCTACTACTAATAGCTATGTGACCTTGAGCAAGTTATTTAATCTCCCTGAACCTCAATCTCCACATGTGTGAAAGAAGCCTAGTACCAACAATAATCATCAACTCATAGGTTTTAAGGATTAAATGATATAACGTATGCACAGCATCTAGCATAGTCCTTGGCACACAGTTAGGGCTCAATAAATATTAGTTTCTTGTACTTTCCCATTTAAATACAATATGATACATCCCTTAATACATAAGAGTAAATTGACTTTTCAGATTATGCCAGATATTGGGAAGGCTCACAAGGGCATGAAATTGGAGAAGAGTAAGCTGTGACTGGGGAAGTGTAAAAGGCTAGAAGCCTAGAGCCCTCTGGAGGAGAGAGGGGAGATCACAAGGGTAGGGGCAGTAGGGGACACAAAGTGGGTCTGAAGAGTGTTCCCTCTGTTTTCCAGGGCTACACTGAGTGGTAGAGAGTCCAAGGAAGCCAGTATTTGGTGATGGGGCCTTTAGAACTGATGACTAGGACAAAGATACAAGGATTAGGACTTTCTAAGAAATGGAGGTGCAAAGTGCACCATATATCTCTCCCAGACTAGTGCAATGGTCCCCTCCCTTGTCCTCCTCCCTCAACCTTCCTCTATGGGATTAAAATCTAAGAGTAACCCTAGTCATCGCTATGTCTGCAGGTCCTCATTGTCCCAGCAATGCATAAGATCAGTTGACTGAATACTGAATAGTGAAAGTGAACCATTGTGATCTATCCTGACTTAAAATTAGCATAATGATTCATTCAACAAATACCACTCAATCGTATTCATAGGCCAAGCACCATACTAGTCTCCAGGGATATAGTAGAAGCCCGGACAGAAGTTGTCTATGCAATCATGGTTTAAAAGTCTGGTGAAGATGACAGACATTAGCCAAAAAATTATTAAATGAATAAACATTTGCATACAAGAAATTTCTGACACATGCTAAGAGGGACTAGAATGTAGTAAAATTAAAAAAAAACAACAAGTGGCCACTGTTTAGATAGACAATTTAGGGAATCCCTCAAAAGAAGACATTTAATCATAGACCTGAAGGATAAAAAGTGGCTAAACAGTGAAATATAGAGTGGAAGACTGTTCTGGAAAGAGCAAACAGAATTGTGAAAGCCATATTTTGGGAAATGCTTAGTGTTTTCAAAGAATAGGAAGGAGGTCAATATGACTGGAGTATATTGAGCAAGACAGAGAGTAGCCAGAGATGAGACTAAAGATGCTGACAGAAGTCATGTCATTCTGAGCCTTGTAGGCCACGAGGTTAATTTTTACTTCATCTGGAGGGCAATGGGAAGCCAATAACGGATTTTTGGTTGAGCAGTGGCATTGTGAGTTTGTTTTTTAAAATTGAAGAACACGCTAGGCAAATGGCTATTTCATAAATAAAGCATAACAAAGATAGTGAGTTATTGGTATACTTCTGCTGATGGATCAATATGAAAGGAGAATGATGGGATAGAATAAGAAGGGTTACAGAGAGGGTGACAGGGACCAGATTTGCAAGTGTGTGTATTTGCTAGAACACAGCTGGCTGAAGATTCACTGGATGACCATTTGGGTCTCCACTGCAGAAGAGACAGAAGTGACTGTTAGTTTGGAATGACTCCTATGTTCTGAGCCTCTGTCATGTCTGTACATCAGTGGGAATTTCATCTAACCTAGATCAAAGATCCTGAAGATAAAAGGTTTCACCTTGGAAAAACTCAACTGGTCCCATGAGACATTAACTGAATAAGAACACTCATTTCAAAGTCAAACATGTCCAAAAATTTCCAGGTATCACACCCTCAAAATACTGACTAATCAATACAATATGGAGCAAGCAGGGAGATCTAGTCAATACACTCGGCTTAAAAATGGTTTCAAGAATGGAATGCCGTAGAACACCTTCTCTCTACCATTGCTTCATTACAGAGAGTTGGCCATACCCGTTGGGTTGTAGTGACTGTTAATCCTACAAGCAGGGGTGTGTGTGTGTGTGTGTGTGTGTGTGTGTGTGTGTGTAATCAGATTTCCATGTGCACCAGCATTTTGTGCTGTCACTTTCCTTGAAGTCTGATATAGGCAGAAACAATACTTACTTAAAGCTTTATCCACTCCCACTCTCCAAAACTTTTACCTCACTATCACCAAGATGATCTTTCTAAAACCGACTCAATCCTTCCTTTCTACTTCTTAAAATCTATGTTAGCTCCTTGCAGAAACATAATACATTTCAAACTCCCTAGTATTCGAGACCCCAGTTCCTGCTTACCTCTTCAGGTTCATCTTTTACCACTTAATCCTATGGTTCTAATATTTCAAGTACTACAGAGAAGCCAATCCACTTATAATTTTAAGTGCAACATAAGGAAGGGTCTTCCTGGGAACCTAACAGCAAGGAAGACCAACACCATGGACAGAGACGCTAACACCGTCCCCTGCCCTTCACCCTGTCTTTCAGGATATAGGAAGAAGTTAACATTACTGATGTCTTTTGGACTCTGGATGTTAGGGAATACATTTATACTCACAAGGAATTGTACAAGAGAGCAAAAGCTATAGATTTGTAAAATGTGCAGAGACCACAAAACTACTTGCTTGTAATAGCAGAATTATCACGCTAATCCAAGTGGAAAATGGAGGTTTTGAAAATATTCCTATTATTGACTATATTAGCCAAGTAGACTTTCCCACCTCTATGCCCCTGTATATGTATTCTTTTATTTTAGAATAATGTCATAGCTTGTTACCAGGATGACCACAATTGATTCCTTCTCTTCCTATATGCATATGCCATTTTTCCTATAGAAGGGTTGAGTCTGCTCCTCTACTCCCTTAAATTTAGGCTAATATGTGACTGCTTTTAATAATGATACACAGCAGAAGTGAAGCTGGCTAGTTCTGAGCCTAGTTTTTAGGAGGACTAGCATTTCTCCTGGCTTTCTCAAACACTTGCTCTGGGGGAAGACAGCTATCATGCAAGAAGTACAATTACCATGAGTCTGTCCTGTTGCTAGGAAGCCTAAGGTAGATGTATAGGGAGAGAGTGATTCCAGCCTACCCTAGATGTTACAGTCATTTTAGCATAGGGGTTGAATATGCAAATGAGGGAGGCATTTGGGCCTTCCATCCCTGACAGATGCCACCTAAGGAAGAACTGAGGTCCCAGACATGTTGTCCTACAAGAGCTGTCACAGTCATCTCCAGCCATTCAAGTCATCCCAGCTGAGGCTCCCCATTTTCAAGCAGACACAAGCTATCCCTGTTGTAACCTATCCAAACTCCTGGCCCAAAGAATTAGAAGCCAAATACAATGGTTGTTGTTTTACACTGTTAAGTTGTGATATGGTGTGTTACACCATGTCACTTATTTCTTCTTTTCTGCATTGACTAATTCTGACCACACAGTGTTTAAGATTCAACTTCTCTATGATGTTTTCTTTGATCACCTTGAAGTACCTTAAGGATTCTATTTCCTGCTGGTATTTCTTTCCTTTCCTTTCCTTTGCTTTCCCTCCCTCCCTTCCTTCTTCCCTCCCCTCCCCACTCCTTCCTTTCTTCCCTCCTTCCTCCCCCCTTCCTCCTCCTCCTCCTCCTTCTTCTTCTTCTTCCTCTTCCTCTTCTTCTTCTTCTTCTTATTCTTCTTCTTCTTCTTCTTCTTCTTCTTCTTCCTCTTCTTCTTCTTCTTCTTCTCCTCCTTCTTCTCCTTCTCTCTCTCTCTCTCGATAGAGTTTCACTCTGTTGCCCAGGTTGGAGTGCAGTGGCATGATCTCGGTTCACTGTAACCTCCACCTCCTGGGTTCAAGTGATTCTCCTGCCTCAGCCTCCTGAGTAGGTGGGATTACAGGCATGCACCACCACACCCGGCTAATTTTTTTTTTTTTGTATTTTTACCAGAGATGGGGTTTCGCCATGTTAGCTAGAGTGGTCTCGAACTTCTGACCTCAGGTGATCCACCCACCTTGGCCTCCCAAAATGTTGGGATTACAGGCATGAGTCACTGCACCCAGCTCATTCCTGCTGGTATTAAACTCATCCTGGCTGCTTCTCACCTAGAAGAATTTGATATCCTATCAACTCATCGTGGCTTCCTCTCACCTAGAAAACCAGCATGGTCCAAATATCTTCCTTTTTACCTCACAGTTTTTACTTCGGAGTTTCAATAACTAGAGAAACATCTTGGCTGCCAGGACAAGTGGTGTGGAAAAGCCAGGTATCCATGACCACATAGATTAAACCCATGTAACAGGTGCCCATCATCTCCCAGAACCTCCTCAGAATACTGTTGTCCCCATGGCTACCTGTAGGGTCATCCATCCAATCAAGAATCACATCTGTTGTTATATATGCTTCTTTCCTTTACTATTTTTCTTGGTTCTTCCATCGGGAGGGCCATATAGTAGCCTATCTGAATCTCTGCCTATATTTGTATGTGGTCTGAAGATCACCAGCTGATTTCTCTTCCTATTCCTATGATTGAAGGACTAATTGTATCAGATTCCCAGATCCAAATGGTTGACTTCTTGAGGATATTTTGAGCAGCAGCTTCTGGTTTTGTAGGAACCATAAAAAGGGCTTTGTAAAATTCCCTTCAGTGTTGGCTACAGTGGGTGATGGCAGGAGTGGGAGAGAGGCTAAGATCCAGATAGCATCTGACTGGCAAAGCATCATCCCTTGATTTCTTTATCCACCTTTATTCAATTCTGAACGCTGAAAACAGGACAATAGTGTGTGATGTCAGTTGTACTGAGCTTTCTAAATATTCCTTTTAGTTTTCTCTGAGTATATAGGATTTATATACCTAAGTCTTGTCTGTTTATCCAACTATTCATCTACCCATCTGTCAACAAGAGTTTCAGGTATTCATTCTGTGCCACATGCTGTGCCACATGTTGAGGATACAGTAATAAGCAGAAAATAAATGGTCCTTCCCTCTCGAGCTTGCCATCTAACAGAGGGGTCAGGCACTCTGCTGAGGATACAGTAGTAAACAAAAACATGGTCCTCCTTTCTTCAGCTTCCCATCTAGTAGAGGGGTCAAGTCTTAAACACATTTGCAAACCGCAGTTGTTGCTGAGAAAAAAGGTGGAATACAATTCTGTCATAGCACCTAACAAAAGAAATCCAATCTGGTGAAGGGAGAAGGGGGTCAGGAAAGGAAGAAATGTAAGAATGGAGGTCTAAAGGAATCAATTAGGAGAAAAGCATGGGTATAGCCAGTGATCTAGATGAGGAGTTGGAAAACATTTCTGTCAAAGACCAGAGAGTAAATATTTTAGGCTTTGTGGGCTAGGTGGTCTCTGTGGCAACTACTCAACTCTACCATTGTAGTACAAAAGCAACCATAGGAAATGCATGAACAAATAAGCATGGTTGTGTTCTAATAAAGCTTTATTCTAATAAAGACAGAGTGCACTGGATTTGGCCTATGGGCCTCCCATCCCACGCTCCTTCTACCACATTCCTTCTACCACACTTCCACCCCACATTCCTTCTACCACAGGACCTTTGACCATGCCATTGCTCTGTCTAGCAATAGCACAGTCAAAGGTCCTGTGGTAGAAGGAGTGTGACAAAGTTTAAGTACTGTGAGAAGATTATGGTGTCACGGAGCTCACAGAGAAAGGGGAAGTGAGATGAGAGAGCCTGGGGAAGGTCAGAAGGACAAGACCTGTATGTGAAGTCAGGATGGGGACTTTGATCTTTAGCTTATAAACAATCAGAAGCAAAAGAATTGTTTTAACCCAGGGATGAGTGGTACAACGTGTTTAGATTTGCCTTGAAAAGGTCTCCCTGGCTCCTATGAAAAAATAGACTACAGAATGACACGGATGGATATGAGGATTATTTAGGAGTTGTGGATCTTATTCAGGTAAGAGATGATGATGACTTGGACAAGGATGGAGGTAGTGGATATAGAGGAAAATAGATGGATTCTAGATATATCGAAGATGTAGACTCATCAAAACTTGGTGTTGAACTCGATGTGGGAGGTGAGAGAGAGGAACGTGTCAAGATTAATCTATGTTACATCTCTCCTGAATGTATCCTTGCTATTAAGGGGAATTGAAGTTTTATTTCATTTTCAGCCCCATATAATTAGGATATCAACTCATATGATTGGTAAGGTGAAAAGTAAATCATCTGAACAGAGATGAATCACAGGTTAATGGATCACGACAGCTCCCCCACCCTCACTGGACAACATTCTCTTGGCAGCTTCTACACACACCTCTACTGGGCATACCAAGTCATATAACTATTATCTGTGTTCCCTATTTCATGGGCTTTTTGAGAGTAGAAATGCCATTTCTTATGCTACTAATGGTTATTATTTTGGTTAGTGGAATCTTGTGCTCACTTAACATCTGTCTATTCTACAGGTGAGTGTAGATTTGAGATGTGTTTGATGTCTGGTGGGGTGGGCAGTTCTTTCCACCTAGTTAAGAGCATCTCACTAAAAGTCAACCGGTGCTGAGTAACTAAACATCATGGAACCCTTTTCAAAATTATGTAGGAAGCAACCCAGAGAATTATGGAAATGGTGATGCACTGAGCATAGGGGCTTTGCCCATCCTTGGCCCTTTGCTATTTCCTTCTACTACCTCACATGCAGCTTTTCAATCTTTGTGATAGTCCGCCCTATGGCTCTTCCATTGACTTTCCTAGATCCACTCCCAACCATTAATACATAAACCAGACCTCAGGTTCTTGCCGTAAACTTCTACTTTGAATGTAGAGATCCTATCACAATCCAGCTGAGTAGATATTGATGGGGTCTTCTAATCCATCAGCTCCTTCACACATTCTGAGTTCCATCCCAGGATCCAGGTGATTTCCAGAATGCTCTGCACTTGGACCACATTTACACAGCCCCATTTATAGCCCACTGTTTTGATGTTATACCCTGAGCTTTAACTGATGGCTTTTCTATAGGTCCTCCTATATGTAAGTCTTGGCTCAAAGTTCTGGTTCTTCCATTAACTTGCTGAGTGATCCTAGGCAATGAGTTTCACCTCTGTGGGCCGCAGTTTCCCTATTCATGGCAAAGTCTCCAATCACATTGTATACAAAATGCAGTGAACATTTATATCCCCAGGCCAGGCTCCTCTGTTGAGCTCCAGGCCCCAGAGTCCACTGCCAACCTGGCATCTCTTCCATGACTCAATAACACCTCAAATCGATTGGCCTAGATGTAAATGTCCCCCTCTTCTGCTTCAAATCTGGCCCCTTCCTGTGCTATCTCATTTGGCATCATCACCACCTACCTAGAGTGAGTATGAGCAGAAAGGAAGAGCTTCAGGGCTAAGGCCGGGGACACTTCAATGATTAGAGGTTGGGAGCAAGTACAGAACCAGTAAAGAAGAATGAGAAGAAATGGCTGGGGAGGAAGGCAAAACACAAGGAGAGCAAAAGTCAAGCAAAGAAAATGTTTCCAGAAGGAGGGGCTGCGTGATAGGTCCATCATGTGAAACTAGGTTCAAGCCCTGGGCTTGGTTTCTCGGTAGCTATGTGACCTTGAGCAAGTTACTTAAGTTCTCTGAGCCTCAGTTTCCATAACATGCCTCATAGCATTGTTGAGAATATTAAATGAAATGAGGCATAGAAAGTGCTTTGTCCAGCAATTACTCACAAAATGTTAGCTAGTAGAATTATTATCTATGTTTTCAACTCATCAAGTCTGTAGCTTTGAGCAGAGGGGGGGAAATTGGTCTCTAAGCTCAGTTTATTCTGCTACCTAGCAACTATATATTTACATCGTCAACATCACTTCTTTATCCCTGATTACTTTAACAAGCACTTTTTAAGTGCTCTGTTATAATTCAAGACCACCTGTGAGGTGTAGAGAACAATTCTATTTTCTTCTCAAGATGTAGTGGCCTAGGATAAATTGTCAAAAAGCAACTTCAGCCTTGTAACTTTACTGAGGTCTCTTTGAAAGTGTATTGAGGAATGCTTGGGCCAGCTGACAATGACAGTGAAGGTCTGTAACTGATAAAATGCACTCTGCTTATCTACAATAGAAAGCTGGATCTATACAACTCAAAGAGCATATGAAGCTGGGTTCCAAAATCACACAAGGACAGCTGACACTGGGATCACTCCAATTCCCAAGCAGGTTACCCTTCCTGGAAAGTGAATTTAAATGGGACACAAATGTGAAGTCCTTTCCAAGGAGGCTCCAGCTACCATTCCAGCTTCGTCTCTGGCCATACATTCTTGACACAGAGTATCTTGGACTTCAAACCCACTTCTCTGAGTCCACCAGACCTCACACCTCATATTTCCAAGCTTTTGCCCCTTCCACCTGGGTCAATCTGTTCTCTTGCACTATTTTCAAATCAAAATCCATCTCCTTACATCGTATTTTCCAAATCACTTAGCCAGAATTAATCACTTGCTGGGTGTCTGATCAGTGTTTCTGGGACACTATACACACCTTTTCTCTATCATTTATCACATTTATTGAAACTAATCCACTTACAACTCTCCTCTTAGAGGACAGTAATATCATTGGAGGCAGAGACCATGTCTTATTTATCTTTACAATCCCTAAAATGCTTGGCATAGAGTCGGCATTCATTGAATATTTAAAGGAACACCTCAGCTACTCCCATAACCAGGAGATGAAAAGTATAATTCAATTTGAGAAGGTTCTATTTATGCAGAAATCAGATTAGGAGTCTACAGAAAATATTACATAGAAGACAAACCATTGTTGACTGTACTTCATTCCTTTGAAGGGTACCGTGGGACAAAACTAGAACGGTCGTGTCCCTAATTAAAGGCCACGGGCCCAATTCTAGCTGGTTCTACTTGTGACTCATTGAGTGATCTTGGGAAAACTCTCTGCAACTCAAATGTTCATTTTTAAGATGAGAAGTTTGGATCAATAACATCTAAGGTAATTTTTAGTTTTAGTTTGATTATGTATAACTATTATATCTTTTTTGAGTCTAATATTCTTCTCTAAAACTTGTCTTAATTTAACTCCTTAGTGTTTGTGATGGAAAATTGGTCAACTTTCTCAAGGCTGCCTAAATTTCCATTTTGTAACTGCTAAGGAATAAACAATTCCATTCAACTTTGGGTTGCCAGGAACTTAATAAGTGTGTCCTTTAATCTGTCAGCTAAGTGGATGATTGCAAAATATTCAATAATTCCTGTAAGATATTCAATAAAACTGGAGGGGGCAAGCTTGTAACATTCAATTCTTCTCCCAGATTCAATTTAATCTTGGAGCAACCTGAAAATATAATTGTTCCTGCAAACAGGATTTTTGCATCTTTGAGTTCTTTTTCACAATGCTCTGTTGAGCTCTCGATTTCAGTGTGTGACTCATCATTGCTTTTCCTTGTAAATTTCCACTCCTTCCATCCTGACTCTTAGATTGTTCACTGTTCAGACAAAAGGAGACAAAATCAAAGATACGGTTGAGATTCCCAGATTCGGGGACCCTCATAACTATTAATGGGCTTTAGCACCCTTCAGGTCCAGTACTCCTATGGCAATAACCTCTTAGTTCATCTACCCAGGGAGGTGAGCTAGAGCCTTCCTCTCCCAGAGAGGCCATAATTCTACTATCATGAAAGACAGCTTTGCAAATAAAGAAGAAGGGCTTGAGTCTGACAGTCCTGGGCATTACTTTGAGCTAGTGATTCTCTGAATCACCTGGAAGGCTTGTTAAAAACTGATTGCTTGGCCCTAACCCTAGAGTTTTGGGTTCAGTAGGTCTGAGGTAGGGCCTGAGAATTTGCTTGTAACAAGTTCCCAGGAGATGCTGATGCTGCTGTTCTGGAGATCATGCTTCAAGAACCACTGCTTTGAGCAGATGACTCAGTGTCTGTGGCCTTAAGTTTCCTTGTCTATGAAATGGGAATAATAACATCTACAGAAGGCAGCATGGAGGAGTAGTCTTGGACTAAGGGCCTCGGGGTGTCAGGCTGACCTAGGTTTGAGTTCCAGCTCTGCCATTTAAAGCTACAAAGCCTTAGGCAAATTCCTTACTATTTTAAAGCCTGTTTCCTCACCTTTAAATTATCAGGTATAATCATAACACTTACTTAATTTTCCCACCATACCAATGAGATAAGAATGCTTATACAATATAAAACACTCAGCACGTAAATGGGCATATAATTAATGCTCTGTATATAATAACTAGGATCATAAATATTAACAATGTAGTAATTCCTACATTTCAAGGCCCCAGACTAGGAGGATTAAGTGATTGGCTGACACAACCAGAAATAAAAAAAAAAAAAATAGCCCTGTAGGCTTGGCAAGCAGGGTCAAACCTAACAAGAAACAGAACAGACAAAATGTAAAATCTTTGATTTGGGCCCCAAAAGTCATCTTCATCTGGGCTGACTGAGGCAGCCCTAGCTGGAAGCCATGATTTCTACATTAGGCAGTCACGTGATGAATATTTAGAGGTTAATTAAAACATGAGTGATATATTTTAAACCCAGGTTTAGGATCAGAGTGAGGGTGATGGTAGCTCTCTGAACTCCCAGTGACTCAGCCCAATGTAGAGGGTCATGGTTGTCTTGGAAACCACACATTCCGTGGGCATGGACCAAATGGAGACAGAAGGGTCAAAAGAGATTTTGAGCAGACTGAAAAACAGAAATTTATTCCGAGGAGGGCTGATGGCTGATGCAGTGACTGTTTAGCCTGAGGGAAGGACCTGGGCACAGAGGTAGCTGCAGTCAAATAGCTGGGGAGGGTGTGGGTGCTGCAGGAAGAGAAGCACTGATTCCATTACCCTGTGTGACACCAGAGGGCAGACAAAGGCCAGCACGTGGTTGCTGACTAATACATGGTTGTGTACAAAAGCAGGAATGAATGAAGTTACAGAGGACAGATTTTGGCTTAATTGAAGAGAGAATACATTATGAGAAAAGATGGAACCAGGTCTGGGCTTGGAACTAGATCTGAGTGTGAATTCCAGCTCCATCATTCATTCATTCATATATTCAAACAAGTACTCAATGAGTATCTGATGGGCCAGAGAGTTGGGCAACTGTCATTATGTACTGATCAACAACAATGAGGGGTGGGGGATTTAGGATGCAGTGTTTAATACAGCTCTTAGCTTGGGGTCATCAATTATGCCATTTATGAAATCAAGATAATGATTCCTAACTGGTTGCATTGTTTTGAGGATCAGAGACAATATGTGAACAGCACCTAGCAAAATGACTGACCCAGAGAGAGTCCCAAGCAAATGTAGCAATCCTTGACATCACACACCATCAAGTCAAGAGTTTTTGCCAGAGAAGATCAGGGTCAGGCCAGTTTTCCCAGAGACCCATTTCCCAGCCAGCTGGCCATTTTCCTGAAAGGGTTAAGGAATCTTTACAAAGAGTTTACCACCACCCCAGCCAGCCTCTATTGTTTTAAAAGCCATGATCCGTCTTCCCTATTTGAATTGCTTTAGTTATATAACATGTTCCTAAAATAATCTGGCTAAAATTTTGCCTGGTACTTCCTTCTGCCTGCCTCATCTCTACTGAACCATCCCAAGGGAGTACCAAGCCTGAACATTCTCTGAACTGCCCACAAAGAAACCCTTTTATGAGGTCTGTGTGGTAAAGAACAGGAAGAATATCAGGTTTCAGGGTCCACCCTCCTCTTTGGCAGAAAATACCTCTTAAGGTGACTGTGTGCTGGCTGCCTGGTATATTTTGGTCATGTTGGGAGGTACAAAGTCAGGGAAAGGGTCCTGTGGCTCTTCGTGTAGGCTTCCATTGCACAAAGTCCTGTAACAAAGGTTCTCTTTCTTGAACCATTTGTCTCCACTGCCAGGCTGCAAGCTCTCTGTTAGGCAGGGGCCATTCTTTGCTCCTCTCTCTCTATAACTACCCAGGGATTGGTCTAGCTTTGGGATGCGTAAGGATGGGACTACTGGTCTGCAGTCCCACTTTCCTAAGAGGGTCCTAGTAGGATGATTCCGGCAGAACCTGTCTGTGCGTACATCCACTTGGCAGCTGCCTTCCTGAGGCAGGAGTTTCAGGGAATAGAGGAACCAGTAAGAAGCACTGTTCTCCCAGCCAGAAAGTCTATTTCACCTTGATTTCCTGTCTCTCCTTCACTCGCCTTCATGGTAGAGAGACCGCTAAAGGTCAAAGGAAAGACAAAGTTGCTTGGTTTTGAAAGTAGAATATCTGCTCTGGGGTCCAGGGCCCATTATCTATTTGTCATATGACTTCAAGAAGATCTTTTAATATCTGAGAGCATCAGTTTCCTCAACTGCAAAATGAATTCGATAATAATCATATGGACTATACAGGGTTACTGAGAGAATGACTAAGACTCCATATTTGAGCATGCTTATCATAGTACCTGGCACCTTGTGGGAATCTGCTAGGCTCCATGCCAGTACCTGGCCCCAGGCCTCTGTTCAGAAAACAGCTGTGGCAGCAGCTTCTGCCCACATGGTAGAAAAGCCAGCTGACCTATCAGTAAGGAAGTGAAGTTCTCCCTTTCTCCCGGCTGTCAGTGACCTTCCTCTGTGAGACTGGTGAATGTTGGGCTACCATCCACAGTAGAGGAGAAGGAACACTGATTTAGGAGTCAGAGAGCCTTATTTGCTTCTAATTCTATCCCTACTCTTTCTTCATTGTGTGACTTTGGGCTTATTTACTTCAGTTCTCTGAAGCTCAATTTTCTCATTCACAAAATAGGAATAATATCTAATGATAGGGTTCCTTGGGAGCTTCAGAGTGGAATTTATATAAAGCATAAGTTTTAGCACATAGTAGGTGCCCAATAAAAGTTATCTTCTTCTTTGGGCATTTTCTACTAGAAATCCCAGAGCCAAAGTGGAATTTAAAATTATCAGAGCGCATATTTTAGATTACATTTTAATGTAATATAGTTATATTTCAATATATCCTGGTCCTGACCTTCACATTTTCCTGATACTGATTATTTTTCTCACTATTTTTTAAATTGTAGGTTCTTTTATTGGATATATCCCCAAATTCTTTGCAGAATGAGATGGATAGACTCTAACTGAAATCAGGAGAGATGTATTCTCATTACGACTCTGCAATATATGTATGATTTGGGCCATGAAAGCTCTCTGAACCTCAGTTTCCTCATCTGTAGAATGGGAATAATTAAAAACCTACTAGCTACCTTATTCCTACAGGAATAAGGAACTATTGCTGCAGTGGAGCGTTTTGCAGAAAGACTTCGTAAACTATGAAAGGCTTACAAGTAGAACCATGTATTATTTGTGATATAATACCTCATTTTATTCATCTTTGAAACTACCTCTCTCCCCAGACCGTGCCACATGGCTTACAGCACAGGGGTAGGCATGTACTGAGAAAAAGTCCATTAAATCCCAGCTCCAAGGTGACACTTAGCAGAGAGCTAGATGGCCCAGTGTCTGTCTGATGACCCTTAGAGAAGGACTGCCTTTACCTTCCAGACATGGAATAATTCAATAGAGGGAAAGCATAAAAATCAGGACGGAGTTAACTCATGGTACCCAGTAGGCAAGTTAATCTGTCAAATGCCATTATGGGAAGAGCAGACTACCAAGTCCCCATATCACAGGAATTCAAAAGGAATTTATTTTGAAGCATTTTTGTTTGGACTGAAAATGAACAAGAAGATGACATGTGAACAAAAGAGATAAAGAAGAAGATTTAAGCACCAGAAGAAAGACCCAGAAAATGATCCCAGTGAGCAAAAGATCGCAGAGAAAAATAACAAGTACACAGGGCAGTAAGATCAAAATCAGATTACTTAATAAAAGCTAGCATTTCTCTAAATGGAAAACAATGCACGTTGTTTGTCCTTGAAATGTGACACGTACTCCTTTTTCAAGAATACCAAGGCACTCCAAAGCAATGGCCCATATCTGACAAAGCCCCATCACCCTAGAGCCCTGGAGGTCATTGTTCCTATACAATATTAGAAGGTTTGATTGAATAGATGTCACAGAACTTAGCAGTCACTTGAAATAGAAAAATCAAACACCGCATGTTCTCACTCATAGGTGGAAATTGAATAGTGAGAACACATGGACACAGGAAGGGAAACATCACACACCGGGGCCTGTTGTGGGGTGGGGGATGGGGGAGGGATAGCATTTGGAGATACACCTAATGTTAAATGACGAGTTACTGGGTGCAGCACACCAACATGGTACATGTATACATATGTAACTAACCTGCACGTTGTGCACATGTACCCTAAAACTTAAAGCATAATAAAAAAAAGAAAAAAGAAAACCCCAGAAAATAAACCTATGCAGGGACAGGTAGAATTTGAATTAGGCTAGGGCCTACCTGGTCAATAATGAAATAATTGCTCAAGGCACGTTCTTCTGTAATCTTTTGCAATGTAACAACTATTCTGTGCCCTACCTCTCAATGCTGCCTCAACATTTGTACATAATCTCAGGGCCTCCTAAAGACACCGATTCAGAGGCCAGACAGTCACTTCCCTAATGCCACAAAAATAGATTCAATTCTACATACATCAGGGTGATTTCAGAAGCAATTTCTCATCTCCAGTGTAAGCATTACTTACATTTTTCCCCCTCAAATCTCATCCCAGTGGTTCCACAGGGCATTTTAAAGGTACCTGATGCATTCTAGGGCAGTCAAAAGATCCTGAGAGTGTTTTTGTAGCTGTAGCCTGAGGACGTCAGATGCATAGAGAGTCCTAACGTATTCAGTGATTCAGACTAATGCAGAATTTTCTAATAATTGAGTATAATAAGTCAATCATTATTTAAATATTTTAGAAAGCAATATTGTTATGATGAATGCATATATACAGTCATATATGTATATTTGTGTATATATGACTGTGTAGGTTTATACCTCTCTCTGTATATTTACGTGTCTGTGTAAATATAAAACACATATGCACACACATACATACACACCTTAATCATTTGAAAAGTTTGTCCCTGGCCTTTAAAACATCTAATTAGATTTCACTGGATATTTCTCCTCTTCCTTTATGGCAAGTTAAACTATTTCAGTCTTGGGTGTTTTCATCTTAAGGGTCTAAGTTTTGGCCCATAGCGAACAGTGACAATGTTATCCTTTGAAACATAAGAAATCAGTATTACCCAGGTTTGCATTTGAGATCAGAAAGATTGAGAACCAATATCTAAAATTTCAGGGTCACAATGATTGTCAAGAAGTTTTGGCCATAATCATTTTGCTTTTAAGAGTCCTCCCAGGGTACTTTTACAAATGGAAAAAAGTGCACAAGAGGCTGGACTGGACAGAAAAGGATGAATTGGTATTACTTGACCAGTATTTTCAATCAGATGAACTTGCAAATGAACTTCTCTGCCCCAGAGCCGAAAGCAGGGGATCCAGTGACAACTTAGCATAGCCAGAGACTCAGTGAGCTCCTGATGAGCCTTTCTCTTTTTTTCTATTATTATTAATTGACACTAATTATATACATATTTATGGGGTATAGTGTGATACATGTATATAATGTATAATAATCAGGGTAATTAATATATTAATCACCTCTAAATTTATCATTCCTTTGTGTTAGAAACATTCAAAATCCACTGCTTTAGCTATTTGAAAATATACAATAAACTGTTATTAATTATAGTCACCCTACAGTACAATAGAACATTAGAACTTATTCCTCCTAGCTACCTGTAATTTTGCAACAGAGGTTGGTTTACAGATGCAAAATTATAGCTAGGATGTTCCTTTCTTTTAAGGAAAAATCAAGCCCATTTTCTTGTCAACCCTGGTCTATGTCAACAACCAATTTCCCTGCTTCTAGGAAATGTATGAGTCTCAGTGATTTATCTGGATTGAAAATGGGAAAAAAAGGACTGGCTTCATGGTTAGGCAAACCGCAAATTTGCTCTGATCCCTAAGAAAAACAGATGTTAAATATTTGCTCATAATCAGTATGTGCCATTAGACTTTGTCTTTAAAAGCCATTATCTAACCTTAAGAAGAACTCAAACTTACCATCACTGGTAATGTGCAAAGCGGTATGATATGTCCATTAATAGGATGTAAAGGGAAGTACGTCATATCAGCTATGTCATATTTTTGCCAAAATGTGTAACCTGAATGTTATCATGATGAAAAAAATTAGACAAATCTGGATTGTGGAACACTCTGCAGGACGACAGCCCTAGACTTTAAAAAAATGTCAAGGCTGGGTGTGGTGGCTCACGCCTGTAATCCCAGCACTTTGGGAGGCCGAGGCGGGCGGATTACGAGGTCAGGAGATCGAGACCATCCTGGCAAACACGGTGAAACCCCGTCTCGACTAAAAATACAAAAAATTAGCCACGCGTGGTGGTGGGCACCTGTATTCCCAGCTACTTGGGAGGCTGAGGCAGGAGAATGGGGTGAACCCAGGAGGCGGAGCTTGCAGTGAGCAGAGATCGCACCACTGCACTCCCTCCTGGGTGATAGAGTGAGACTCCATCAAAAAAAAAAAAAAAAAAAAAAAAAGTCAGTATCCTGAAAGAAAAAATAAAGTTGAGAGGGCTGTTCTAGATCAAAGAGGATAAAGACAGCTGAAAACCAAATACAATGTGAGCGCTCTGATTGGATCCTGGATTAAAATAACAAACAAATAAGCAATAGAGAACATTTGGAGGACATTGAGGCAATTTGACTATGAACTGGTATATTAGATCACTGAAGTAAGGTTATACTTTATTGTGGTTATGTTGAAGAGGTATCCTAGTTCTTAGGAAATACATGCTGAATTCTCTGGAGGTAAAGTGTCATGATGTCTGCAACTTACTTCTAAATGATTCAGAAAATTTTGAAAAAAAAAACATGGATAAGGGGAGAAAGAGAGAGAGGGTGAGTACAGCCAAGTGCAAAAGTGCAAATGTTGCAAAATGGTAGCAGTTGGTGAATCTAGGTAAAGGGTATATGAGTATTCATTTTGCTGTCTTCTCAACATTTTTGTAGGTTTAAACTAATCTCTCTTCCCAAAGACAGTACATCAGTATCTAAGCATAGCTATTGCCTCTGTCCAAGTGCTGTATTCTAAATCTGGGTGCCTATGAGAACTCTCTGAATGACTTACAAAATCCATATCCCTCAGTTGGGCCCCACCTCTCATCCCCCAGGAGATTTTGATTCAGGAGATAAGGTGTGGGGTCCAGATATGGATGTGTTGAAAACCTCCCCAGGTAGGTTCTGTGCTACACTGGAGCTTAGGAATCATGGGCCTGAGTTACTCTCAGATCTGGATCCATTAAAAACAAGCTGTGTGGCTCTGAGATGGCTGGCCAAACACACTTAGCATTGCATAGCTTACCTATAAAATGGGAACAATAATACTAAGGATCTTACAGGACTATGGTGAGGATGAGAGACAGTGTCTACATTATAGAAGGGGATAAATTTTTTCTTTCTTTCTTTATCCTCTCATAGATCCCCATCATCCCAAACTGATCATCTCTTGAGTGATTTTTTACAAAATGGAGGTTCTTCCATTTGTAGCTTACATGGTATGTGGAGGACATCTGTGTTATGCACAGATTCTTTGAGACTTCTTGCATTACCCAATTTGGGGAAGAGGCTGGGAAATCTAGTCTGTTAACTGTCTGATAGAATGGCTGTAAGAACAGAAGCAAGTCTGTCCACAAGGAAGCCTTAGATGTTGGCAGTCTTGGAGTTCTTCTTAGGATAAGGGTTAACCCTGATATCTTAACCACCCAAATCTTGGGATCCTTTATTAACACTGCACAAGGACTCAGGTGCCCTTGACCAATGCTACTTGGAACACTGGCTGTGGTGGAACTGGCAAATGTTTGAGGGATGAGGCTTCCAATCTAAATATGTAACTCATCAGCCATTGTATTTTAGATAAGTTGCTTCTCTGAGCCTCAGTTTCCTAACCACTCAGAGTGGAGACAGTCATAATCTGTGACTCACCTACCTTATGTGGTGTATATGAAACACAGATTTGAAAATCTTAAGCCACTCAATTCAGTGTGGCATATTTTTCTCCTTAAGGACATAACCATCCTCCTCCTCTTTCTTTTTTACTGCTATTATTTTTAACCTGTCTCTATTTATGTCCACAAGCAGTTAGGATGACTTGCTCCCATTTCCATCTGATTTGGGGAAGATTTTTTAAATATTCCTTTTCATCTTAGGATGAACTGCCCCAAGTCTTTGTCAGGGAGAACCTTCATCCCAGTCCATATCAGGCAAGCATCCATACCCTATGCCTGGCAGCACCTGATCAATGTGTGGGGTTCACAGCAGAAGTACTAGGGCTGAGCTGGACCACGGATGTCCCCTTCCCCTTTGTTGGCTCTACTTACTGAATCCGTTGACGTCCTGAGAACTAGAAGAGAAGCCTTCATCATTGCGGCTGGCGCTGAGCTTGGTGGTGGGTTTGTCGGCAGAGGCCACAGGCCCCATCTCCCTCTGGGCTCCACTCTGGGTCTCCTTCTGCTTCTTGGCCAGCTTCCTTTGGGACATGTGCAAGGGGAAAAAACCACAGTCAGATGGTGCCAGTTGCATTAAAGCATTGGGTAGATTGTTCTTCCCCAATGCTCATCCTCAACCCCCAAATCTGGTTCATTCTCCAGAAAAAGAATCAAGGCAGAACAAACCATGAATGGTTTCCATTTACTCAGAAATATGAGACTCACGCTGCTGCCTCACCCCCGACAATGCATGTGTTCTATGTTTGAGCCTAAAATGGGAAATCAATGAGACTTGTACAATGCTTCCCCCACTCTCCTTTCAGAGGAAATCAACAAGATTTGTATTCCTTTCCCTAAGTCTCCTTTCAGAGGGAGGAAGTGGCTAGACTGGCCTTTCTGTTTCTGTGGCTCTGAATGAGATTAAAAATGGAGGCTTGTCTTTCTCAGGAACTGAGCTCATCAAAAACCTACCAAATAATAGTAGAGTGAAGCAGGGGCTGGTGGTTGGAAATGGATGAGTGTGCGGGTTAGTTTCACAGCTCAAAAGAAGGAAATTTAGAGCTGAATTGATGCAACCTTATTCCCATGGGAATAAAAGACCCTCAGAACCAGACGGATATTATCATAATATAACTATTATGATAATAATAGTGTAGAGCAGTGCTTCTCAAACTTTGGTGTAAATTTGAATCACCTGAAGAGTCACAAAAAAATACACACACACACACACACACAGAGGCTCAGGATCATTGAAGTAGGACAGGACCTAGAATTCTACATGGCCATCAAGTTCCCCAAGTTATTCTGACACCAGCCACTGGAGGTTAAAAATATCAGCTTTGGTGTCAGACAGACTCAGGTTCATAGCTTACCTCTGCTGCCTGCCAACTAGCTGCAAGACCCAGGGCAAATTTCTTACTCTAAATCCTGAACTATTCTTCTGTATACTGTGGCAGATGACAGGACCAACCTTATAGGGTTGTGAGGATTAAATGAGACAATGCATAAAATACACAGAGCACAGTGCCTCGCACATAGTGGACACTAGACACCTAGCAGTTGCTATTCTTGTTTTTTCTACTATTGCCAGTGGATCCAACTATATTCTAATGTTGGAATTCCCTCCCCAACAGCCCCACTGTGGGATCCCATCTCTCCCTGAATTCTTTCAAATGATGTGGACTTTGACCTCACTGAGGAACTAAAAAGTTAAAAAGTTCTTTTCTATGGATTTAAAATCTATGTCCTTTAAATTTTAACTGGATAGGTCTCAGATATATCATTAGAGATACAAAAATATGACTAACTCCTCTTGCATATAAGAGTTATTCAAATATTTCGAAAAAGCGAACATGGTCCCTCTTTTTCCAACATATATGCATCGAAATATAGCTGTTATAGTCTTATCACATGAAAGGCTATAGGTTAAACATCAGATATCTTGAGAGTAAATTTCTCCAAGTCTCTTACTCCATCCTTCACAACAGTAGGCTTCAAATTCAATTTTGGTCATTCCTGTCCTGTCTCAACACACAAAAAGGGCTGTCCCAGAGAGGTCAAATCCAGTGCAATACAGGGAATAATTTTCCAAGGTTGAGCCCCACTGATCATGAAACAGATAGTTTCAAGAGGTAACAATCTCCCTGCCAGAGGAAGTATAAAAGGAAAGGATAAACCTCAACTTAGGCTGGGAACAGTGGCTCATGCCTGTAATCCCAGCACGCTGGGAGGCTGAGCTGGGCAGATCACTTGAGCCCAGGAATTGAGACCAGCTTGGGCAACATGGTGAAACCCCATCTCTACAAAAATTAGCCAGGTGTGGTGGTGCACACCTGTGCTACTCAGCAGGCTGAGGTGGGAAGATCACTTGAGAGCCCAAGAGGTGGAGGCTGCAGTGAGCCGAGATCACGCCTCTGCACTCCAGTCTGGGTGACAGAGTGAGACCCCATCAAACAAACAAACAAACAAAAAACAGAAAAGAAAAGAAAGACCCAAACCTCAGCTTAGAAGTGTTTTAGAGGAGTTCACATAGGACAAATTCCAGTTTGATAGCATCCTCCTTGAAACATGAATCTCATGCTCTAGGTGTAGACTTCACAGAAGAATGACAGAGGGCATACTCAAATGAGGACAATTTGAGGAAGGTTTATTTATAAAAGGTCTGCTGATAAAGGTGACAAATGTATAGAGACCCATAATATACTAGTGCCTCAGTAGGAGAGCTGTTTATTACCTATGGGACCAGAGGAACAAATAGAGGAAGCAGTAACCAGAGCCCCAAAGAAGAGAGCTGTGAAAAGGAGGTACCCTGAACAGAAGCAGCGGCTTTCTCTTGAAAGGCCCAGCCAGTCATAGACAACCTGACAGGGAGAGAACCAGAGGCAAAAAAAAAAAAAAAAAAAAAAAATGCCCTGACTACACCTTATGCCCTTCCTCTGGTCGCCTGTGGCAGTTCTCACTAGCTGAACCCAACAAGTCAGAAGTGGCAAGTGATCTTTTTGACAGACTTCATACAGAATGCACTCTGGAAGCAGAGAGCACAGTAGAGAAAGGTGGAAAGGGGAACTGGATCCAGGAATCCCAACCAAGAAGAGAAAAGTTGCGTGTGTGTGTGTGTGTGTGTGTGTGTGTATGTATGTGTGGACAGTGTCTTATTCTGTTGCCTACACTGGAGTGCAGTGGTGCGATTTCAGCTCACTGCAGCCTCTGCCTCCCAGGCTCAAGTAATTCTCATGCCTCAGCCTCCAGAGTAGCTGGGACTACAGGTGTCTGCCACCGCATCCAGCTAAGTTTTTGTAATTTAGTAGAGACAGCGTTTTACCATATTGCCCAGGGTGGTCTTGAACTCCTGAGCTCAGGCAATCCGCCTGCATTGGCCTCCCAAAGTGCTAGGATTACAGGTGGGAGCCACCGTGCCCAGCCGAGAAAGTTTCTTTATACGTCTCGTTTTGGCCATAATTTGGAGAAACATGTAGCCTAAAATGGAATTCTTTATTCACTAATTTTTTTAAGTTGGCTCGGGGAAAGAAAGGCACTCAGGAAGAGGAATGCATCTTTTCATTATAATGCTTTGGCCACAGGCACACTGTTCTACCAGTAAAATGATTCCAGGCAGATATACAACAAGAAATGAAGCATTGGATTGGTCAGACAATTAGACAGGGGCGGGGGAATGCCAACGAAAGAAAAATGAGCAATTCTGCTTCTGATGACATTTTGAAATTTTATTCTTCATTTATTATCAAAAAGGAGTGTGTTTAAAAATGTATATGTGACCTTCTTAATCATAAATTTGAAAAGAAATATAGCAGATTCTTTGCTTCTATCTGAGCTCTGCTCACATTGCCCCAGCAGGAAATAAAAGGAAATCTGATAAGAGAGTTAACTTAAAACTATAAATGAGTATGTTTCGGAGGCTTTGATATTTCCTTAGGGGCAGAACTCTCAACCAATCTCATTCCATTCAGGGTAAAGTAATATGGAAAGGGTTGTCTTAGGCACAGATCATTGGTTTTCAAAGGAATCATAATAATAATGAAAGCCTTGCTGCTTTTATGAAAAATGGTACTTTATAGAAATGTTTGGGTAGCTCTGAACACCTGTATTAAAAAAAGAAAAACTAAGCATCCCCAAAACACATATTTAAAAATTGGAAAGCTAACTGAATTGTAAAAATATCAGATATATTACATCCTTAGTATTTAAAGCTGATGGCTGACTCTGTATTTTCATGGTGATAATAATGTTATATAATCATTTTAATGTATGGATAGATGTTATGGCAATTGGCAAAGACAGCTACAAGGTGGAAATGGAGGGGGTATTTGTGGAAGGAAATAAAACACAAAACCACAGTTTGGGGATCTATATCTATTCTTTCAGAATTCTGAATTTAAGTGTTAAAAAGACCTCTCAGTAACACAGAAAAATTGACATTCATCTCCATAGCCAAATAATTTAATTTACTACCTCATTATTTTTCTCTCTCAACGAAAGAGAAACCCAAATCTGTGAATAGGGCAAACAAGACCCTTAAACTAAGGACTGGGCTTCAACTCAGTCTTATTCTCTGCACATAACCTTATCCTCCCCTTTCAGAAAACATCAACTACCTCCTCCCACCACACTATTTCTCAATACTCCATATTCCTTGATGTGTCCCTCTTCTTCTCCACTGGTCACCTCCTCTTTGTCCTCCAAGGCTCAATGTAAGTGTCACATCTCCTCTGAGGCTTCTCCCTGCTCTTCTACATAGAATTATAATTTTCTCCTCTTGCTTGACTCATCCATTGAACATGTACATGTATAAGTCTCTGCTAAATACTAGAAGATCATGTCTTCTTGACCTTAATCCACATGGAACATGAAGACTAATGGCAAAGACGGGCATTAAACAGATAAATACAGAGACAAAAATCACAAAGACGATGAACACCAAGAAGAAATACCTGTTGCTATGTAAGAGCTAGAACCTGGTTTGAACCCTGGCAGCAGATCAGGGAGGGTTTTGGTGCCATGTTAGCTACGTACTTGTTGAGTCAAATTGCAGTGATTCAACTCTTTCACCTACTACGACAAGAACTTCTTGGGAAAGGGCTTTTGACTCTTTGCACCTACTCCAATTTCTTGCTGAGTGTCTGGCACATGGCTCAATAAACTTGTTGCACGAATTTATACTTAAAAGTCTGCAATTTGGAGTCTAGAAAAGATAGTCCTCTTACTCTGAACACAAATTACAACCACTTTAAAAGTAGATACGTGCAAAGAAAGAGAAGGAAACGCCTGCATAAAATTAGCTGGTGACCTGGAATATTCGTAACTAGAAATATTTTGGGCGGTAACTTAGCATTTCCTTCTTGGAATGTTTGCAGAATTAACAAAATATTCATGGGAGTCAGAGATTTCCCCCGCAGAGCCCACAAAATAGCTGCAGCTATAGCATGTTGAAGAAGAAAAAAAAAATCTCATGCAATAGTCATATGACTCATGGGATGATCATATAATTCATGGAATTCTCAGAGCCTTCAAAACTCAAGTACTTATGACTTTCTGAACTGAGGATTTTTTTCTGTAGTTGCTTTGAGATTTTTGCCAACTGGGTCACACAATTTCGCCAGCAGGGGGTACCAAAAGCTGATAAAAAGAGAGTATGCATAAGTCTGTTTATTCCTTTGCAGGAACATTTCCAAAGCTGAAGACTGTTTTAAGACACAGCAATCCAAAGTTTACTGCTTCTGACAGGTGAGGACGAGGTGACGCGGCCATAGCTCTTGGCATTTTCCTTCTAACGGATCACTTTGAGCTCTCTCTGACCTTCGCTTGTTAGCTGAGGGAGGGGTAGGTGGCAGGGGATGGGCCCAGGATGGACCATGAGTCCTGTGATTTGTTCTGAGTGCCACTCTTTACAAGGGATACTGGCAGGTAGAATGGCTCACGGGAGAGGAATGAAGGGCTGTTAAAAGTGTGGAAATCATGCTACGAGAGGAGGAGTGCGTGAAACATCCAGGGACATTTCTCACGGAGAGGGAATACAAAGTAACGTTCTCTTCATGCATCTGATGGTTGGGTCTCTATGGTCCCAGGGGCAGAATGAGGACCAGGTTGGCTTGATACAACGAAGGAATTTCTTTTTTTTTTTTTATTATACTTTTAGTTTTAGGGTACATGTGCACAACGTGCAGGTTTGTTACATATGTATACATGTGCCATGTTGGTCTGTGGTGGGGTGGGGGGAGGGGGGAGGGATAGCATTAGGAGATATACCTAATGTTAAATGACGAGTTAATGGGTGCAGCACACCAACATGGCACAACGAAGGAATTTCTAGCAAAGTAGAACTGCTTAGGTCTCTTTTGGAAGCACCTAACGCCTGAATTCCCCTCCCCAATTTTTCTGGTTTAGCAACCTTCTCTTCACCTTTTAAGGCCCAACTCAAATGTCCCCTACTCTTAGAAGTCTTTGCCTCCTTCCCAAAGTTAGAAGTTCCCTCCTCTTTGCTCATTAATTTGTTGGACAAATAGTTAATGAGCAAGTACGTTGAATCTGTGGCTGTTAGAAGGAAGGAGATGATGATATGAAAAACAAGACAGGAATCCTGCCCTGTTTGGCTTTTGCAAGTACTCAGCTCCCTGCTATTGGAGAAGTTCAAGTAGAGACTGGGAAACCACTTAGAAAAGAGGTGGTGGAGGATCCCAGGATTTGGACTCTGCAAAACCCTTGACTCTCTTCTGGGCTAGGAACAGGACCATCCAGCCAACTGGTGGGGGCAGGAGTCTACAGGGTTCCACCTAGAGTTTTTCCCTGAATGTGGGAGCCATGCCCACTCTCCTGGGGAGACACTGATCAGGCACTCTTCCTCTTCCCCATAGGGCTCCTCCTCTGGGCCATCCTCCATTGCAATCTCCAGATAAACTTTCCTGGAAACCATGAAGATTGAAATCCTGGAGTCAGAGATCTCAGCCATAGGAAGTGGACCAAAAAAAAAATTCACAAGTGAGGCCCTGCTTCTACTAAAAGCTGGCACTGTCCTCTTTGAATCCAGGATGCTCTGCTGGCATGACTAGATCTCAGCTTAAAGTTACACATCGCAACTGTAAGGGAACTATAGCATCTTCTCATTTCATAGACAAGACACTGAGGCCTGGACAGAGTAGTCCCTTAGCTAAGATGCACAGCATGTAGGATGCAAGCCCTGCTTTCTGCCTGCCAGTTCAGGAATGTGGACACCTGCTCCACATTCCTCCATGCTTCTTCTAGGGATTTGCCCTTCCAGATTAGAAGGGCAAATTCAGTCTGTGGTACACATGATTCCAGTGTCTTACAAATGCAGCAAAACTTTATTCATCTATGCCCCCACTGACTCAGAATTACTGTAATTGAGGCAAAGGCTGAGCTACATCACATAAGAATCAATAGTGTAGCAGGGGGAGGAGCCAAGATGGCCGAATAGGAACAGCTCTGGTCTACAGCTCCCAGCGTGAGCGACGCAGAAGACGGTGATTTCTGCATTTCCATCTGAGGTACCGGGTTCATCTCACTAGGGAGTGCCAGACAGTGGGCGCAGGTCAGTGGGTGCGCGCACCATGCGCGAGCCGAAGCAGGGCGAGGCATTGCCTCACTTGGGAAGCGCAAGGGGTCAGGGAGTTCCCTTTCCGAGTCAAAGAAAGGGGTGACGGACGGCACCTGGAAAATCGGGTCACTCCCACCCGAATACTGCGCATTTCCGACGGGCTTAAAAAACGGCGAACCACGAGATTATATCCCACACCTGGCTTGGAGGGTCCTACGCCCACGGAGTCTCGCTGATTGCTAGCACAGCAGTCTGAGATCAAACTGCAAGGTGGCAGCGAGGCTGGGGGAGGGGCACCCGCCATTGCCCAGGCTTGCTTAGATAAACAAAGCAGCCCGGAAGCTCGAACTGGGTGAACTGGGCGGAGCCCACCACAGCACAAGGAGGCCTGCCTGCCTCTGTAGGCTCCACCTCTGGGGGCAGGGCACAGACAAACAAAAAGACAGCAGTAACCTCTGCAGACTTAAATGTCCCTGTCTGACAGCTTTGAAGAGAGCAGTGGTTCTGCCAGCACGCAGCTGGAGATCTGAGAACCTGCAGACTGCCTCCTCAAGTGGGTCCCTGACCCCTGACCCCCGAGCAGCCTAACTGGGAGGCACCCCCCAGCAGGGGCACACTGACACCTCACAAGGCAGGGTATTCCAACAGACCTGCAGCTGAGGGTCCTATCTGTTAGAAGGAAAACTAACAAACAGAAAGGACATCCACACCGAAAACCCATCTGTACATCACCATCATCAAAGACCAAAAGTAGATAAAACCACAAAGATGGGGAAAAAACAGAACAGAAAAAC
Source organism: Homo sapiens (assembly GCF_000001405.40). Lineage (NCBI taxonomy): Eukaryota > Metazoa > Chordata > Mammalia > Primates > Hominidae > Homo > Homo sapiens. The sequence continues at coordinate 42,207,211 of NC_000020.11, forward strand.
TGGAAATTCTAAAACGCAGAGCGCCTCTCCTCCTCCAAAGGAACACAGTTCGTCACCAGCAACGGAACAAAGCTGGATGGAGAATGACTTTGACGAGCTGAGAGAAGAAGGCTTCAGACGATCAAATTACTCTGAGCTACAGGAGGACATTCAAACCAAAGGCAAAGAAGTTGAAAACTTTGAAAAAAATTTAGAAGAATGTATAACTAGAATAACCAATACAGAGAAGTGCTTAAAGGAGCTGATGGAGCTGAAAACCAAGGCTCGAGAACTACGTGAAGAATGCAGAAGCCTCAGGAGCCGATGCGATCAACTGGAAGAAAGGGTATCAGCAATGGAAGATGAAATGAATGAAATGAAGCGAGAAGGGAAGTTTAGAGAAAAAAGAATAAAAAGAAATGAGCAAAGCCTCCAAGAAATATGGGACTATGTGAAAAGACCAAATCTACGTCTGATTGGTGTACCTGAAAGTGATGGGGAGAATGGAACCAAGTTGGAAAACACTCTGCAGGGTATTATCCAGGAGAACTTCCCCAATCTAGCAAGGCAGGCCAACGTTCAGATTCAGGAAATACAGAGAACGCCACAAAGATACTCCTCGAGAAGAGCAACTCCAAGACACATAATTGTCAGATTCACCAAAGTTGAAATGAAGGAAAAAATGTTAAGGGCAGCCAGAGAGAAAGGTCGGGTTACCCTCAAAGGGAAGCCCATCAGACTAACAGCGGATCTCTCGGCAGAAACCCTACAAGCCAGAAGAGAGTGGGGGCCAATATTCAACATTCTTAAAGAAAAGAATTTTCAACCCAGAATTTCATATCCAGCCAAACTCAGCTTCATAAGTGAAGGAGAAATAAAATACTTTACAGACAAGCAAATGCTGAGAGATTTTGTCACCACCAGGCCTGCCCTAAAAGAGCTCCTGAAGGAAGCGCTAAACATGGAAAGGAGCAACCGGTACCAGCTGCTGCAAAATCATGCCAAAATGTAAAGACCATCGAGACTAGGAAGAAACTGCATCAACTAACGAGCAAAATCACCAGCTAACGTCATAATGACAGAATCAAATTCACACATAACAATATTAACTTTAAATGTAAATGGACTAAATGCTCCAATTAAAAGACACAGACTGGCAAGTTGGATAAAGAGTCAAGACTCATCAGTGTGCTGTATTCAGGAAACCCATCTCACGTGCAGAGACACACATAGGCTCAAAATAAAAGGATGGAGGAAGATCTACCAAGCAAATGGAAAACAAAAAAAAGGCAGGGGTTGCAATCCTAGTCTCTGATAAAACCGACTTTAAACCAACAAAGATCAAAAGAGACAAAGAAGGCCATTACATAATGGTAAAGGGATCAATTCAACAAGAAGAGCTAACTATCCTAAATATATATGCACCCAATACAGGAGCACCAAGATTCATAAAGCAAGTCCTGAGTGACCTACAAAGAGACTTAGACTCCCACACATTAATAATGGGAGACTTTAACACCCCACTGTCAACATTAGACAGATCAATGAGACAGAAATTCAACAAGGATACCCAGGAATTGAACTCAGCTCTGCACCGAGTGGACCTAATAGACATCTACAGAACTCTCCACCCCAAATCAACAGAATATACATTTTTTTCAGCACCACACCACACCTATTCCAAAATTGACCACATACTTGGAAGTAAAGGTCTCCTTAGCAAATGTAAAAGAACACAGAAATTATAACAAACTATCTCTCAGACCACAGTGCAATCAAACTAGAACTCAGGATTAAGAATCTCACTCAAAACCGCTCAACGACATGGAAACTGAACAACCTGCTCCTGAATGACTACTGGGTACATAACGAAATGAAGGCACAAAGAAAGATGTTCTTTGAAACCAATGAGAACAAAGACACAACATACCAGAATCTCTGGGACACATTTAAAGCAGTGTGTAGAAGTAAATTTATAGCACTTAATGCCCACAAGAGAAAGCAGGAAAGATCCAAAATTAATACCCTAACATCACAATTAAAAGAACTAGAAAAGCAAGAGCAAACACATTCAAAAGCTAGCAGAAGGCAAGAAATAACTAAGATCAGAGCAGAACTGAAGGAAATAGAGACACAAAAAACCCTTCAAAAAATTAATGAATCCAGGAGCTGGTTTTTTGAAAGGATCTACAAAATTGATAGACTGCTAGCAAGACTAATAAAGAAAAAAAGAGAGAAGAATCTAATAGACACAATAAAAAATGATAAAGGGGATATCACCACCAATCCCACAGAAATGCAAACTACCATCAGAGAATACTACAAACACCTCTACGCAAATGAACTAGAAAATCTAGAAGAAATGGATAAATTCCTTGACACATACACTCTCCCAAGACTAAACCAGGAAGAAGTTGAATCTCTGAATAGACCAATAACAGGATCTGAAATTGTGGCAATAATCAATAGCTTACCAACCAAAAAGAGTCCAGGACCAGATAGATTCACAGCTGAATTCTACCAGAGGTACAAGGAGGAACTGGTACCATTCCTTCTGAAACTATTCCAATCAATAGAAAAAGAGGGAATCCTCCATAACTCATTTTATGAGGCCAGCATCATTCTGATACCAAAGCCTGGCAGAGACACAACAAAAAAAGAGAATTTTAGACCAATATCCTTGATGAACATTGATGCAAAAATCCTCAATAAAATACTGGCAAAACGAATCCAGCAGCACATCAAAAAGCTTATCCACCATGATCAAGTGGGCTTCCTCCCTGGGATGCAAGGCTGGTTCAATATACGCAAATCAATAAATGTAATCCAGCATATAAACAGAGCCAAAGACAAAAACCACATGATTATTTCAATAGATGCAGAAAAAGCCTTTGACAAAATTCAACAACCCTTCATGCTAAAAACTCTCAATAAATTGGGTATTAATGGGACGTATTTCAAAATAATAAGAGCTATCTATGACAAACCCACAGCCAATATCATACTGAATGGGCAAAAACTGGAAGCATTCTCTTTGAAAACTGGCACAAGACAGGGATGCCCTCTCTCACCACTCCTATTCAACACAGTGTTGGAAGTTCTGGCCAGGGCAATGAGGCAGGAGAAGGAAATAAAGGGTATTCAATTAGGAAAAGAGGAAGTCAAATTGTCCCTGTTTGCAGATGACATGATTGTATATCTAGAAAACCCCATCGTCTCAGCCCAAAATCTCCTTAAGCTGATAAGCAACTTCAGCAAAGTCTCAGGATACAAAATCAATGTACAAAAATCATAAGCATTCTTATACACCAACAGACAAACAGAGAGCCAAATCATGAGTGAACTCCCATTCACAATTGCCTCAAAGAGAATAAAATACCTAGGAATCCAACTTACAAGGGATGTGAAGGACCTCTTCAAGGAGAACTACAAACCACTGCTCAAGGAAATAAAAGAGGATACAAACAAATGGAAGAACATTCCATGCTCATGGGTAGGAAGAATCAATATCGTGAAAATGGCCATACTGCCCAAGGTAATTTACAGATTCAATGCCATCCCCATCAAGTTACCAATGACTTTCTTCATAGAATTGGAAAAAACTACTTTAAAATTCATATGGAACCAAAGAAGAGCCCACATCGCCAAGTCAATCCTAACCCAAAAGAACAAAGCTGGAGGCATCACACTACCTGACTTCAAACTATACTACAAGGCTACAGTAACCAAAACAGCATGGTACTGGTACCAAAACAGAGATATAGATCAATGGAACAGAACAGAGCCCTCAGAAATAACGCCGCATATCTACAACTGTCTGATCTTTGACAAACCTGAGAAAAACAAGCAATGGGGAAAGGATTCCCTCTCTAATAAATGGTGCTGGGTAAACTGGCTAGCCATATGTAGAAAGCTGAAACTGGATCCCTTCCTTACACCTTATACAAAAATCAGTTCAAGATGGATTAAAGACTTAAACGTTAGACCTAAAACCATAAAAACCCTAGAAGGAAACCTAGGCATTACCATTCAGGACATAGGCATGGGCAAGGACTTCATGTCTAAAACACCAAAAGCAATGGCAACAAAAGACAAAATTGACAAATGGGATCTAATTAAACTAAAGAGCTTCTGCACAGCAAAAGAAACTACCATCAGAGTGAACGGGCAACCTACAAAATGGGAGAAAATTTTCGCAACCTACTCATCTGACAAAGGGCTAATATCCAGAATCTACAATGAACTCAAACAAATTTACAAGAAAAAAACAAACAACCCCGTCAAAAAGTGGGCGAAGGACATGAACAGACACTTCTCAAAAGAAGACATTTATGCAGCCAAAAAACACATGAAAAAATGCTCACCATCACTGGCCATCAGAGAAATGCAAATCAAAACCACAATGAGATACCATCTCACACCAGTTAGAATGGCCATCATTAAAAAGTCAGGAAACAACAGGTGCTGGAGAGGATGTGGAGAAATAGGAACACTTTTACACTGTTGGTGGGACTGTAAACTAGTTCAACCATTGTGGAAGTCAGTGTGGCGATTCCTCAGGGATCTAGAACTGGAAATACCATTTGACCCAGCCATCCCATTACTGGGTATATACCCAAAGGACTATAAATCATGCTGCTATAAAGACACATGCACACATATGTTTATTGCGGCGTTATTCACAATAGCAAAGACTTGGAACCAACCCAAATGTCCAACAATGATAGACTGGATTAAGAAAATGTGGCCCATATACACCATGGAATACTATGCAGCCATAAAAAATGATGAGTTCATGTCCTTTGTAGGGACATGGATGAAACTGGAAAACATCATTCTCAGTAAACTATCACAAGAAAAAAAAACCAAACACCGCATATTCTCACTCATAGATGGGAATTGAACAATGAGATCACATGGACACAGGAAGGGGAATATCACACTCTGGGAACTGTTGTGGGGTGGGGGGAGGGGGGAGGGATAGCATTGGGAGATATACCTAATGCTAGATGACGAGTTAGTGGGTGCAGTGCACCAGCATGGCACATGTATACATATGTAACATGTAACTAACCTGCACAATGTGCACATGTACCCTAAAACTTAAAGTATAAAAAAAAAAAAAAGACAAAAAAAAAAAAAGAGTTCAATGTGTTGGGAAGTCACAAAGTATAAGTACCATGCTAGTGCTAGGAAAATAAAGATGACCCAATTAGTCTTTTTTCTCAAAAAAAAAAAAAAAAAAAAAGAATCAATAGTGTAAATAGGGATATGGATGTGTGCAGCATTTAAAGGAGAATGCACTGTTTTCCCTCGTATCAGGAGGCAGGACTGCATAGCAGTTAATATACTGGCTTTGGTGCCAGACAGCCTGGCATCAAAATCTGGCTCCATGTCAGACTAGCTGTGCAAGCTCTTGCAAGTTACTGAGCCCTCTGCATGCCAGTTTCCTCCTGCCTGTAAAACACGGATTAGAGTAGTACTTCCCCCGTCAGACTGTTGGGAGGATTGAATGGTATGTTGCTGGTAAACCACTTTGCCCAGGGTATGCACACAGTAAGCACTCAATAAATGCTCTCTGGTATGATCATATTTTAAATACAAAAAAATCCATGTTAGTTTAAATAACCTCATTATTTATTAAATATGAATACTTTGAAGTGGATGCCCTGGATAATGACTTTTCTTTAAAAACCTCCATTGATGCAGTCTAGAGCCATGCTTTTCAGCTTTGGCTGAGCACATCATTTGGGGAGCTTTAAAAATTACCAGTGAGATTCTAATTTAATTGGTCTGGGGTGCAGCCTGGGCATCTGGGCATTCAGAAGCTTTCCAGGTGATTATAGTGTGCCACTAAGCTTGAGCACCACCGATGCGGAACAGCTGTTCTCCAAGTGTGGTTTCCCTGGACCAGCAGCATCCGCTTCACCTGGGGATGTATTAGCAACGCAAGTTCACCGGCCCTGCCCTGACCTACTGAATCAGAAACTCTAGGTGATCAATAAGCCCTCCAAGCAATTCTACTGCATGCCAAAGTTTGAGAACCACCGAAGTAGGTGGGCCCACTCTTCAGCAGGTCTGAATTAGTAAAGTTTCATTCTTGAAAATGGAACACTAGAAGGTAAGAGACCCGGGTGCCGGGTCCAGATCTCCAGATATCTCATTGAGTTGCCGTGAACACTCCCTTTCCCCTCTCTGTGTATTGATTTCACTATAGTGGGGGAGTTGGCATCTAAGAATCATGGCAACAACTGATGCTTTTAAAATGATTGTTATGGATTGAACTGTGTTCCACTCACCCACTCTCTGGCCGCAAAAGATATGTTGAAGTCCTAATCCATAGTACCTGTCAATGTTACCTTATTTGGAAATAGGGTCTTTGCAGACGTAACGAAGTTAAAATGAGGTCACTAGGGTGGCTCTGATTCCCAGATGACTGATGTCCTTACAAGGAGAGGGAAATTTGGACAGAAGTGCACTGGAAGAATGCCACATGACAACAAAGGTGGCGATGGGAGTGATGAGCCATAAGCCAAGGAGCACGGAGGACTGGTGGGCACCACCAGCTGCCAGGAAGAGGCATGGCACCATTCTATTTAGAGTCTCAGAGGGAGCCTGACCCCTCCAACACCTTGATTTTGGATTTATAGCTTCTAAAATTATGAGAGGACAAATTTTGGTTAAGTCATCTAGTTTGTGAGACATTGGTACAGTAGCCTGAGGAAACTAATAAAATGACCATAATTCCTAAATTGATGTTATTTGTTTAATAAACATTATAGAGTACTTATTGAATACCAGCCACTATTCAAGGCCTTTATAAACAGGGTATTAAGTTCCTTAATTCTGCTACAACACCGTGAGGCCAGGAGTATTATTAGTTCCATTTTACAGATAAAAGAATTGAGGCAGAGAGAGTTGAAGTAACCCATGGAAAGCCACCCAGGCTTTCAGAGGCAGAGCTAGGATTCAAACCCTCCAGTCAGGCTTCTAAATGTTCTCTAAGATTCCCTGTTATGTCACGCTTAGGCAAAAAGCCATCACATATCTCCCCTTGTCCTAAAGCTTTCTCAGCTGTCTCCCTTTCTCCCCAGGCAAACACACACTCACACATATGCACATACATGCATAGACAGCTGCGGCCAGAAAACTCACTCACAACCACTCATGTCCTGCAGGCAATGAGCATCCTGTCTGCTCACTGCCTCTGTTGGGTACCAATTCTGGGGCATAGCTGGTGGGTCCTTTCCCTCCTGCCCCATCACCCTCATCTAGGGCTTGTGAATCCCCCAGCATGGCAAAGTTACAGAAGCAACAGCAGCAGCAACAGCAGCAGCAACAGACGTCATGACAATTTGAAAGGCCAAAGGACTTGGTCTTCTACTTCCATTGCTTTGCTATCTTGCTGTCCATATCTGTGCCTCTATCTGTCTATCTCTGCTTCTTTATTCTGCCTGTGACTACCTCTCTGGCCTGGATGGGCTCTCCTACCAATCACACTCTTTCCACTTAGGCAATAGTCAGACCCTGTTGGACCATTCTCTGCACCCAGCAGTGAAATCAGAGCAGCAGAAAGCCCGAAACACAGGTGAGGCCCTCCTCCCTCTGGGTACATGGCCATACTGGCCCCTGGGCCCTAAAGCAGAGCCTAGGAATAGCACTGACTTTGGAGCCACACTGCCTAGACTGAAATCCTGGCTCCATGATTTATTAGATGTATAGTCTTGGGCAATTGCTAAACCTCCCTATAACTCAGTTTTCTCTTCTGTCAAATAGGGATAATTATAATGAATTCTCTTAGCAATGCTTTGAGGTAGATACTAACTTATAATTATGAAAGTACTTAACTGGGATCTGTCACCTACCAAATAAGCTCTACATAAGCATTTGTTACATAATAGGTGATAAGAAAGAAAAAAGTGCTTCAAAGCAGAGTGTGACCAGAATTCATGGTTCAGACAATGGGAGCTTCCCTGAATGAATGCTGTCTGAGCTCTGAACCCCTGGGTTGGGGAGATGGCCCCTCTGTTCTTGGTGTTGCAGAAATACCATGGGCTCTGGCCCTGGACTGACTTGGCTCCTAACAGTGGTGTAATCATGATCAGGTCTCCATTTCTGTGACTCTGTGAGACTCAATTTCCTCGTCTATAGAATAGAATTTAATATACCCTAATTTGCAGAGTTACTGTGATGATGAGAAATGATAAATGATGACAGTTCCCTAGCATGGTCTTTGGCATATAAAGATATGCAACAAATGCTAGTTCTTTTTTATCCTCCTTCCTTGCCCCAGCAATCCGCATGACTTTTTCCTTGCTTTCATTTTTAATTTTATGTTTGATCTGCTTCCCAAGATGAGCACTCTAGGGAACCAAGGTGACTAATCTTTCCTCCCTGTAGTTTCATCTTGCTCTATCCATATCCTGCTCATACGACCCGAAACCAAACCAGCCAGTGGGGCAGATGCTCTTCCCCTATTCATGCGTTGACCTTCAGTTTCACATCATTAAAAGTTGTAGAATCTTGGATTCTCTGGCTGGAAAGGCCCTCCCAGTCATTTTCCCACCCTAGCTAGGAGACTCCTTGCAGCATCCCCAGCCAGTGGGTATCCAGCCCCCGACTGCTGAATTCCAGCAACCCAAACTCATCACCTCTGTGGGCAGCTCTTTAACAGACTGCAGCTCCCTATATAGGGCCATTCCTTGCTGAGCTGAGGCTGAGCTGAACTCTGTCTCCTGAAGGCCTCACCCTTTAGATGCTCCTCCTCGGTCTGTCTGCTATATCCCAACAAAGCCTGTATGTGGATAGATGATGACCATGAATTCTTCAAGCTTTATCCCAAGCAACCGCTTCCAAGCAGCGTCTCCTGGTTGCTGAGGCTTTATGGCTATTTCCCTACAGCTGAGTGAACCTCCTTCTCCGTTCCACACTCACATGCCCACATCTCTTCTCAGATCTCAAACCAGGACTCCAGGGTGATCTCCCTCTCACCAGCTCACAACTGCCTCCTCTCACCCTGACCCCATCTTAGACCTTCAGTTGCCAACTAGAAACATCATCTCCTTCTTGCTGAATGGCTAACTTACAGGGCTATTGCCCTGCTAGACTATAACCACAAGGACAACAACCTTTTTGGCCTTGTTCACTACCAATTCCCCAGGGCCTTACATAGATTTTGGAACAAGCGGGTATCCTGTAAAGACCTGTTGAATTAACATATTAAGAGATGATCACAAGTCCTTCAAATCCCATTCAAATCATCACTTCTTTCAGGAAGCCTTTTCTGATCTCTTCGTGATAGGGTAGGCCTTGCTTCTGTTTTGTATCCCAGTCATTTGCCTATCTTCTCTCATCACTTTTCATTATAATCAAGGTACAAAATATACATATTTGCGTATTGTATTTGTATTTCCTTTAGCACATAGTTTAGCACTTCCCACAATGTTGTAAAAGCTTTAAACATGTTTATGGAATGAATGAATAAATTGAGTGACACTTTCCATTCCTTTATTGTTGCATCGTCCCATATTTGAGCTTCCCCGTGTCTACGACTTGACCCTTTTCATCAATTTCTGCACCAAATTTCTGTATTTAAGCAGGGTCCTACTTACTATTCTACAAGTTGGCTTTCTTCTGCAGGTAGTGCATGGCAATGATTCTCAGACTTGAGTGTGCATCAGAATCACCTTGTTAAGCAGGCATTGTTGGTCTCCATCACCAGTTTCTGATTTGGTAAATCAGGGGTGAGTGCAAAAACTTTTCATTTCCGAGTTCCTAGGAGACGCTAGGTTCTATATTTTGAGAACTACTGGTCTATGGAATGCCATCTTCTGCCCCAGAGGGGATCACATACCATTTATCTTCCAACTTTTCTTCATCAGTCACCTCAAACATTACATCCAGGCCAGGCGCAGTGGCTCATGCCTGTAATCCCAGCATTTTAGGAGGCTGAGGCAGGTGGATCACCTGAGGACAGGAGTTCGAGACCAGCCTGGCCAACATGGCGAAATCCCGTCTCTACTAAAATACAAAAATTAGCCCGGTGTGGTGACACACGCCTGAAGTCCCAGCTACTGGGGAGGCTGAGGCAGGAGAATCACTTGAACCTGAGAGGCGGGGAGGTTGGAGTGAGCCGAGATCACACCAATGCACTCCAGCCTGGGGGATAGAGTGAGACTCTCAAACATACACACACACACACACACACACACACACACACACACACACACACACACAGAACATTACGTCCATCCCCCACTCCACCCCAAAACTGTAGATGGGCATAAGACCATCTATCCTTTAATCCACAATTCCCATTTTTCTAGAATTTTATCCTAAGGAAATAATAAGAAGGAAAATATACATGTATCATGTAGGTACCACTGGAAACACAGCTTCCTCTATGCCAGGATTTCTCAACCTCAGCACTGTTGGTATTTTGGGCCAGATAATTATTTGCTACGTATGTGTTGGGGAGTTACCTAGTGCACTGCGGGATGCTTAGTAGCATCCTCCTTGGTTTCCACCCTCTAGATGCCAGTAGTTCCCCCTACTCCCAGGCATGTCAATAAAAATGTCTCTAGACATTGCAAAATGGTTTTCTTTTTGGGTAGGCAGAATTGCCCCTACTACTGGCATAGTTAGGTAAATGTAACAGTTTAACATTTAGCAGATACTACCATGTGCTTAGTATTTTAAACATAGCTCCGATTTTCACAACACTAACAAGGTAGTGATTATTTCTTTTGTTTTATAGGTGAGGAATTCAGGGCCCAGAAAGGTTAATCCTAAACTCGTAAAACAGGTAAAGGGAACAGGTGGGATTTGAGCCTAGCTCTTCAGCCTGCTGAGAGCATGCTCTCCTCCTCACCCAACTTGGCTGCCTTTCTTTAATAGCAAATGATCGGTTAAAGCCTCGTAAATGTCTAACAATAGGGAACTGGTTCAGTAAATTATAGTGCATCCCCTGGATGGAATATTATGCAGCCATTAAAATGATGGAGGGCCATTAAAAATGAAAACCATGTAACGACATGGAAAAATGCTAACTGGATTACATTAAGTTAAAAAAACTAGAAAATAAAAATGTGTCTACATTGTGATTACAACGATGAAGAAGTATATCTATGTGCGGATGGCTCATGTGTTGGATTGAGGATATTAAGGATAATTTTCCTTTCTTCTTTGATATCCATTATTGTTATCAGAGTGTCTTCATGATCCTAATTTCTAAGTAGTAGCAGAGTAATGATAAGATTCAAGATGTTAGGTTTGCCCTAGGCCCTTCTTCCACCTGAATTAGAATGAAGACTTCTCTAAACTCTGACTATAGCAAGGGGTTGATTTACCCTTACTTTCCCTCCTATTAGCACTGTTGCATGTATGTTTGTGACCCCAGGCCCCTCTCCTTGCACTGACCAGCTTCTCCCAAGCACAGAAAGCTGGAAGCATAGAAGAAAACAACTCTGAAGGCATTGGTGTGAATCACTCTGGGAGCCAGGGCTATTAGGAACATACAGTCTTAGAGTAGCAGATGGCATCTGTCTGTCACAGGGTACTGAGCGGTGCACTGTCTCATGCATTATGCATCAAGAGTGGCCTAGCACCCTGGCCCGGCTGTGTGGGACAAGTCTTGCAAAAGAAACATCTGATGAACTGATCGGGATGTCAAAATGTCATTAAGGATAAATTAATGGATGTGTTACTTTGGCTGTAAGAGGCAGTGCCAGCAAGACAACAGACAGCCGGTGGGCTGTTCTCCAGCCCAAGACAGACGGCGTTTGCAATGGAGATTCATGGTCTTTATGCAACGTGAGGTGCTTTGCAGGGAGAAGAATAAACAGAAATGCTCCAGCACTTAAGCGCCATAAAATCACAAGCATGAGATTAATTAATTAGTGTACACTAGGAAGGCGGCTGGTCTGTCTGCGCTCCTGGGGAAAGCTAGAATGGATGGCACTGGGTTAGAGATGACGGGTCCCTGCACCAGCCTCCTAAAGAAAAGCAATTGAATTTAATGTGCAATCATAAACTGCCGCTGATGGAAAGATAAGTCTGGTCGGTGTTTGTTTTTTCAGGGATACTATTTCTGCCTACTGCTTCAAACACTTTGTGTCTGTGGGTCAAGTATCTGAGAGGACTGGGGAGACCTGGAAACTAGTTCTGCTTATAACGCCATGTGGGCTATGAAGGGTGTTATAATCTCAACACATAGAGCAACTCTCAGGGAAGCCTGACTCCCCCTGCGCCTTTCTAGATAGGGGGTTGTCCATTCTTCTGTGATAGGAGGCTCACCACTTCCCTTTCAACCTGACCCAGTGTTAGATAAGCATTGTTAGAGAGTTCTTCCTTAGACTTCCCTAGCCTCTTCCTCCTTATAACTTAACAACAACAAAGACAAGAAGGAGAATAGCTAATGCTTACTGAGTGCTTGCTGGGTGCCAGGCACTGGGCTCTGGTCAAGTTACAATGTTATCATGTATTATCTCCATTTTGCAGTGTAGGAAAAAGAAGACCAGAGGGTGTGAAAGACATGCTGAAGATCGCACAGCTAGTATATGGTAGGGCCAAGATCCAAACCCGGGGCTGCCTGAGGCCAGGGCTTGACAGCTTAACTATCACATGGTTCTAAGTCCTGTAACTACCATTAATTGGATGGAGCCTGGCTTTTAGAGCAATACAGAATATGACAAGGCAAGACAGATGAGAACTCACATGTAGCACATATTGGGCACTGCTAAGCACCTGGCCTGGGTCAGCCTAACACATCGTTCATGCAGTAGCCTTTTTTGAGTAACGAAATTATTTCCCCATCTGAGATATCTATTTTCTTATCTTTTTAAAAAAGTTATATATATATATATTTTTCAACATATAAAAATCGGTTTCACTTCTGTGTATTTATAATGAACAATTAGAATCTGAATTTTCATAAATAGTACAATTTACAGTAGCACCCAAAAAAGAAACATTCAGATATAAATCCACCAAAATACACATGGGACCTACATGACAAAAACTATAAAATGGTGATGAAAGAAATCAAAGAAGATCGAATCAAACAAAGAGACATACATGTTCCTAAGCTGGAAGACTCAGTATTGTTAAGAGGTCATTTCTCACCAAATTGATCTACAGATTCAATGCAAACCCAGTCGAAACTCAGCAGGATATTAACAAGCTTGCGGATATCAACAAGCTAAAATGCCATTGTACATTTATTTCCAAAAAAGAACAGGGAGGCAGGTCGTGATGGGTCATGCCTGTAATCCCAGCACTTTGGGAAGCTGAGGCAGGACTGTTTGAAGCCAGGAGTTCAAGACCAGCCTGGGCAACATAGTGACACCCTCTCTACAAAAAAATAAAATAATAAAAATAAAACACATTAATAAAAAGAATGGGGAAAAAGCCTCTAAACCGCACATGTCCAGAAAATATAACATGAAACATTGTTATGTATAAATATCATAATCACTTAGGTACATTGTTTAAATAAAGTTTTTTATGTATGTCTGCTATAACTAAATTGGAATAAAATTCTCTCCAAGGTACAACCCTTTTTATAGGATACTATAAACAAAAACGTTAAGAGACAAAAATTTACTCAATGAAGTTTAAGCAGGACTCAAGAGGCCAATTTAAAAAACAATGAACGTGACCCCAACCGTATCCTCTCTTTAATCTTGGTCCTATTTCTCCAATGTAGATGATAAATTTCATACCAATTGTGAAACAACGAATGATCTTGCTCCTGTTTTAGGGACAGTGAGTATATTTAAAGAAATGATACAGTTGGTAGAGTTTTTTTGTTTTCTGTTTTTTGATTTTTGAGATGGAGTCTCACTCTGTCTCCCAGGCTATGAGTACAGTGGTGCGATCTTGGCTCACTGCAACCTCCGCTTCCCGGGTTCAAGAAGCAATTCTCCTACCTCAGCCTCCCGAGTAGCTGAAATTACAGGCATGCACCATCACACCCAGCTCATTTTTGTATTTTTAGTAGAGATGGGGTTTCGCCATGTTGGCCAGGGTGGTCTTGAACTCCTGACTTCAGGTGATCCATCCGCCTTGGCCTCCCAAAGTGCTGGGATTACAGGCATGAGCTACTGCATCTGGCTAGTTGGTAGAATTTTTTATTTGGTTGGTATATTAGTCCATTCTCATACTGCTATAAGTATACTACCTGAGACTGGGTAATTTATAAACAAAAGAGGTTTAATTGACTCACAGTTCTGCATGGCTGGAGAGGCTTCAGGAAACTTACAATCATGACAGAAAGCAAAGGGGAAGCAAGGCATATCTTACATGGTGGCAGGAGAGAGACAGCATGCAAGGGAAACTGCCACTTTTTTTTTTTTTGAGACAGAGTCTTGCTCTGTTACCCAAGCTGTAGTGCAGCGGCATGATCTCCACTCACTGCAACTCCCAGGTTCAAGCGATTTTCATGCCTCAGCCTCCCAAGTAGCTGGAACCACAGGTGCATGCCACCATGCCTGACTAATTTTTGTATTTTTAGTAGTGATGGGGTTTCATCATGTTGGTCAGGCTTTCTCAAATTCCTGACCTCAAGTGATCCACCCACCCTGGCCTCCCAAAGTGCTGGGATTACAGATGTGAGCCACCACACCTGGCCAAAACTGCGACTTTTAGAACCACCAGATCTCACAATAACTCCCTCACTATCATGAGAATAGCATGGAGGGAAACCACCCCCAAGATCCAGTCAGCTCCCACCCATTCCCTCCCTCGACACATGGGGATTACAATTTGAGATGAGATTTGGGTGGGGACACAGAGCCAAACCACATCAGTTGGTTTTCATCTTTTCTATTGTAATTTAGAGCAAAGGGTAAGGGCTAGCTTTGGACCCTTTCATTGCATCTTTCCCCTGCACTCAGACCTGTAAAGTGCTTCTCTCTGGGGCAGGGGCTGTAATACTTACCAGCCTCTTTCAGAATCCCTGCCACAGCCACCCTCAATTCATGATGAGAACACAGCACTAGTAATTAGCACATCTTTGTTCCACGGGTTTCTTCCTTCATATGACCTGTGCCCCTGCTCAGTGTGGTGAGACTTCATTTCCTTACATTTAAAATATTTCCTCATTGGAGTGACTCAAAGATTTCATGAGATACCTGTGGTGTCATGCAATATATAGATTGGATTTGTCCACTCTGCCTGGTTTATAACTCCCATATTCCTTGTTACAGTCTTTTGCTATAATGTTGGGTGTGTTAGGGCCCAGGGGAAGGCCTCAGGTGATACACCCTCTCTCCTTCCTTCCTTTCACTTGCCCCAAGGCAGGACTCTCATCTTCCCCTGTCTTTCTGATTGTGGGTCTTAAGACCTTCCTCTGAGAGGGTCCCACCTCATACCCAGGGGGAGGAATGCTGATTTTATGAAGCTCCCCTAAGAACCTATGAGGGCTGCGTTTGGAGAGAGAGCTTCCAGATAGCTGAACGCGTGGAGGTTCCTGGATGGTGGTGCCCCGGGGAGGTTATGGAAGCTCCATACCTCTTCCCCCAAACCCCACCCTATGTGTCTCTTCATCAGTATTATTTGTAATATGCTTTATAATAGACCATTAAACATGTTTCCCCGAGTTCTGTGAGCTGCTCTAGCAGCTCTAGCAAATTAGTTGAACCCAAAGAAGGGGTTGTGGGAACCCCAACTTGAAGCCTGTTGGACAGAAATTTCAGAGGCCCAGGCTTGTGACTGGTGTCTTGGGGAATGGGGAACAGTCATGGGGACTGAGCCCCTAACCTGTGGGATCTGACACTATCTCCAGGTAGGAACTGAATTGTAGGACACCCAGCTGGTGTCCGCTGCTTGATGTGTGGGGAAAACATCCCATACATTTGGTCACAGAAATTCTCTTCCATGTTGATGACTGTGGTAGTGTGAGAGTAGAGAAAAAATGCAGTGTGAGAGAGTTTTTCTTGACACAACACTTACGTGAAAGTACTTGGTAAACTGCAAAACAGCAGTAGACAGAGTAATATAAAACATAAAATATACTAATAATAACTACAAGGTACTGAGCACCTACTACGCGCCAGATATAAAAACCAGATGTCGTATATGCATTCAATTATCTTATGCTGTCCTGGTAAATCCCCACAGCAACAGCCCACATTTGGTGTTATTGTCCCCAATTTACAGATGAGAGAACAGAGGCTCAGAGAATTTAAGTTAGTAAGCGGCAAAGTCCAGGATTCAAACCCCAACCCAGTCCATGCTCTTTTCGCTACAATGCTGCTTCCAGGTGTTGCTTATTGTTTTCCTCACCATTCAGAGCTAAGGCAAAAGCACTGTTTAACGCCCTTAAGGAATGAAAGATGAGATTACAGAAGTACAATTTTTGAGCAAATTGCCCCTTGCCTACATGGCTGGAAAACACATCACAGTAAAACAGTCAATGTGTATACTTCAAATCAGCCACAGATCTGGAAAAACCTTAGATCCCACAATTTCATGGTAGCTCTGCTATATAAAGCAAAGATAAGAAAAAATAATAATATGAAATCCCGTACCAACCAGATATGAGCTTAGATTTTTCACCAAAAATTCTCATCTGGTAGATTCCCAAATCAAAATTGGTATGGGGAAGGAAGAATGAAATGAAGTATGAAGACTTAGCTTTTCTCCACTTCTGAAAAAGTCCATTGTTGCTAAGCTGTTTTCCCAAACAGAATAAGCCTTCTTTAGTCTCGAGGCTCAATTTGGTCTACAACATTAATAAAACGATATTTACAATCTTTACAAAAATCAAGTCTTTCATTAAAAACAGGGTTTTGACCACACTAATCTTTCCATTCTTCCACTTAAAAAACATGGGTGGTTGTAATATACCCACCAATTCCCACCCTCTTAGAATGTTCTGCACTGTGGTTCAAAGCCCTTAGAATAAAAAACTGCTCCAGAAAGCAACTCAGCCAATGTTCTTTTATTCTGTTAAGAAAGAGATTTCATCAGCAGAAGCATTGAGTCCCTTGAGGCTTCAGGGATAGAGGCTTCTGAACACACATTTCTGAGGAGATAATCATGGTGGAGGTGACTTTACTCCTCATAATGCCTCCAAAACCATCATGAGTAGTGATTGTTGCAAGAAACTAAATACTATTTCAAACGTATGTGCTCAGGGCATTTTTGCCCTTTATTAAATGACCTCTGTACATTTATGAACAGTCTAAGGATTGTCTACCTCAATACCTAAAAAAGGAAATGATGCCACCAAATAGCATCTTGACTTCTACAGATTTTACTTTCCAAACTCAAGTTCCATCATCATACTCAAACTCATGTTTATCTGATGATTGTATGGGACCAAATTCTCAACTAAGGTTCTGGGCCAAATGGCCAGGCTAATGCTTCACGATGCTCTTTCAAATGCCTTTATTTGATAGCCCTGGATTCTCAAGCCCTTCCAGATGGGTGGTTCTCAACTACGGTTTCAGATTAGAATAACCTGGGGAACTTTAAAATGTCTAGGCACTACCCCTGACCAGTTAAGTCAGTTCTCCAACCTCTCTTTATAGACTGTGGCTTGGGGTCTTCTCCCTAGCTGAGTGCCCTCCCGCAAATACACCAACTCCTCTAAGCTCTGTTCCCAGAAAGGCAACATTTCTAATGGCATTGTTCAGAATATGGTGGCCTCTCTCGAATTCTGACAACCTTGCCTTTTTAAAGGAAGGTGTTGCCAGCCACATCTCAATAAACAAGCCTGTCCCCCAGCCCTTATATTTGGAAATGGCCATGGTAGTGCACTCTCCCGACCCCATTCAACCCCAGCTCTTTCTCTGCCCACCGGTCTACAGAGTCTTCTTGTATAAAAATGACATTGTCTTCCTTTGTAGTTCTAGCCAAAATCATTAGTTATCTCTTTTCTTTCTTGTTGATATCACCACGGGTGGATGCCAGGAGGAGGGTTGTCTTACCCAATTGCTTGGAGGGGAAAAATCTGTGAAGTTTAAGGAACACCATCTAAAATCCTCCTACTTCATTCTATTTTCAAATTCTTCTTCTACTTAACCTATATCTGCTAGTTACAATTGATCTCTCCTCTCTCCTCTCTCTCTCTCTCCCTCCCTCCAATATATCAAACCACTGCTTTGTTCTAGCCTAGCTCTATAATTTCATAAATGACAATAATTCCCCTGGCAAGTACACTGTATTAATTTCTTAAGATAATCCCATGAATTGAACACTACCATTCCCATTTTACAGATGAGAAAACTGAACCTCAGAGGGTTTAGGATTCACAGCTACTAAGTAGTATAAATAGGATTCAAACTTTCTCCCTACCCCTTTCTTTCCCTCTCTATAGCATTCCTTTCTTCCACTTCTTTGCCTTTTTAAGTTTTTTTCCTAGCATGCTATCAAATTAAGTTATGAAAAAAAGTGTGTTTCTGTGTGTGTGTGTTTCAATGTTATGAGGCCGAGGAGAAAAGTGAATGAATGTGTCATTTTTTATTTATTTATTTTAGACAAAATCTCACTCTTTGTCGCCCAGGCTGGAGCGCAGCTGCACGATCTTGGCTCACTACAAACCCCGCCTCCCGGCTTCAAGCGATTCCTCTGCCTCGGCCTCCTGAGTATCTGGGACTGGAGGTGTGCACCACCCCACCAGGCTAATTTTTATATTTTTAGTAGAGATGGGGTCTCGCCATGTTGGTCAGGCTGGTCTTGAATTTCTGACCTCAAGTGATCAGCCTGCCCTGGCCTGCCAAAGTGCTGGGATTAGAGGTGTGAGCCACCGCACCAGGCCAAATGTGTCATTTCTTTAAGGAAACATCTGGCATCTACTTTATACCAAAAACTTTACTGGGCCCGTTAACCCATGGTATCTTTCCTCAAAATAGAATCAGTGACTTCCTTGCCTTTGTTATGTCTTCACTGCTCCTCTTTTCATGCACTTGTAACATTATTTTGTAACGTTTTATTAACACGTTCAAGTTCCTTTTAAGCTGCAAGCTCCTTGAGAGGGTATTTCTTACTAAAGACTCAACAATTTTCTCTCCTTAGCACAAGGGAATTGCTCAGCAAATGCTTATGAATGAAATAATATGTCATTTAAACATCAGAGCTATTGTAAAATGTAAGTGGTATGACTCCCATTTTACAGATGAGAAACTGAAGTTGAGATGGAATTAAGTGAGTTATCTAAAACTGTGGAGCCAGGAAGCTCAGGGCTTTTTCCTGCTTGGCACAGTCATCTATCTAATAATGACTTCCGAAATACCTCCAAGCTTAACTAGACAACTAGGTAATAAGTGGGAAAGCACTTTGGAAGAGATAAATCCCTAAAAACAAACAAAATGCAATCATTAGCATCATCATCAACATTGAGGGGCTTAACTAAAGCATTTCCTTCCATTAAAAGCACTATTTTGAAACACTTAGAAAGGCATTTTCCAGTTTGTGCATCTCAGGATCCCATCTTTGCTACAGCTCTAGCTGTAAGAGTCCTTCCCATTTGGGGGATGCTTGCTGAAGGTAGTGCTTTCGGAAGTAAACCCAATCCTGCCTTGGAGACATATTGCTAAGTGGGCACTGTGGCTGGGCACTTCTGACCCTGGTTCTCTCCTCTGGCTGGATCAGCAAAAGGGTATTGCTACGGTCTTCTCTGTGATACATCTTCAGCTCCCCCAAGCAGGAGCTATGTGTGAAGATCTCTGTGGCTCTCAGGTCCAGCACAAGCACAGGTGAACAGCAAATGCCTATGAATGAATGATCGCCCAAGGAAAAACATTTTAGAGTTTATGTATTATCAGTGGGCAACAAAGTAATAACCCCAATCAGTTGGTATGCAGAGTGTTCATAAGCAATGAAGAGTGCATTTCAGTGGTGGGAAACCCACTTGTCTCCAGAAAAGCCAATGGGAGAGTCCCAAGCTGGGTTCTCTGAAAATCAATCAGACTCTGAGAGAGATTGACAAGCAGGAGATGTATTGGGGAAGCTTCACCTGTAGATAAAAGGGAAGAGGAGAGAAGGGGAAGAGGAGGAAGGGAAGAGGAAAGAAGGAGGGAAGGAAAGGGAAGGGAAAAAGAAAGGGAGTGGGCAGAGGAAAGGTTGAATGGTGATGCAGTTGGAGCAGTGGCTAAAGCCAACCCCAGGGGAGGCCCTGAAGCTGGGGTTGCTTTTACACCCTGTGTCAACCAGTGAGTAGATGACTTTGAGTGAGGCGGCTCCAAAGGGCAAGTTCTGAAGGGGGGCTGTTAGTGTCACAAACAAGTGGGTTTCCCTCCCCTGAAATGCACTCTTCATTGCCTATGAACACTTTGCCTACCGATTGGGGTCATTAGTTTGTTGCTCACTGATAATACAAAAACTCTAAAAAGCTTTTCCTTGGGTGATCATTCTTTCATAGGCATCTGTCAGCATCAATTGTAGCGAATGGGGAAAGTCCCTCATTGTTTTTTTTTTTTTTTTTTTTTTTTTGAGACGGAGTTCACTCTTGTTGCCCAAGCTGGAGTGCAATGGTATGATCTCAGTTCATTGCAATCTCCGCCTCCTGTATTCAAGCGATTCTCCTGCCTCAGCCTCCCAAGTAGCTGGGATTACAGGCACGTGCCACCATGCCTGGCTAATTTTTTGTATTTTTAGTAGAAACGGGGTTTCACCATGTTAACCAGGCTGGTCTCAAACTCCTGACCTCAGGTAATCCACCTGCCTGGGCCTCCCAAAGTGCTGGGATTACAGGCATGAGCCACCACGCCCAGCCCCCTCATTCTTGAAGGTGGATCTGAGCAGCACATCACAGAGTCCTCCACAGGAATTTTCTTTCTAACCACACTGCAGTAGGGTACTCCTTTCTGTTAGCAGAGAATCTCCATACTCTCATTAACCTTGTTTATAAAGTTCAAGTATGTTTATGAGGTAGAAGCATTAAGAGTCACAGACAGTCTTTTCTAAGCCTCAAGACATCACTAATACCTGGTTGGTATTATTAGGTTGGTTTAAAAGTAATTGCGGTTTTTGCCATTAAAGGTACATTTTACCTTTTTAAAATAGTAATGAACACAATTACTTTTGCACCAACATAATAAAACTTAAACTTAGGTATAAATTTATAACTGAAATATAAACACCTTTTGCCACCTTTGGAGGTAAAATTTGTATTTTTCCTGATTAAAGTGACAGAGCCTCTGACTTACAGATTTGCTCTGTTTGGCATGCGTGACTGATGCGTTTAGACGCCAGTTCAATAGAGTAAACAATAAAGCATCCGTTCAGTTGCAATCCCTATCCAAATCTATCAGTACACATGGTCTAGCCCAGTGCATTTATATCTATTAATATCTCATTGTAATAGCAGTCATTAATTTTACACATTTATAATTGTGTCATGCAAGTACCAATGCAACATTTCTAAACCTAAAACCCATATAAGACTACAAAATAGGTGATCTGAAAGCTCTATCATCACCGTAGGCCAAAATAAGTGAACATGGATATTAACTAACTTCTAGAGAATAGAATAATATAACTCAATGAGAGACAAAACAAAATTGGAAGGGTATCAACTCCACACATATAACCACTCATGTATCTTTGTTCATTCATCTAATCAACACAATCTTATGATGCCTGATTTGTCCTGAGCACTGATCTAGTCACTGGGAAATGAATGATGAGTAATACATAGTTCTCCCTACATGGAGACTGACATGCAAAGATGCCAAGGGCAGGATAACCTGGGAAGGGATCATGAATTAGTAAGTCAATGGGTGAAGGAATGAAAGATAAATGCAACGACAAAGATATGAGCCCAGCGCTATGGATATGGTCCATGGAAATTGGAGGGGGCCTCCAAAGTAGAGAACAATGACACTCCCTTTATAAAGATACTGGAGTTTTCTGGGCACACAAGGGGGATAGGAAGAATTCCAGGAAGAATTCACTGCAGGGATAAACATTATGAAAGGGACAATTAAATCAGAGTGATGTGAGGATGCCATGAGAGTTGTTCTCAAAGTCAGCAGGAAAAATAAGAATCTGAGATACTTGTTAAAAAGCAGATCCCCAGGCCATGCTTTTAAGGAGACTGAGCAGATCTGGGGGGTGAGGCTCAGGAATCAGACTTCCCACCAAGGTTCTCCTCTTGGCTGAAGAGCCACACTGCTAGTAACCACTTTAGTCTTGACTGCATGGTAATGTCTTACATTTTCACCTATTAACATGTTTGCTGTTGATAATTTGATATTTACTAGTAATTGATATTTAGCAACTTTAAATGGTTTTCTTCTATTCCTATTTTTTCTTCATTTTTATTCAAAGTGGCTGATAAATTACATTAAATAACTTTTGAGTATCTCTTGATGGAATCATTTTAAAATGCCTGTTTAAATATATTGAAGCAATGATATCTGCTTCACAGCAGCTGATGATGTGAAAAGGCATTTGCCTTTGAAGAAAGGAGCAGTCTCTTATTTTGGTGAGGCCCTACTATGTGCTAGGCATTTTACATTATGTCCATTGAATCTTTGTGAGACTTCTTCTGTAAGATTTGTATTTTTTGTCTCTGTTTTACATACCAGGCAACTGAGATTCAGAAAAAGTTGAGTGGCTTGTTCAGGTCACACAGATGCAAAAATAGAAGCAAAAATGGCCTTAAACCCACAGAAGCAAGGAAGTTACAAGGTCTAGAGTTATCTAAAAAATGATGTCATTTTTTTTTCTTTTCAAGAACAGAGTACCACCCTGTTGACTTTAGCTGTATGTCCGTATGTCTTTTAAATTCATCTTGTTCCTTCACTCATTACACAGGCACTTACTGGGGTTCACTGCATGTGTTAGGAGTTCCATGGAGAATACCCTAATGAGCAAGCAACATCCTTAAGACAAATTTGCTCCTGCCCATAACATAAAGCAACTGCAGTTCAGAGAAAGGCGCCATTCCCACAGGTGGAGAGAATCATGAGAGACTTCTTGTAGAAGGCAGTGTTTGATCTGGACTTTGAAGAATGATATCGGATTTGAATATATTGAGATGGAGGAGATCAGAAGGCTATAGAAAAGCCCAGGAGTCCCATGGAGTATCTGTGGACAGAAACCAGCCCAGGTCACGGTTTTCTGCCTCGGAGACATCTGCACAAGGCATTTGTCCAAGGCTAAGTGAAGTAGTTACGTGCTCTCTCTCAGCCAGAACAATTGGTAAACACCTTCGCGCTTTCTCAAGAACTACTACAGTAAAATACCTCTGTTCAAAACAATTACTGTGCCTATCACACACCTTGAGGTAAATTAACCTGTGGACACATGCCAACTCTTAATATCCTTTAAAAAGGCAAACACTGAACAACTGAAGTTGTTGGGGTCTGCTTTACTACAGAAAGGCAAAAAGGGATCCCAGAGAGGCATTTTTGTCAGCTCAGAATGTGAGGAATAGTAGCTGCTATTTATAAAATACCTACTGTGTGCCAGCCACTCTACATACACACTCTCTCGTTGCCCTTCACCAAAACACTGGGAAGTCACCGCTATTATCATGATTTTCCAGATGAAGAAACTGAGGCTCAGAGTGTTTCTATGAGTGTTCCAGGTGGAAACAATCTCACAGGAGAGGCAAACCTAGAATTGTGAAATAGGCCTGACACCAAAACCCACATGATTCACATTTGTGTGTGCGTGTGCGTGTATACTGGAGAGACAATAATGGGCCTTATCTTTAACTATCCTGTGTCCCTGGGTCCCCAGATCCCTCTGTTCCATAGCTCCATTTTTATTGGGCTGTTATTTATCCTGGTCATTAACACCCCTTTCATAACCTCTTGCTCTAACCCTTTGGCTACCTCTGATGCAGCAGCTCAGTGCCCTCAGCTCTGACTCCTCTCAACATGTTGCCTGTGCACAGCACTGCTTGGAAGACCAGCCACATCATGTGGCCAATCCCCAGGACAGCAGAGACAGGACTGCCCCAGCGGCCTCCTTACCAGCCTGGAATAGCTACCACTTCTTATGCCTAGAAGGGCACTGATGGCCATGCACAGAAACGAGGCCCTACAGGCAGACAGACTTGCATTTGGTACCTGGCTCTTCTTCAACCTGGCTGCTGTGCTCCAAGCACGTGGTCCAGGCAGAAGTGCCCCCATCTCCCAAAGAACAGGGCTTAGTAAGAAGAATGGGTAGGGCTTGTGGGCCATGTGGTCCTGAGTTCAAACTTAACCCTGCTGCATTCTGGCTGTGAGCAATAGACAAGTCTTCAGACTTCAGTCTTAACATCTAAATAAAATCAACAAAATAACATATACTTTGCAGGGCTTGTTATAAGCATTGGGTAAGTATATATAGTAGGGACCAACTGGTAATGCCTTTCAACTTCTGCCCTTTTGTAGTCTGGTATAGGGTGCGCCTTATTCACTTTTGTGCCTGCAACATCAGGCACGGGATAAAGTACATGGCAGGAGCTCAATAAGACAGGATGAATCTTGACTGTCACACTCTTCCTACGCTCAAAACTCTAGGGCAAGAATTGGCAAACTGTGACCTGTGGGCCAAATCTGGCTCACTGCTTGGTTTTTAAAAATTAAGTTCTACTGGAACACAGCCACACTCATTCAAACACATAGCTATGACTTCATGCTACAACATCAGAGTTGAGTAGATGCAACACAGAACACAAGGGTTTGTAAAGCCAAAATTATTTACTGTCTGGCTCCTTATGGAAAATATTTGTGGACCACTGTTCTCATGTAGGGATACTTTCAAAGATGGAGAGCACTTGATGGCCTCTTTATTTTGGGGGAAATATAGAATTCCTCTGCTCCTCCCCCATCCATACTTTATCTCCTCTTTCCCTAGTTTATTTCTTCTTCTTAGCTCTTACCACTACATACTATTTATTTTTGTTATATATGTTGTTTACTTTCTACCTCTTCTACTAAAAAAGCTCCACGTGTGCAGGAATTTTTACTTGTGCTAACTCCTATATACCCAGAACCTTGTCCAATGCCTAGCATGCAGAGGACATTCCACAAATATTGGTGGAATGAATAAACACTGATTTCATTGAAGAGACTGGTGAGCCAAAGTGTGTTGAAGAGAGAACACACTTCAATGAAATCAGTGTTTATTCATTAAAAGGACCAGGTGGCCCCTGATACCTATGAGGAGGGTATTACTTTTCCTATTTTATAGATAAGACAACTGAGACTCCAGTTAAGTCAGTGATTCTCTAACATGCATATGAATCACCTGCGACCTTGTTACAATGCAGATTCTGATTCAGGGGTCTGGGCTGGGGCCCTTGATGCTACCTCTCTGACAAGCTCCCAGGTGATGCTGATGCTACTGGTCCAGGGTCCACACACTGAAGAGTGAGGCTTCAAGGCTCCCCCTCGGGGCATATACTAGCACATGGGGGGCCATCATTTCCTTTCTGTTTCCTCTTCCTCATCTCCATGGCTCTCTCTCAATCCTATCATCTCCAAGGCCTCTCCCTCCTCCCCCACTCCCAGACTGTTCCCTGTCCCCAAACACCTCGCCTCCAGTCCTTCACTTCCATAGCCCCCAACTCCAGTATCTTCAGCCCCTTCCTTCTGCCCAGGCTCCTCCACTATAACTAAATCTTTGCCCAGGACTTTCTGATCTTTCAGGTAGCCAGTATCATGTTTCTTCTCTGTTTTACAAAAAAAAAAAAAAAAAAAAAAAGGTGAAAGGTGATCCTACTCATGGTCCCCAGGCAGGCTGGCTACCTCTTCAACCTTCATCCCTACAACCTGTACAAGTTACTTCTGATGGCCAAATGTCCAGGCTGTGCCCAAACCCACCCCCTCCATCCTCTGCAGCATCTGCTATGGCCAACCAACTCCTCCTGCTGCAAAAGCCTTCTCTTGGGCCTTACGCTTTTCTCCTACCTGTCTGTCTGCTTTGCCAGTTCCTCTCCTCTTCTGATTCTTTAATCATGGTCAGTTCCTGGGCCTCAGCCCCTAGCCCTTAGCCCTCTGTTCTTGTCCCCTTTCTCCAGGCCTGCTTTCATCCACCTGGCACTCTCATCTGCAACCTCTCAGAGGAAGGTTCCAAACATCCACGTCCTACCTAGACTCCACTTCTGCATTTCTAAGTTCCCATGGGATGCTTTTGCTTGGGAGCTCCACCAGCATTCTCACTGCAATATATCCAGAGTCATATGCATATGACTCACATGACCATTTCTCACCCCAAGACGTCTCCATTTCCAGGATAATCAATTCTCCCTCCCATCTACTTCTGGGTAGCTTTGGGGGAATGACTTAGCTTCTCAGAGCAATTTCTTTCCCATTAAATAGGGATAATGGTACCTACCAGACTAGGCTATTCGGAGGACTTAGTGGGCTAATGTATGTACAGACTACTTGGCATGTGGTGGTGGTTTCCTATTCTCCCCTCCTGTATAAATGATTAAATATACCTTACCTGTTCGATCCCTTTAAGTCTAGCAACTGGTTCATCTATCACAAGTGCTTGGTGGTAGTTGGGATGGGAAGATGGTGCTTAAGAGGAAATGTAACCACCTAAGGTTTCTGTATAGAAGGCAGGCTATTTGCAGTGGCATACAATATATGACCGTCATGGGGGCCTTGGGGTTGGTGAATATAAAATGAATATAATTATGGAAACCCTGTGTCCTATCCAGATGCTTCTGCATCCCACTGCTGGTATGAGCTTCCTGCTCTGGGACCTGTGGCACAGAACTTCATGTCTGCACCAATTGAAAGGCCTGTGTTTATCATTGCACCTTCAACTGCAAGTATGTGCAGATCCATCCTCTGTCCTTTCACACTGCTTATCTTGGATTCCACCCCAGCACCCAGCACACAGCACTGTATAAAGTGGGCATTCAAAGACCCTGATAGGCAAACTGGCTGATAGAGGGATGGGGGTTAGATGCCAGAGGTGGTGATGGGTCCCTGTATGCCCACATCTGCTGTGAAACATGCATACCCTAAGAGGCCCTGGAAGAAGAGAGGGGCTCCCAGGGACTACTATTCCTGCCATGAACCCTGTGGTTTCTGAAAGGGGAAATAAAGAAAACTAATATTTCATGAGTGTCAACTTTGTGCCAGGCACTTTACAAAATCATCTCATCTCCTCTTCACAGCAACTCTGTGAGTCAGGCACCATTACCCTCATTTTATAATTAAGAGAAAAGAGAATCAAAAAGTTTAGAAAATTTGCCCAAGGCTCTATAACCAGTGCACGATAGAGGCGGGACATGAGCCCAGAGCTGCGTCACTCCTGAAGCTCATTCTCTTTCCACCATAGCAATGACACACCATATTGTTTCGTACCTCCGTGTCTTTGCAGATGCAGTTTCCTCTAATCAGAATTTTAATTTTTTCAGTAATGGGTAAAGCCATCTCTGAATACACTGATACCTATCCCCTGCCACACAAAAAATTCATCACTCAACTAAGTGTTCCTGTACTACAGTATGTAGAGGCATCTCTCAGCTAACGTTTCTAATAGGTGACGTTATGCTAGTCTCTCAGATAGGCTTGCATACTGTGAGGCTGAACCTCTGGGTTCTAGCCATTTCTTCATCCACACCATATGAAACATAATGTGCATGTTCAAAGCATGTTTGTGGGATGAATGAATAAGTGATCTGGTACTTCCAGTATTGGTGATGGGGGCCCATTTGTTCCCATATAACATGAGGGTGGTAGTACCCGTCCTAAAGACCTGTGGACCCCACACTGAGCAGAGGGGATGGGGAGGCCTTTTGCTGGCTCCATCTTTATCTATGAAGCCTTCAGCAGGTAATGCTATTAGGCACAGCCTCTCTCATAAAGCTGAGTTTGCCAGAGGTGAGGGAAGACATGGAGCGCTAAGCAATACATTTTACCGGAAGCCAGGCATTCTCTGTTTTAATCCCACTCTTTTGCTAGCTGGATGTTCAATGAATTCACATCCTTCAATCTCTTTCTAAGGTCCCTACAACCTCTCAATTTCCAAAAATAGAAAGTGCATATTAGGAATGTGGACTAGTTCAGGGGCTTTCTAACTTTTTATCACCAAGGATCTACTGTACAGAGTTGTTCTCCTTTACTATCATGTTTTGAGCATCTCTGTTGTTGTTGTTATTTATTATTATTATTATTATTATTATTTTGAGATGGAGTTTTGCTCTTGTTGCCCAGGCTGGAGCGCAATGGTACGATTTTGGCTCACTACAACCTCCGCCCTGGGTTCAAGCAATTCTCCTGCCTCAGCCTCCTAAGTAGCTTGGACTACAGACGCCTGCCATCACGCCCAGCTCATTTTTGTATTTTTAGTAGAGATGGGGTTTCACCATGTTGGCCAGGCTGGTCTTGAACTCCTGACCTCAGGTGATCTGCCCTCTCGGCCTCCAAAGTGCTGGGATTATAGGCGTGAGCCACCGCACCTGGCCCTCTGTTTTATTAATAAGAAAAATAATCACTTTTTTTTAGCAAGTGCAAAAAAATGGATAAGCAAGCACCCATCTATAACTCCCAACAAAATGCACTGATAATATGAGATAAATAATGCTAAACACCAAACACATAATCCCAACCCAAAGCAAAGACACTGGATGTTTCTTTCACCTGTGAGGCCGGTTCTAGATAAAGTAATGAATCCCTGCAGACTTTCTGAAATAGCATAAACAGCCAATGAATACCTTTCTAAACTTTGAGCCCCCAGGGCTACCCATTCTCCAAGTAAAAACACATGGATTTAGAAGTTGCTAAGACTGTGATTCTGTCTCATGTGTGCAAGTCCTACAGCAGGATTTGGTCCCCTGCTTGATGGAATTCAGGGATTCCTAACTAGAAAATTACACTCACAAAGGAGAAACAGCCCTTCACATCTCTAAAAATAAGAGGAAAAAAATCCAAGATGGTGGAAACATAACGAACTTGAACAATGACAGTGCACTTTCAAATGTAACACATTTATGCAAAATAAAAACTTTAAGGCTACAGACAACTTAGACAGAAGTGAAAATGAGAAACTAACAGACACTTGGTTGGTGCAGGAAATGCATGCTACAGGTTCCCTTACAGGGCACGAAGCAAAGTTAACACCAGCTCGATACTTACAAGTAATAGGAGTAGGAATAAGCATTTCTTCTATATATTGATGGGCAGTCAGATGAAGGAAATGTCCAAAATGGGGGAAAAAGAAAAGACAAACAAACAAGAATTAGATTTTTAATGAAATCTTGATTCTTAGAAATGCACATATTATTTCAGCATCCCTAAGCTCAAGGAGATGCAAGTTCCTCTACTAATCATCTTCACTGAGAATCAGATATTTCCAGTGGTAGAAGAAACAAGAGAGACCTCTTCTATAATAGGGAAACCCATGGTCTCACATAGAGTAAGCCATGTTTCATGTTGGCTGTTGTAGTTGGTTCAAAGTTCTTCCTTATGGTCAACCAAAACTAGATTCCTTGTAATTATGATTTTTTTTTTTTTTTTTGGTCGGCGGGGTGCAGGTGAGGGTATTGGATCAGCTCTCTGTGGCTTCCTGGGACTAGTCTACCACTCTTCCCTATGATAATGTCCTGTGATCTAAGCAACACCAAACTTCTTCTGTCTCCTCTATTTCAGATAAAGTCACATCAGAGTCTATTTAGTAAGGTCATACCCAAAGCAAGGAAATCATATAGCCAGTACCCAAGATGGCTCCCCAGTGATCTGCACTTCCTAGTATTCAGGCCCTTGTGGACTGCCCTCCCACAGAGTCAGGACTGACCCTGTGTGAATAGAATGTGGTAGGAATTATGTTCTGGGACTTTCCAAGCTGGGGAAAAAAAAGAAGCCTCTCAGCTCTGTCCATAACTCTCTCTTAGAACCCTCAGTCTCCATAGAAGAAGCCCAGTTTCCCTGAGGCTACCATGCTGGAGAGATCACAGGAGAGCCTCTGAGACTACATAAAAAGAAAGAAATGTCCCACCAGCCCCCAGCCATTTTACTTTCAGCCAACCAAGTTATCTCAGCTGAGACCATTGACATTGCGGAACAGAAATAAGTCATTCCCTTCAAGCTCTGCCCAAAGTGAAGACACATGAGAAAAATAAATAACTGTTGCTCTTTAAGCCATTAGATTTTGGGGGTAGTTTGTTACATGGCAGTAGATGACCGGCGCAAAGTCCAACCTTATCTTGGAAGAGCACTGTACTGAGAGAGAGGAGTTCCAACCTTCAGTCTGAACAGACTCTACCTTGAATAAACTCTCTGTTCCTTCATTTCTGCATCTGTCCCTTAGGTCCATTAAACTAGATCAGTAATTTTCCAACTGTGTTCACAGAAGTCTGGGGGTTCTATAGCAGCCACTGTGTAATGAAGAAGGAGGGTACTGAGCAAGTGAGGCTGCTGCCCCCCACCATCCACCAAAGCACCTATTTTATATATTGAAGTTTTATCTATTTTATACTTTGAAGTTTCATTTAAGATATCATATGGCTGAGAATTCCATTCTCCAAAAGAAAGCTTCAAAAATCACTGGCTTCAATCTCTTTCCAATGTTCCTACTGGCTCCTGGCTTCTAAGCAATCACAAAACTCAAATAAAAGCATGATATTCCCTTTGTTATAACTTTTCTTATGTTGTAAGAAAATAAATAGGAGTGTTCTTATTTCACATCAGATTCAGCTATACTGACAATAAATGATACATTTATAGATTGAGAAAAATGGCTAGATAATTCAGGTCTCCAAATATCCATCTGAGTAGACAAGAATGGTTTCCTTTTTTCTTGAACTATTTGATTACTTGCAACCATTATCCCATTTGCTTGGTACAGGAAAATACAGTCGTTATAACTGCAGAGTGGGGGATACGTCTTCACAGCCCCAAATTTTCCCATCTCAAGTAGGAAATATCCAAAACTCCCAAGATGGGGCTATCTCTAGTCTTTCTTTCATCATCTCATCTCCTCTTCACAGCAACTCTGTGAGTCAGGCACCATTACCCTCGTTTTATAATTAAGAGAAAAGAGAATCAAAAAGTTTAGAAAATTTGCCCGAGGCTCTATAACCAGTGCATGATAGAGGCGGGACATGAGCCCAGAGCTGCATCACTCCTAAAGCAAAGCCCAACCCTACACACCCAGAAGGAAAGTGAGTCTAAAAGTTAAGAAGCCACAGAAGAAGGAAAGCCCCATACCTCCTTAGGGGGCTGAGCTAGGGAAAATGAGCCACAGTGCAGCAAGATCTGGCCACATAGAAAACTGTTCAATATCCTGGACTGAAAGAACAGTGACCCTAGATGATGAGAAGGTGAAGGACTGGGGACTGCAATGAGTGGGAATTGGAAGCTCCTACAGAAAGTCATCAAATCCCCTTCACCAGCCATACACGTTAGCACTGTAAGGAGAT
Organism: Homo sapiens; assembly: GCF_000001405.40. Lineage (NCBI taxonomy): Eukaryota > Metazoa > Chordata > Mammalia > Primates > Hominidae > Homo > Homo sapiens. The sequence goes on from NC_000020.11 coordinate 42,238,511, forward strand.
AATTTCTTTACCTCACTGCTGGCAGGTCCAGTGCCTGGAAGGTGATTCCCCTGGGACACAAAACTCAGGGTCCATTTGATGAAGACTTATAGGACACCTGTGTTCTCTGTATTGTCAAGAACACTGAGCTGAGAATCAAGAGGCCAGCATTATAATCTCAGATCTTTCAATTGCTCATTGTGACATCTTGGGCAAGTAAGTTCTTCTTCTTCCCTTTGGACCTCTATTTCCTGATCCATGCACCAAGGTGGATGGCATAGATGACCGACAGCTCAAACAGCTTTCAGGAGTGGAAATACAATAAGCCTTAGCATCTCAGCACCATCACTTAACTAACTGCATGACCTTGAACAAGTCACTAAACAGCCCTGAGTCCCAGTTTCTCTATCTCAAGCTTGGGGACAATAATTATGTATTCCCAAGAATCACCATAGGCATTAGCATTATATTAATCTAAATTATACTCACATTAGATATGATATGTAATATATAAAGTATTCTATGTAAATTCCATTAATCTAAATTGATATTAGATTATATTAATCTAAACATCTGGAATGTATTAGGGCTCAGTAAAGGGTGGCTTATGTCTGCACCTCATCCACAGAGATAAGGTTTACTGCTTCTTATTCTGGTCACCAGGAACAAAGTGTTCACCTCTTTAGGAATAATAAAATATGAACAAATACTTATTCAGCACTTACTGTGTGCCAGGTATTGTTCTCAGCTTTAGCACACATTAACTCATGTATTCCTCACAGTTGCTCTAAAAGATAGGAATTAGTGCCATTCCCACTATTCTGATGGAGACACTGAGGCAAACAAGAAGTAACTTCAGATCACACAGCTAGTAACTGGATTTGATAGCAACATGGCTATAAAGCTTGTAGCTCATTTTCTTTCTTTTTTTTTTTTTTTTTTTTTTTTTGAGACAGAGTCTCACTCTGTCGCCCAGGCTGGAGTGCAGTGGCGCGTGATCTCGGCTCACTGCAAGCTCCACCTCCCGGGTCCACGCCATTCTCCTGCCTCAGCCTCCTGAGTAGCTGGGACTACAGGTGCCCACCACCACGCCTGGCTAATTTTTTGTATTTTTAGTAGAGACGGGGTTTCACTGTGTTAGCCAGGATGGTCTCGATCTCCTGACCTCGTGATCCATCTGCCTCAGCCTCCCAAAGTGCTGGGATTACAGGCATGAACCGCCGTGCCCAGCCCATAGCTCATGTTCTTGACCTCAAGCCTGTGCTGCTTTCAAGGACAGAAGAAAATGGATATATCTTGAGAAATCTGGGGAGTCAGGCACTGGGATGTCAAAACGTTATCTCTTTCAATCCTCCCCACAACCCTGAGGAGCAGATATAATTACTCTCACGGTTAGCTGAGGAATCTAAGATTATAAGTCCATGCCTCACTAGGTCAAAGGCTTTGTGTATCTTTGGACCAGTTGCAAGGCCTCCATCCTGAGCTGGATGCTCTCACTGTCAGCAGCCACCTCCTCCTCAGCTACACTGAGCATTCTGGACCTTCTAGTTTTTCTGCTGTCAACCTTCAGGATTCACCTCAGCCTGAGCCAAGAAAACATGCTTCCTTCTTCACCTTCAAACCACAGACCACCTTTTCCAAGTTGCTTTTCTGAGTTATCCTGGGTGTCACCAAAAGCCTTCTCGTGCTATCTCTGACCCAGCAGCAAGGCAACTCCAGGATAATGGTAACTGACAAACTTCTATTAATTGAATCTCTTTTCCCAATTAAACTGCAAAGTCTTCTAGGTCAAGTATCACAGGTCTTTATTCTGTGACCAAAACAGTTTACATGTGTGTTTTTCTCTAAGCCTTGAAGAAGATTTACTGAAGGTCTAAATTTACAAGGATACAGTGATATTGCAAGTAACAGATTGCCTGAAACCAAAAATCCTGAGCAGGAAGACAGCTGTGCTTAGAAAAAACAAAACAAAACAAAACAATAACCCCAAACTTAATAAATCACATACTGCAGAACCTTTTTTCAGCTAGCTCACAAGATTGACTTCAGGCACAGTTTTCTTTTGTTCCATACAATTTAAACAGGACAAAGTTGTCTATCTAACGACCCATTTAACCACCTACCCATCCATCTAGATCACAAACCCACCTGTTCAGCCATCTATCCATCCATCCATCCATGAACCTATCCATGCATTCATGCATGCATGCATGCATGCATCCATCCATCCCATCCATCCATCCACCCACCCATCATCCATTTATCCATCTTTCCATCATTAATTCAGCAGAAACTTCTCAAAGGCCTACTATATCCTTATCTCTGTCAAGTACAGATAGAAAGACATATGAGATCCTAATCTAGTCCATATGTCTGATGAGAGAGCCAGACTAGCAAATTATAAAGCAGATGATAATAGCTGTCACTTAAATACTGGGAGATCAATCATGTGTCAGGTACTGTTTTAAGTATATTGCATGAACTATTTTATTTAATCTTCACAATAACCTTATGAGGCATTATTATCCCTGTTTACAGATGAGTAAAGTGAGGCTCAGAGAGGTTAAGGAACTTTCTCACATTTATATAGTTGTTAAGTGGCATGGCAGGGATTTGAATCCAGGGAGTCTGATTTAAAGAGCCTGTATTAATAGCTATTACATTGTATTATCTTCTGTCATGATAAATTGTATGATAAGGCAACACATGGAGCTGTCAGTCCATACCTGGGGATAGGAGTGAGGAGGGAAAGCAGGCAAGATGGCCCAAAATCTGGGATGCCTGAGTGGTAAAGTAAAAGAGAAGTCAGATGGAGGAGAGGGGAAGGGAATTTTTAGGTAGATGGAACTGTGTTTGTGGTTTGGGCAGGTGGGTTAACAAAGTGGGAATGGCAAGATGTTGGAAGGGCTAGTTCCCAAAGAGTTTAAGCAGCTTGGTCTCAGTCCCATAGGTCACAGGGAAAACCCAGGAAGTCATGTGGCCAAATATTTCTTGTAGGTGAATTATTTTTAGCAGGAGGGTGAGGAGAAAGTCAAAGGCAGAGTGAATGTGGTTACACCATCACTGACTGGCCAACACAAGAAATACCAGGGGCTTCCTTTGCAGTGGCCATGGGATGGGGAAGAAAGGTCAGCAGTGTGCAAGGTGTTTAAGACACAAAATCAAAAGGTGATTAAATGTGAATGTATTGAAGAAGACTTCCAAGTTCTCAGCTTAAGTGGCTGTCCACGTGAGTGCAAGCAGAAGGAGCAGGATTCAATTTTCAGGTGTAGAGGAAGGAGCAGTTTAGAACAGGATGAACAGAAGATGACACATTTTGTTTGGGCGTTTGGGCTTTTTTCCCACCTCGATAAATCACTCAAAATTATGCCACAGAATTTGGCATCTCAGCAGGTCCTGTTTTATATTTAATCCAGATTAGATGATGTTTCAGAGTGTGGACTCCATTATCAGATTGTCCAAGTTTGAGACCCAACTCTGCCATTTATTAGGTATGTGATTCCAGGTAATTTCCTTAAACTCTATTTCCATTTCAGTTTTCTGATCTGTAGTACCCTTAATAAAGTGCACTGCTCTTTTAGCTTGGCCTGAGTTAGCTTTTCTGATTGTCTACCCAGAAACAAAACAAAACAAAACAAAATTTTGTGGCAATGTGCTCTCTGAAGGCTCAGACCATGGCATGTCTTCCACATACTGCCTCCAGCCTTGCCTTGCCACCCTCCTACCACAGGACTTGGTGCACGAACCATTAATGCTTAATGTTGACATTTAGGTCTGTTCTCTGAGTGAAGCTCTCTTGTATAATCCATAGAGAGTTGATCTGTTCTAATTCCACTGGGCTCTCCCATTCAACATGTTTTTAGGAAATTCTCAGTATTTGCAAGGCACACTGGAGATGAAGATGAATCAGAATAGACAGCTGATGGTCTAGTGAGGAAATGGGATGCAAATACAAAGGAAAAGTATAAGGCAGAAAATAACATGGGTCCTCCCAGAGGGGATCTAGATGGTGAAGAGATTCTGTCCAGATCAAAGGTCAGGAAGGGTTTATAGGAGAAAGTGCCTACTGAATTAGTCCTTAAACATGGGTAATAGCTGGTCACATGGAGCTGAGAAACACAGGCATTGAAGAAGAAGAAAGTTCGTAAGCAAAACTTATGGAGCAGAGGTGAGACTTTAGGAGACTTGTCAGAAAAACTAAGAAAAAAATAGAAAAACTAAAAAGCTAAGAAGAACTAAGAAACTTGTTTCCATATGGGCAGGGAGACAGTATCACTTGACAAAGTTCCCCAGGTGACTTAGACATGTACTTCTTCCCTCACTTCCACCTCATGAACCATGGCTATGGAGAAGAAGCCATTGAAGGGTTTCAGATGACAGGTTTGAGAGTACGAGCTTTATTTTTTAACACAATGCTGACTACAGTATGGAGGATAGGTTAGAGGGGTGGGGCACAGTTAGGAAGGTCAGTGAGGAAACTCATGCAATAGGGCTATAGAGGTCTGACCCAGGGAAAAGACAATGGAGGAAGAGGAGGCAGAGGCAGAGGCAGAAAGGAAGGGAGGGAGGGAGGGAGGGAGGGGGAGAAAGAGAGAGAGACAGAGAGACAGAGACAGAGAGACAGAGAGAGAGAGAATGAGACCAAGAGAATGTAGAGAATCCTGGGTGTTGGAATCCCATCTGTTTGTTGATGGGATAGGAGGTAGTGCCTGTGAATGAGATGGGAAACAGGTTGGGGAGTAGGTAATGATTTTGACTTTGACTACGAAATACCTGAGGGATTTTCAAGGTAGATGTCCAGGGGCAGATGATATGGATAATGGAGCTCTAACAAGAGAAGACTGATCTTCAGGCCAGCAAAACTACAACCACCGGGTAGTGTGATAAATACACAAATGAAGACTAGCATGTATGGCACAGTGGCTGCAGAGGAACATCACTGGATCTTCCTGGGGCAGGAGGCTGGTGGAAAGGCTTTGCTGAGATGGTAACATTTGGGAGTCCTACTAGGAAGAACAAGAGGCTGAGAGTCAGAGTGTGATAGGAACTTTGTAGGTTAAGAGAAATCTCAGGACATTTCATTCAGGGAAACAGCATGCTCAAAAGAAGAAAATAGCGAAATTGGGAAAAACAAGCCCCAGAGAGGAAAGTGGTACCGAATCTGAGTCACATGTTTCTTAGTCCAGGATTTGCTTATTTCCTGTCAGTCTCCATGGACTGACAGAGTAGAAGGTAGCAGCATGAGCTCTAGAGACACTGAGACTGGGTTTCCACATCAACTCTGCCCAAAACGTTCACCAACTCACGTGATCTTTTCGAACTTCAGTTTCTTCTTTTCAAACAAGCAACAGACCTAACCTACTATGATTATTAGGAATATTAAAATCAGAGTATAGCTGCAGTTTAAATGAAAAATGATGCAAATTATGTCAGTGTGTGAGCATTGATTGCAACCCTGCCATTAGCATATTAGTAACGGGTTTGGAGCTGGCCTGGTACAGTTGATGGTCATGTGGAGATGAATGTTTCTGTAGATATTGTGCATTGTAATTCCTTAAGCAGGTTCAGGGAACAAAGCCTATTTCAATAATTAGCTCATTTGATCTTTAGAATAGCCCCATAAAACTGGCTACCTTTCATAGAAGGGAAAGCAAAGGCTAAGATTTGTTAAGTTGCTTCTGCAAGGTTGACAGCAAATAAACAGGACTAAAAATTTGGGGCCAGTTTTTCTGATTCTCTGTCCCATTAGACTGAGAGCTACTGGAGGGCAGGTACAAGTCACAGAGAATTGATGTATAACCAGAGATGCATATAAAATATCAGAATAGACATTCATATTTATACTCAAGACACTCCAAATACACTCTTGGAACAGAAGTTTCCATTTGGACAGACAAGGAAAGTTTGGCAAAAGGTTAAGGCTGGACTAGGACGAGCTGGGCAGGGGAGCAGGGGAGGAGACAGGGTCTGGCTAGAACCATGGATGGTACCAACTTTGAATATACCTCCCTAAAATTTCCTAGTTCTCATTTGAAAATTAAAATGTGATGGACGGGTTAGTGTAGGATCCAGGCAAGTCCAGGGGTGCGGATCTTGTGAAAAGTCCTGCATAACTTGGCTTTGGTGTTTCCCTATGCATAAGTGCATGGCCATGCTTTGAGCTTTAAGGGACCATGTTCAGACTCCAGGAAGTGTGTCCCAAGGGATAAAATCGAGCTATATGAAACTTGTGTGCGCATACATATAATTTCACGCTCCACAAACAAACATTGAATTGTAGACCTTCTCATATGTGAGTGGCTAATGAACACTTTCAACTATTGAGACATGCTGGTTAAGGCAATAATACTTGATCTTTTCATCTTAATTTGCATTAAAGGCACACAGTGCCCCATGGTATTAAGTTAAGAAAACATAGAGTTGGTCATGCAACCTCTTGATTGCTGGTTTTGGAGGAGTGGGGAGGATGTCTAACAGTTCTAAGGGGAGGAGGCAAGGGACGAAGATGATCAGGACTGCAGTGCTGAGTCAGTGATGAAGGTCTTTCTCTTATGTCAGGACTTAACATGGTACTCATGAAAAGGAGGTACATTTTACTACATAATGACATGGGGTACCCATTACAGAACATTCAGAACTCTAGATGTGATCGACAGATCCAGAGGAAAAAGATGGAGCCACTATCTAGTGACAGCAGAAGGATGGATATTGTGTAGTTGGTGTGGCTAAAACCACACTGGTAGTTAACTCTGTCAGTGAGGGGCTCCAGGATCCCTTCTTATAATGCTCATATCATCCTGTTTATGTCCATGCAATCCTAATTCCATATGGTTCCACATTCAATACAGCCCAGTTCAAACAGCCAAAGGTAATGCAAAAAGAATTCTAAACTTTAACTTGCTTCTCTTTCAAACTATAAGAGAATCCCATTTAAATCACCCACCAACATCTCATATCCCTTTCTCCTTTTCGTTTCTCAAGATCTCCCTCCCCCCGTTACAAAACAAAACCAGGCAACAACAACAAAACACCTCTCAAGTTTTGTTGATATTCTCTCTTTTCCCTCCTCTATTTTGTATTCAGGTGTCTAAATATAAATTAATTTAGCTTTTTTCATTAAACCCTTCCCTTCATCCATGGATCTCAAGCCCATTCTCTGTCTGTCTTCTAGTTCTGTGTCATAAAAGGAAACCCCTAACAGGAAGAGAAAGACTCTCTTTGGACAGTGGCAAGGAAGCTCTAAAGTCAGTGATCACAAACCTTCAGAGGGAGAAGCTGGGGACATCTTATGTTTCTGGAAACATCTGTGGTTATAGCTTTAGGGGGGCTTTGAGTCAGCTGAATCTATTAGGAGCAGAAAAAAAACCCCGGAAAGTAACCATGTCCATGACCAGGGAAGGCAGGGAGAAGACCCAGGCAAGCTTAAGCCAGTGGAGGGGTTGTAGCAGTGTTGGCCTCTGTGAACTTCTGAGTCCAAGCACTGTAGGTGATGATAGGACACTGAGGAGATGTTAACACTAGTATCCTGAGCTATGGTGATGAGCCTGCTACTTGGAAGTTTCTTTGACTTGAATACATCTTCCTTTGAGGTAGATGTAGACAGTATTCTGGCCAACAGTAAGTTGGTAGCAGACTCAATTGATCAGTGTAGTATATATTGATATATATATGCAGCTGGGGGGTAGCTGGGGACAGAAGAGGTACACAGAATTTCGCTTTCCTTTGGGGCATCTCTAGACACAGGAAGACATTGTAGGTTAGTGGAAAGAGTGCAGGCCTATGTTCAATTTCTCTCTTCCTCCCCATTTTCTCCTCTTCTCCTCCTACCCTCCCCTCCCATCTGTAAACTGTTCCAATCAACTAGGCCAACAAAATGTCTTATTTTCTTCAAAAGATGCCATATATGTAAACACTGATTAGCACCCCACAACATGCAATGCCCAGGTTTTGCCTCCTGGGGAGAAATGGTGATCATGTGATGCCTGTTGATTGGGTCTGATGGACAGTTTTGATAGACATGAGAGTTGATGAAGATACTCAGAGGAGGTTAAAACTACCACAAAGGACTTATTTTATAGTTGCTCCTACCCTGGAAACATAAAGCCTTTTCCTCCCTCCCAAAAAGTCACACTCACACATTTCAGAAATAGCTGTGAGAAGGAAGTGAAATTTCTTCACAATCTCACAGATGATGGTGACGTGGGTTAAGCCAGGCTTTAGAAAGAGCAAAATTGGAAGAGCATATCTGATTTACAAATCAGTGGCAAAGAATAATAAAATTTCAGGTCTATCAAAGAGGTATTCAGTTCCATTAATTTGGGTGGACAATCCCAAACTCACCTCTGCCTCTAATATATCTGTAACTCTAAGAAACATTTCACCTCTGCCTCTAATACATCTGTAACTCTAAGAAACATTTCAGTGATCTTACATGTACAATGTGCTTACTGCTCCCAGAGAAATCAAAAGTCATATACTACCCTATGTAATAGCAGCAGACTAGTCACTGGGACATATAATGTGGCCATGTGTTATCAGTGATGATGGTGATATGACAATGTAGTGTTGACCTTAACCCTTTGAGGGCTATTCACCCCCAATATTAACATAATACCTTCTGTTACCCCTAGTTTCTCCAACCAGAAAATCAGTAGATGGAGGAGAACCTTAGCTCTTAAGCCATTGTGCTGGGAGCTTGAGGCAAGACATGATCCTATTAGACAGAAAAATGTCAAGAAGAAATGTCCTCACAGTTTAATGCCCTGGCCAGAGGCTAGTATGGTTGATCCAAAGCAGAACCAGGAGAAAGAGAGAGAGGGACATCCTGGGGCTTGCATAGCCAAGAGAGGGTTGACTGCATGTGTAGTGGGGACCCTAGTATTTCTAAATCACTGATTGCTGGAAATGGGGATATTGCTTTTAAAAAATTCTTCATTTTATATTCATGTGGTTCCTAAGGTAGGAGCTGGAATTAGTTGTTAGGGGTATTCTGTTCCTTTGTTCTGGTAGGAAACACATTTGATGAGCATTTTTCATCCTATAGATGGAAGCAAGTTCCCAGCCCTTGTTCTTGGGGTTGCCCTGAACTCTGTGCATAAGCAAACCCAGAGCTTCAGGCTGAGGTGTTGGTTTGGTTAATAATGTAGAAGGCTCTTTTGCCTGGGAGCAGGGCACAATACACCACCTAGTATTATAATGTGGATAAATGTTTTGTTTGCTATGATAGACTGAGGAGTGGGAAGGTAGAGACTAAGGTTGGGGCCCTGGCATTGAAACTGAGAAGACGTGGAGGTGGGAAGTAGATGTGTTAACATGGTGGCAGGCAGGGGCTAAGGAGAGGGGCGAGTAAGACTCTCTGTTTAGAGGAATAACCAGTGCACCCTGTGGACAGGGATAGCTGATATTCACCCTTTGTATTTTCTTCCCTCTGTAATTTCCTTGTGTTATCCTCAAGCCTTGTGAATGCCTCTTAAACAGAGGATGCTGGTGTAGTACATCTTGGAAATAAGGGAGGAATCTGTGTGCATGCTTTCGTGAGAAATGCAACTGGAGAAAACACACAGTATGAGCAAACTAGTAGCTGGCCAAAGGAGTCCAGGGAGACATGCTTTTGAGAGGTGACAAACAACAGCAACCCAGCTGGGAAGGTTCTGTGGGACAGGACATAGTACAGAGCCTGTAATAGGACTTGTAATTGGGAACTCTCACACCACTGTAGACTCTATCTCTCATGGAGAGGGCAGCCTGGGATGCTATTATTTGACCAGTGGAAATCAGGGGCAAACGGAGGTGAGAATGGTAAAACATTACTTTCCTGCAACTGCGTTTCTGGACTGATCCATGTTCCTGGGGCTCCCGAGCTATCTTGATGACATGATTGATAACAACACAGCAGTTAACTCCTATAAGACTCAATTCATGATACGTGGAATCCCATGGCACATCGCGGTGGCCCAGTCATAGGGATCACTGGCCCATAAGAAAATGGCCACCTCAGGACCACCTGCCAAACAGGCAGCATGCACCCTTCAAACAGCAACACAATGAACCACAGCCGGCCCATGTATTTCCGGACCTCAATGGTTATAACAGAAGATCCCTGCTGGACAATGATCAACAGAGCAAAAACCTGGCCACACAGCAGTGTTGAGGTCACCTCGGGTCAGCAGAGTCTTGCAGGCAGCAGCAGAGACTCACCTCCTTTTGATGGTGAGCATCACGCCCAGGAGAATGATGATGAACATGAGGAGGCCAGCGATCACGCCAGCCATCTTCACGGTGTTGTCCACCTGCTTCTCTGGCTCCACAGTGTTAGAATTCTGGGTGGAGGCACCTAGGAAGGGAAAGGGAAGGATAGCAATGTTGAAAGCACCCAAACATGCGACTAGACAATCATCATAATGACAACAGCTTCCTTTAGTTGAGTGCTAACTATGTGCCAGGCACTGTGCTAAGGGCATCACATACATTGTCCCATTTAATAACTTCTGAGGACCAATTCCTTGTGAGGTTGGGATTATCATTAGATTCTTTTGAGATGAAGAAACTGACATGCAGAGAAATTAAGTGAGTTGCCTTAGGTTCTCACTTGGGCAACTGTGTTGAAGCATTCTTTTCCTTAAGGCAAATCAAGTTAAGATTTTTTTTTCTCTCATATTGCTTTGTCTCTAGGATCAAACCATGGAACACTGGGAATTATACCTAACCCTACATTATTCTTTCAGGTAAATGGTGGAAATAACAGCTTTATTTTGGGGCAACACAATTTAAATAACTAGATTTTTAAAGATAAAAAGAGGTTTTTGTTTTGTTCTTTATAGGGAACAAATGGTAGGGCAAAAAGTTTGTATATTCAAGGGAACTTGAGTACACCTTGGGTTCAAAAAAACACTTAAATCTGATCAATTCCATTTTTAGCATTTAATACTAATGCAACATGCTCTACCAGGTGTTAACTTGCTGACACAATCCTCAGTAGAGGAGGCAGGTCACTGGCCACTTACTATACATCCTTAGCCCTATCCTGGGTAACTTCATGGATCTGGCCTGGTCAGTCCTCACAAACATTCCCAAAGGTAGACGAGATACTGATTTTCCCATTTTATAGATGAGAAAACCAAGGGAAGTTGCTAAAAGTCACATGGCTGATAAAGGTCAGGGCCAGAATTCCACAGGTTTCCTGATTCCAATTTTAGACCTCAGTGGTCAGAAACCCTGAATCCCTTCAAGTCATCTAGTTCCTCAATCCCTTCTCCCTAAAACAACCATTCTGCTTATGCCATAACAAAGTAAGCAGGCAAAGAATGCCAAGAACCAGTATCTTCATGCTACGTACTAGGGATCAGAGGCAACATCTTATTTCAGACATTCTAGAGAGTAGTCCAGGGGTTATCAGCACCCGAAGTGAATTTCCTCCTGCTTCTATTTATATTCCTATTGGCGCCAGCCTTTAAGTGGGAAGCAGCTTAAAGTCCAAACCATCCTCTTCCTAACTCATTCCTTCTTTTCTTCCACATCTACATCAGCTCACTCTTCATCAGCCAATACGCTTTCTCTGAGCCTGTGCCCCTGGGAGAGTTTCTCCCTCTTCTCTAAATTCTATTAACACTTTATAACACTTTGCACATGCCTCACAATATCTTTTACTACAATGCACCAATATTATTAGTTATTTGTTTTCACATCTGTCTCCTCCAGTGGTCTGCAAACTCCTCAGGGGCAAGATTACGCCTCGTTTATCTTAGTTTTCCCATGTTAGCACAGATTCTGACTGGTAATAGGGCTCCCTAAATGTTTGTGGTTGTTTAGTGTTTAGCTAAAAGGATGACGTCTCTGCCCACACACATTTGTTCTCATGGAAGCAAATTGAGTTTTCTCCTTTTTAAAGTCATTTATTCATAGAACTCAGCAGAGTCTTGAGTTGAAGGAATGCTACTACCCAAAAGCTATGGTCCTGATTCCCAAAATGCACTGATGTTTAAGCCCTCCAGCACATTGATGCACCCCCTTTTTTTTTGCTTAAGAGCATTAAGTGTTTCCTCTCTCAGAGCACTTTCCCCAAGCTGTTGTAACTTAGACATGTTGGGTTTACTTGGCCAAGTCTCTCTAGTGAGAATGGTAAGTCACCCTATTCATCTCTCTAATGCCAGTGTCTAGCACAGGCCTCCCTCCTCATCATTGCTGCTTAACAGATAAATTATAACATAATATGAGGGTGAGTGAACCACAGTTGTGGACTTTATTTATCCATTCAATCATTCATTATTTTGCCATTGAGTGGCCATGTGCTGTGTGCTAAACTATGCTGTCTGTAGAGTCAGAGATTCTGTTCCTAGAAGGACTTCTGGATGAGGAATTTTATTCATTCCTTTCACAAGCTAATGGCAAAACCAACTCATCAAATTCCAGGGCTGACTGAGTAGACTCTTCTCATCTACAGCCCAGAGAATTCCTGAAAGAGTTGGCCACCATCTCTTCAGCAGGGCTGGTCTGACATTTAGGGATGGGGGGACGAGGGCTGGTTCTGAGGAGCTCCCATGCAGCCCCCATTTCCCAGGCTGGAGACATGATTTCTGAGATGTGGCTAATCCACAATGTAGCAAGCATAAAGGAAGGGGAGAATCTCAGATCCAAATTTCCTCAATATTGATAGAGTCTTTTTATTTAGATTTGGAGGAAGGGTTGTCTCTGGGGCATTCACTCACTGGCACAGCCCAATTTTACTTAGTGTGCCTGCTACCAGGTCCTGTTCTAGAGACTAGGAGTGCAATGGCAAAGAGCCCCTAGAGAGGATCCTATTACTCTAGGAACAATGCTATTAGCTTGGTCTAATGAGACTCATACTTCATTCCTTCAGTAAGTGATCATAAATACCCTCTATGTGCCAGGCATTTGGTGATACAGTGGTGAGCAAAACAGGAACAGTTCCTGCTCTCAAAGAGTCTACAATTAGTGGTGGTTGGGGGTAGGGGAATATAATTAATAAATCAAGAATCAGTAATAGCAAACTTGAACCCTGTTAAGGTTTGAACAGAGAAGCACATGGCACTTGTAAATAGATACTTGCATAATTAAAAAAAATGCATTGCTTCTTGGAGCAATTCACCCCTAATAGGGGTGAGTTCCAAAGGAAGACAGGCTGTAACCAGGCAAAGGGACCATGAAAGCAGCATATGGGAGCAGCAGGAGAAATAGCCTTGCCTAATGGGGCAAGCACCCTGTTGTACTTAAAAAACAAAAAAAAGAAAAGAAATGTAGTATAACCAGGGCAAGAAAGCAAGGAGGGAAAGATGAAAAAGAAGCTGAAGAGGGCATCATGAATGAGTCCACACAGGATATTACTGGCCACAATGAGGGCTGTTGTTCTTTAACCAAAGGAAGACAGGGCACCATTTAAGTGTTATTCAAGGAGCAATGATATGGTCAGATTTGTATTTCCAATAGATCATTCCAGCTTTAGTGTGGAACCAAAGTGGATTGGTGAAATGAGTTTTGAGACTACTGCGGGCATTCAGATGGGAGTTGATAGTTGCTTAGGCTCAGGTGATGACAGTGAAGATAGGCAGATGTGATAAAAGAGACAATTACTTGAAATAGTTATAGATAAAATCTGTTGATGGATTGGATATGGGGAATAAAGGAGAAAGAACTGTCAAGGATGACCACAAATCTTTGCACGATAGGGTGGATGGTGGTAATGTTTACGGGTTCCAGACACAATGGAAAAAGAATAGCTTTAGGGGGAAAATATATCTAGGGCAACTGGAGCTTGAGATATACTCCAGCAAAGTATGTAGTCAAAAATGCGATCTGGAGCTCTAAATTAAAGGTCAGAGTTGGAGGCAAAAATGTGTGAGTCATATGTACACAGATGGTATTTGAAGCGTGGGGGCCTGTTGGTGAAATCACCCTGGGAAAGAATAAAGAGTGGAAGGAGAAACAGACCTAGAATAGAGACTTGAGGGTCTGCAGTATTTAGTGAGTAGAGGGAGATAAGCCTGAATGGGGAACAGGAGTGACCAGACAGGTAGGAAGTAAACCTGGGAGAGTGTAGTATCCTAGAGCCAAGAGAAGAGAATGTTTCAAAAAGGAGGGCATGATCAACTATGCCAAAGGCTGTTCCCAGGGTAGAATCAAGTCCACACACAAAGGAAAGTGAAGATCTTGGATGAGTATTAGAAAAATTTTCCCAAAAGAATTCCAAGACATTCCTAAATAGAAGCAGCTTCAGCAACGACCATAAACCTACAAAAGAACATACTTGAGGGCCACAGAAGAACATTCAGGGGATTCGGAGAGGCTGTCTGAAAGTCCAGAGCCTAGAGGTTTAGACGAATTCAATGAGTTCAGCCAACAGGCAGCAGAGCTGAAATCACAGACTTTACACAGGAGGTTTTTAGAAAAATCCATGCTTGGTTGGTCTAACTAGACATCAGATACAGGAACGTGAACATTCCCTGGGACAGGGAAAATCCAGCTTTGCCTTTGGCACTCTTTAGGGGAACTTGCCCTAGACTCTGGATATTTGTGCCTCTGTTCATAGTGGAAGTGTGTTGACAGGGTTCAAAGGTGATACAGGGATAGAGGAAATGGACTAAAGGCAAGACAGCATCCACGTGTGACTCCCATATCTGAGGGATGGACAGAGGATGGGAGGGTCCCGCTTTTGTGGCAGAGTCAGGTGTGGCCACAGGGATTACATCTTAAATGCTCAGTGGAGCAGAATGTGACCTGTGATGGGAGTCATAAAAAAGCACATCAGGGTTGGCTACTGATGGGGCCATTGGCAATGTGGTGCGCTTTCCACAGATGCCAGCAGTAGGTCCATATAGAAGGCTATCTGTCTGACTCAGTGGCCCCAAAATCGAAAGGGACTTTTCAGAGGGCTATCCCACTGGAAGCCCTTCAGTGGGATAACACCTGCGTTACTTTTACCCCAAGCATATCCTTTCCATGAGAGTCAGGCTTAGTATCAGCCTTAGTCCCTAAAAGGCTGTCTCCGACTCTGGGTGACTTTGTTTTATTAAGCAGGGCCTGGGGATTTGGGAACTGGGAGAAGGAGGAGGGATTTGGGTGCATCTTCCTCATCTTTACCCTCCAGAGGACCCAATCTGAGAATAGGCCAAGCAAATCAGAATTGGCATCTAGGCAGGCACCAGATGATAAATTTCTCCAATTGGGGAAGCTTTGAGGCTCTACTTGAGTCTCCTGTGTGATGTGATAACCAAAAATAATCTTGTGAACTCAGCTTGTACTGACAGGAGACTCCCTCTCCAACATCATGCTGCAAGCCTCACAAGCCTGACCTGACGGCACAGCCAACTGTGTCCTCTGAGCTCTGAGCACTCCCAAAGGCTGAACCAGTTCTCAAAGCAGCTGCTGCTGCATCCTGCTGTCTATTCTTTCCCCAAATGCCATGATGGCTAAGGATCCAGTCTCCTCCTAGCTCCAGCCCAGAGTCTTAATCTGGCTTTTATATGTGCTACCTGTCTACTCTTACATATGGAAACCTGGTGCACAAGGCATGGCCCTTGGTTTATTAAGCTCTACTTCCCTCCCTCAATATTAGCTCCATACATAGGGTCTAGTTGCCATGTTTTCTCTCTCTGCTGCCTCCTCCCATGCTACCCAGCAACCCTCCCAGCTGATTTTCCCCAAGGATTACTGAGACCTAACAAGGGCAGTGCTGCCCTGCTCTACTCTGCACTGGTCAGAATGCTCTGGTGAGTCCTGTCCAGCTGTGAACCCAACCTCTCAACAGGGACCTCCAGAGTGAAGACAGGCCATGAGCCTTGCTACTCAAAAAGTGGTCCATCGACCAGAATATTGGCGAAACTTGGGAGTCTATAAAAAATGCAGTATCTTGAGCCCTACCCCAGACCTACTAACTCAGCAGCTGCATTGTAACAAGGTCTCTACATGATTGAGGTACACATTGATTGAGATGCACAATGTTCCAGAGATTATTGACTTTGAAGGTACATCACTCTGAATCAGGATTTTTCATCTTAGGGAAGGGAAGATTCAGATGAGACCTATTTTTTGCCTTTAGATAGATAAAGGGCCATTGTGGAAGGTGGAGTAGATTTGGTCCCTTTAATTTCAAAGCTCAGAGCTGTATCACTGGGTAGAAGTGACAGGGGGTAGATTAGGAATCAACACAGGAAACGTTTGAATGTGGAAGAGCTAATCAGCTAAGGCTAAAGCCCAGACCCTTTCAATGCGGCATCATGTTAGAGAGAGGATGAGGTCATTATGGTTCCAAAGTCCTGCATCAGAGTCAGCCCTTCATTTTACCTGCTTACTCTGTCTCTGTTCTCATCTCCTTGGCTTCCTGGATGCACAACTAAGCCCTGAGGACCTCATGTCTACAGGATGCTGACCTTTTTCTCTGACGTCATCTTTTACCTCAACTTGGTTCCCCTTAATTCCAGTAATACTCATACTCTTGGTGAGAGAAATTATCCCTATTATCTTTAGAGCCATGAGACTCCCATGCAGTCCATTCCCACCCCCTCACCCTGACCCTCCCCATGTTACCCACAAAGGCAGGGGAATGTGTCATCAACAAGGACAAGAGCTGGCTGGAACATCCTGTGCTCCCCACAAAGCAGAAGGGACGACAAGACTTCTTATGCCCCTTTTGATGTCGAGATGCTATGGTTTTATGAGTCTAGTCAAAAGCATTGGGTTTCACATTGGAAATATGCAAGCTTGCGTCTAGATGCCATCACTAATGGGTTGTGTGACCTTGATCAAACCTGTTAACCGCAATGTGATTTGATATTCTCATTTATGAAATAATTAGAAAATGCCAAGTTCACACTGGGATTTTCTAAGAATCAAATGTAATAATGGAGGGAAAAATGCTTGATAAACTCTTGAGGAACTGTTCACATATGGGGCACAGTGATGATGTGACCTTAGCACTGGATCCAGGGTAGCACTAGGGTTTTTTGTGTCTATGAACTGTAGGTCATAGAGGCTGAGGCAATGCCTCCTTGTAACCTGCTACCTAAGTTCATCCGATCCTCAGGATAAAGGCAGAGCCCCTAGAGTGATTCACTTAACTTTCCTCATATAGGCAAGGCCCATATCAGGCTTGCATCTGGATGACTTAATGGCAGCAATAACATAATTTGGCAACAAGGGACTGGCAATTAATGATTAATGATTCATTCTGAAGTGCTCTCACTGGTGACAGGCCCAATTCTAGAGCTTTACTTCAGAGAATTTTCCTTGTAAAGATATGGAGCAAAAATAGGAGTCACAGATAAAGAACATTTAATTGCAATTGATAAAACCAAGTAAATCCCAATGGATGCATAACCCATGCTGGTGATCATTGCTGACGATAAAGAAAGCAACCCGGCTCTCAGGGACACTATTCCTAAAAACTGCACTCTTTAAAACATACAGTTGTTTCTCAGCTATCCAAGGGCATATTATCCCCAGTGTGGCTTATCAGAGGCAAATCTTACTTTGCTGGCAGTTTACCCCAGTCTACTGAATGGCTTCTTTTGTTGAAGAGTTTCTCTGGCTTTGTATGTATCTGGCACCCAGTAGGGAAAACCTTTGAAACCCTGACTCTAAGCTGGTACTTCTACGTCAGGGAAGGTTTTAAGCATTACAGGCATCTCTGATTATGGGGGTTTTGCCAAGAGGAGATAATAGGGAAAAGATGAAGATGCTGGGCAACTTTCTGGCTCTTCTCAAGTCAGGTAAGCACCATAAACCTTCTTGATTTTGCTGGAAACAAATTCTCAGAATAGCAGATTATTTTTAAGATGGAATTAAAGTCCAAGACAGAAAAGAAGTTGGCAGGAGAGCATCTGGATACTTCATTAGATTCAAGCCTCTAGACTTTACAAATTGCATCCCAAGGCATTGAGAATATTTGTAATTGTGATCATGAACTACTTTGGCAGTCTTTGAGGACTGAAATTGTAGCAAACAGGAGGGGTGCGAGAAGCCTGGGGAGAAACAAATGCTGTTGCTGACTTTTTTTAAAAATGAAAAAAAAAATGTATTTCAGATACTTTACGCTAGTGTGATGTTGATACAGGAAAAAAAAATAGACTAGATGATTAAATCAGGTTCCCCCCACCCCCACCCTTACCACTTAAAAAAGGAAGAAATAATCACCAGAAACCAGCACAGCCTCACATCAGACAGCATTCAACCAGGGAAAAGGAAACCACTCCTAACTTTTAAAACAGAGCAAATTTACTAGAAAATTAGTACACAGGGATTAGGAGACAATGCTGGGGAAACTCAGAGGGTGGTAGTATCAGGAAGCCACTACCCAGCCCAGACTGGAGAAACAAAAAGAGATGGTGGAGTTCTCAAAGCCCAGAAGTAAGGATCACCCAACAGAAGTGGAACTCTGGTAGACCCATCTGGAGACCTGAAGCCATGGAGTCACCGCCAAAGAAGGGGCCTGAGCCCAAGAGAAAGAAGGCTCCTCCCTTCCTCCAGCTTTACCATCTCTTATTAAAGTCTCCCATTAGCCAAATCCAGAAGCCAGTAGGCATGCGGGTCCCATGCAGGGGTCACCTACATGCCCAGGAGCATAGGGCAACAGTAAAGGATGGTTGTGACACCAAATGGGCCAAGGACAAGCATGGGCTTCTTATAAACAAGTGATGCTAGCCTCACCTCTCTTTGCCACTTTCGAGGGGTGTGTGGGCTTGTAAGTCAGGGAGAATGTCCAGAACTGCAGCTTGATTTTAGCCAAGTCAAGGCCAACATGGAGAAACTGTGGCTGACTTTCAGGACAGCCGGGTGTGAAACTGAGTTCTTCCAGAAGATGGAAACAGAAGGGTCAAGATATCTGACCACATGCAAAGTGCTAACAATGAACAATAAAGAGGTAACACATCTAGGGCTTTTACTACAATCCAGGCTGCCGTTTTAAACCCTTCACATATATTCTCTCTTTTAATCTTCACTGCCCTATCACTATGGTTTGGATCTGTGTCTGCACCCAAACCTCATGTCAAAATGTAACCTCCAGTGTTGGAGGTGGGGCCTGGTAGGAGGTGGTTGGATCCCTCATGAACGGTTTAGCACCATCCCCTTTGGTACTGTCCTCATGACAGTGAGTGAGTTCTCGTGAGATCTGGTCATTTAAAAGTGTGTAGCACCTCCCCCCACCCCCCCCCCCCCGCCCACTACTCTCTCTTGATCCTGATCCTGCCATGTAAGATGCCTGCTGCCCCTTTGCCTTCTGTCATGATTGGAAGCTTCCTGAGGCCTCCCCAGAAGCAGAAGCTGCTATGCGTCCTCTACAGCCTACAGAACCATGAGCCAATGAAGCCTCTTTTCTTTATAAATTACCCAGTCCTGGGTATTTATAGCAATGTGGGAATGAACTAATACACCTATGAAGCAGGTTCCATCATTATACCTATTTCTGAGATGTGGGAACAGCCTCTGAGAGACTAAGTAATGGTAGCAAGCAGGAGAGCTGGGACATAGGCCCTGGCAGTCTAGCACAGAGATTATTCTCTTTAACCTATCGTACTACTCTGTCACCTCTCTAATAAATAGGGGGAGAGACCGTTCAGCAGAGAAATGTGTTTGTCTTTTCTCAAATATCTGGAAGAAAGAAGCAGACACGTATTTAGATCTAGAATCTTCCATTGACCAGCCAGATTAAAATATCTTTGTATTGATGCCTGTCTCTGCCGGGTTTGCCACCCACTCTATCATGCAGTTCTATTTCATGCATCTTTCTTGAAGATTATCTCCTCTCATGCCCTCGCACCCACGTATCCTATTCTAATATCTAAGGGATTGATGAACATGTCATGTGAACCTTGTTACATGAGCCAAATTATACAGACTTTGCTCAAATGATATTTAAACTTGACCTTTTTAACTTAAGTTCCCTCATCCTTTTCACTTTTCTTGTATATCAACCACCACCTCCAAGCCTTTCATATGTTGCAGTTAGTTTTATTATAATCGCTGGGCTTTCTATATAATACCTTTATTGATATTTAGCAAACAAACCATCCCATATAATTCCATAGGGAGACAAGTCTTGTTCAAATTTAGGTGATTTTTTTCTGCTTTGTCTCCAATATTCTTTCTTTGATCTTGCTGTGACTAATTTTTTTAAATTGCTGACTACCTCCCCATGCCTCAAAGCAATGCCTCCTTCACCAGATCTGGTTGATAATAGAGCACTTGAGAAGGATTATTTCATCATTCTTCTAAGTGACATCACCTAGGATGTTTCTCAAGTAATAAATAAATTGCCTCAATTCATCATATGACAGTAATTGCTTTTAGTCACGATTTAACTCAGAGTCAATGTTAAGTAGCTGGAAAATACCACAGAGATGCAGGGTTTTCAAAGATAGCTCTACCCTTGCTGTGGAAAACCACTTAATAAGTACTGTTAAATGCAAAGAAGATACACATTTCTAATACCCCAGACTCCTCAATACTACCCAGTCAGTCCTAAGAAGTTAGAATTGACTTCATCACAGCCTATACAACTAAAACTGCTAAATATTGCTGACAGAAGTTGCCCTCGTTTTCGGCCTCGAATGGAGGTTAGCACCCTGTGAGACAGGAATAGCTTTAATTGATTGTTTGAAAGCACTCAGGCCACTCAAATAAATTGTTCCTCAAGTGCTGATTTTGCTTGGTCTCCTGAATCTATGCTTCCAGATAGACCTTGTTTTACACTGTAAATGCTCTGTGTAGGTCAAATTCTAGTTCAGTCATGTTACACACACCAGGAAAGACGGCTAAATGAGACTCTGATAGAGAACGTCTTCTGGATGTAAGAAAACTCCTTTATTCTATTAAGAAAGTGTCTTTTTTTTATCCATGGAAATAGAGGAAAACAGACTTATTTATGAGCAGTCATGCCCAACTGATGCCAGACACAGTCATTATTGACACACCCCTTCTATGGCATATCCTTTTAAAGGTTTCACCGTTGGTGAGCTGGAAATCCATTTATACCTCCCAATGACCTCAACTACTTTCTGTTGTGCCAAGGAGGCCTAACCTATGAGGGCTGCCAAGACCCAGCTGGGGTAGAGAGAGGATTCAGTCTGTGGTAAGACTAAGACCTTAAGCTATGACTAGAGTCAGGTATAAGGTTGTCTAAGAAACCAAGTATAGGGCATACTTTGTAGACTGGGTTAGGTTTCAGACCGCAGTCAAGGTTAATGACCAGGATGTGGCTGAGGTAGGGGTCAAAGCTAAAGCAGAGATCAGGAGTCAACTTACGGCTCGGGTTTAGAAGTGTTATGGCAGTCAGTCTGCATCCATGGTGGGGTCAAACTTGCCCACAAGTGTGGCTTAGACTTTATTCAGAAATAAAATGTAGCCCATGGCCATGAAAATAACTGGACAAAGCCCAGTGACCTCCACATGGACTATATCCATTACCTTGGTCTCATTAGCATCAGTTCAACCCTTGGCTTCATAGGAATAGTCCTGGACATTGCCTAACCTGAGTGGTGCTAGGATTATAATGATGACAGTGGCTATAGCAAGGTGCTGAGCATGGAAGGTAATTAGACAACACTACTGTCTTGGAACTCACTACTTAGGGGGAGAGGAAAGTGCAAACTAAAAATCAGAGTTGAGTGATGGGCACCAACACAGAAGTGTGCACAGGAAAGGGCATGCCCAGCTCTGCTTAAACAAAACTAGACTACAAACTTGATTTCCACGTCATCCATGGTGTGGGACACATCAGGGCATTCCTGTGACCACTCAGTGGCCTTCTCTTTTCCCTCCCCACCTTGACTCCCTGTGGGCCAGACTGTCCTGCTGATGCGGATGAAGAGGCTGAGTCATCTCAGTGCTGACAGTACTGGCTCCTTGCTTATAGAATCTGTGCTTTGAGCCTGGAGCTCAGGAGGCTCAAAGCCGCTTAGCTGCTGCAGGCAGGAGCACCCACGGCCTGCACTGGGGATTAAGGGTTTAGTCTGAAGAACAGATGTAAGAAGAAGAACATAAACTCTTTAGGATGCCCTGCAGCAAAGTGATAGTCCCTTTAGAGTTCTTCAGGCAGCCAGTATGAGAGAGCTGTGGTCACACTGAACTGACTGTAATTCTTCCTGTGAAGCTCAGAGCAGTCCCAGGGCAGCAATGGGCCAAGGAGAGGCTTCTCAGGAGCAGCCAGTATAGAGCCAAGTACAAAAGCCAATCAGGGACAGTCTGCAGGTCATGTAATTCCGGGACACTGAGAACAGGTTACCACAGCCTGGCTTGTGAAGCAAAGCCCAGGCCAGGGCATGACCAGCAAGCAGATGCTGAGACTATTCAAAGGGAGAAGCAGAAACCAAACCAAGAAAGGAAGGTTTAGAGCCACAGAGTGGAGACCTGTCTGGGCCAAATGTAGAATACAGTCAACAAGGGGACCTCACTGGGGAGATGGGGTGAGCCAAAGGGATTCTCTGGATGGCAGCTCTTGGCCAAGGTTTTCTTGAGGTCTGCCCACTTTAAAGGCACAGCCCTTAAAGCTCAACCACTGCCCACTGGCCAGTGCTCAGGATCACTGCATTTCTAAGTACATTCATTTTCCAGGGCTGTTATTACAAATAACCACAACCCAAGAGGTTTAAGGACAGAAATTTATTCCCTCACAATTCTGGAATCCAGCAGTCCCAAATCAAGGTGACAGCATGGCCATGGTCCTTCTGAGACTGTGGCAGAACTCTTCTTTGCTTCTTCCTAGCTTCTGCTAGTGGTTGGCAATGCTTGGCATTCCTTGGCTTATAGATGCATCACTCCAATCACTGCCCCTGTTGTCAATGACTTTCTCCCTATGAGTCTGTCTTTACATGATGTTTTTCTCTTCTTGTAAGGACACCGGGCATATTGGATTAGTGTCCACCCTTCTGACTTTATCTAAACTAATTACATTTGCAAAGATACTGTTTTTAAATAAGGTTCCACTCACAGGTACTGGGGTTATTACTTCAACATATCCTTTTGGGGAACACAATTCAACTTCTAAGACCAGGTGAAGCTGAGTCATGACCCACACAGCCTGGGGATGGGCTACAAGCAGGAGCGGGAGCTCAGCATTTCACTAAATGAAATGCAAACTCTAAAAGGGTTCACAGCCAAATGGACAGGCAGCATGTGGGAAGAGGAATGGGGGCTCCTGCTTGGTTGTGGACTGAGCAGAACACAAGGCTTCTGGAAGGATAATATGTCTCAGCTTCCTTTGTCTGAACTGCATAGCAGGGTGCACCAGAGGCCGAGGCTCCCCTAGGCTCATACTCAGAAACATAATTCAATTCTTTCCAACCAACTCTGGCCAAATTGATCCCCTAAGGGGTGACTGTATTACCTGACTTAGAGGGGCAAGAAAGGGGAGGAGAAGCAAAGATCTGCCCATCTGGGGCAGCTTTGTCCAGATTATGCATCTGCAACATGCCGCTTGCAGCTAGCATCAGAGTGCCTGGAAAGGAGAGAAGGGGCACGGGAGGAAGCAGGCAATCTATAGGAAGGATTAGTGGAAGCATAAGCAGGATCAGACAGAGGAGCCAGTAAACACGCAGCACAGAATTTCAGATTAGTGCAACTAACCCGTGCAACGGTAATAAAATGAGCAGCAGCAAGCACGGAATTGATTGTTGAGATTCCAGCCAAATCCACCATGAACATGTTTTCTTTCTTCTAGCCTTTGCCCCTTTGCTTTTGAAAGCAGAAACACTGAATCACTGTGTTCTGTATTAAAAGCTGATCTGTTCCCCTCCCCAAAGGATGGATGGAAAAGCAGCTCTGCTCTTAGTGGGAGGTGAGGAGGGTAGAAGAAGTGGCCAGTGTGGTTGTAGCAGATGCCACTTGCCACACTGGCACAGAGTCCTAAGACAGGGTCTTCCCTATGACTGCCCACGATTCCTGCCCCCAGCCCAACCTCTTTTGGGCCAACACCATGAGATCCCAGGCGAGACACTGGGCTCAGCAAGACCAGCTCCAGCAGATTTGGGGGAGCTCCAAACAAGGGCTCTGAAGACTCAGTCTCTAGGAAGCTTGGCAGGTGAGTCTGCATGGAGTTCAAATACTGGATTGAAAACTAGTGACTCACAATTAGCCCAACAAAATGGTAGATGGTGAGTAGAGTGAGGTGCTTGAACCATCACAGGCTGGAGGCAGAAGTGGGGATGGGGGTGAGTATACCATGCCTGGCACATGCTCCATCAATGTCAGTCATCTGCTTATTTATTAAATCATTCATGCATGGGGTCAAATGAATGAGCACTACAATGTGTGCTAGGCACAGGGAAAGAGTTGATAGAAACCAAACAGCTCCAACAAAACATGCTTATACCTTGTACATATGCCATGTTCAATAGAAAACTTTGCTTAGGGCGGGGGAGGGGGTTGCAGTTCTTTGTGCCAAGTGGCCCACCCAGTTGACTATCTCTGCATGCAATCTGGAGATAATGGGGGCCAGTAAAGGTTTTGCAGAGATCAAACTGTCTGAACTTGATCCTAGAGGATGAGTAAGGCAAACCATAGAGGGAGAACATCTCAGCAGAGAGAGGAGAGTGTGAGAAGGCAAGTACCACTCACATGATCAGTTTGAACGGGTTACAGGATGCTGAGGAGGAAATAAAATTGGAGAGATAAAAAAGGGATAGGCACTAGGTGGTAAATGGCCTTTGATTCAGGCTAGTTATCCCAAAGCACAAGGGGAGCCCTGGGAGCATTTTAATCAGGATTAGACTCTCTCTCTTTTTTCTTTTCTTTTCTTTTTTTTGAGACTGGGTCTTGCTTTGTCACCCAGACTGGAGTGCAGTGGCATGAACATGGCTCACTTTAGCCTCAACCTCCTGGGCTCAAGCGATCTTCCCACCTCAGTTAGGGCCACAGGCATGCGCTGCCATGCCTGGCTTTTTTTTTTTTTTTTTTTTTTTTTTTGAGACGGAGTCTTGCTCTGTCACCCAGGGTGCAGTGCAGTGGCATGATCTCGGCTCGCTGCAACCTCCACCTCCCGGCTTCAAGTGATTCTCCTGCCTCAGCCTCCTGAGTACATGGAATTACAGGTGCGTGCCACCACACCTGGCTAATTTTTGTATTTTTAGTAGAGACGGGGTTTCACCATGTTGGTCAGGCTGGTCTAGAACTCCTGACCTCATGATCCGCCCACCTTGGCCTCCCAAAGGGCTGGGATTATAGACATGAGCCACTGCGCCGGGCCTTTTTTTTTTTTTTTAACTTTACTTTCGTAGAGACATGGTCTCACTATATTGCCTAGGCTGATCTCGAACTCCTGGGCTCAAACAATTCACTGACTCAGCCTCCCAAAGTGCTGGGATTATGGGTGTGGAGCCACCATACCTGGCCTGAATCATACTCTTATTTTTAGATGATCACTCTGGCTTCAGTGGGGAATAAATATTGGAAGGGGATTGATGTAAAGACATGGGGACCCCAATTTGGAATCTGTGACACTAACCTTATGAGTCCCAGACATGAGTTGTAGCAGTGAGCAAGAAGGAGACAGAGATTCAGGAGAGATTTCAGAGGCCGTATCTATCAGATTTAGTGATAAATTGGATACTGAAGATGAGGAAAAAGAGAAGGCAAGGATGATGCTTGGCTTCTGAATCTGAGTTTAATGGCAGTTTGAATGGAAGACTGGAGACTGATTTCTCCTTGCTTTAAGGAGAATATCCCAGGAGAGAAAAAGGTGCAGTGAGAGCCTCAGTCATATATGCTCCCTGATTAGACATTTGTTTTGAAGAAGCACAAACATTAACAATCATCTCCCACAGAACACCCTACAGGGATGTGACAACCCTCTTCTGCATTAAGTCTTTTGATTCAGTGGGGAGACGGGCAACAGAAAATGGCAGCTCAAATGATGTACCAATAGCCTTGTGTCTGTCAAGCTTTGAGCATCTGTTCTAAGACTGTTGTTAAGGACAGTATCCTAATGCACTTGATCCAAGGCTCGTCTCCTCCCCCATTCTGTAGTGTCAGCCTTACAGCCATATGAGTAGTTGCCCAGAACAGCTGAGGAGGGTCCTCTGCAATGATCAGCCTGGCTCCTGGATGTCACCTGCCCTCGTGGCCTCCAGCTGTAGCTCTTCCCCTAGTCTTCTGGCACAGCCATGACCTTTGTGCACTCCAGAACCAACCAAAGCACTGGTCAAGGGGAACTAGAGGATGCCCAGGTCAAAGGCTCAGGGATGTCCACATCCTTTCACCTATCTCAGCTCTCAGTCTTGCTCTTGCCTTGGGTCACTGCAGGAGCTGGGGTTGCTGTGCTGCTGTGCCCAGCCATCCACCTTATATCCTAAAGCTTTGATGAGCCCTGATTCATGACTTCTATTTGGCACTTTAGGTGCCCCAGGCCTGAGGCCCTGATGGGCTCTTACCTATTTCCTCCACCACTCACGTTTCTCAGAAACCACAGTTCTGGCCCAGTCACCAGTCACAGTCTGGCCCAGATTCAGTCTGCCTGAATCTTACCAATGGTCAGCTTGCCTGCTGCTCACTCTCTGGACCTCAATTTCCTCATCTGTAAGATGGGTTAAGATCATTATAATGATGGCACAAGTCTAAGATAATGAAGTTTTTTATCTCATGATTCTTCTCAATAACTGGTCATTTTTAGTATTTCCATTTTGCAGATGAGAAAATGGGGAAACTTTGGGGCTCAAAGCCTCTCAGATAGTAAATTATGTGGCTTCTGAGACTGTCCTGAACCATCCTGCCATGGTATTTCCCAATGCTGGCTCAGAATGGGTGTTCTCTAATGTCTATGGGCACAGAGCATGGAGAGTATGATTACAGACTGTCTTGAGAGACCTGGGTTTGAATTCTAGTTTCATCATTTCAGAGTTGAGTGATTTTTAATCATCTGACCCTCAGTTTCCTCATCTGTAAACTGTGACTACTAACAGTACTCTATTTGGCAGAGTTGCTGGGAAGTTTAAATGAGTTAATGATGTGAAACTCAGCACATTCCATAGCATGTAGGAAGTATGTAACATACTTGCTGTTATATTTTTCTTTTCATCGTCTTATTGGACATTCCCAATGCTTTGTCCCCCAGAGCTGCCCCCTCTCTCCTGACAGGCTGTGCCCCTGCCTCTGCTGCCTGTCTTCGCCTCTCTCCATGAAGCATTTTCCCCTCATGGTGGCTGTTCAGGTTGGAGCTTCACCCGGTTCTCCTGCCTCTGGTTCCTGTTCTCACACCATCTGTCAACCCCTTCCACTGGGCACATGCTCCCTTGGAGGGTCACTGAAGCCTCAGGGTGTCCAAGCTCACAGGGCCCAGGGCATGACCCTAGGGAGACTGCTGCCTTGCTTCATCATCTTCTCTTGGCCCACATAGCTTTCTCCCAAAGGCTCAAACTCCTTCTGCCTGGGTCTGAGTAAAGCTGCCCCTGGGAAAGTTGCTTTAAGGACAGTTGCTAAGAACTCCCAGAGAGTGTATGATGACCTGAATCCTGTCACTGTGCCAAGGCCGTGATTTAAAGAATTTCCAGCGAAATAATAAGAGAGAGTTTTAACATGAGGTACACAGGAAATAAAGGAATAATAAGGGAAGCTGTATCCAATATCTTCTCAAACCTGGAGCTGGGTTGAGAGTGCATCCATTTCTTCTGTTGACCCTCACCATGATTAGGCCTGGCTGTACAGGGACTCAACTGTACTATTTCACAAATGAAGAAGGTGAGGCTCAGAAAGGCGAAAGGCTGAGTAATTGGCTCAAGGTCCCCAGTTTTAAGGAATGGAGTTTGGGCTCCAGATGAGGGCTTGTCCCACAGCTCTTTTTTCTGTAGAAAATTGACAATGGGCATGGGGCATGGCCAAGACAATGAAGTCAGATCTGCCACTGGGGATGACCTTTAGCACAGCTACTCTGGCCTCCAGACTGGACACTGTCAGTCTCCTCTTGGGCTCAGAAGTCCAGGCCACCCCCTTGAGGCCTGGCTGAACTGCAGGAGGGATGTGAAAAGAGGCCTTCTTTCTGCACTGGTGGGCCTGGGGAAGACTGAGTTCTCTTAATGTTAATTAACTGGTCACTTCTCTACTGCAGCCTCCAGTCAGCTCACTGCAGAAAAGTGCCCAATCCTGGCCAGAAGAGGATTTTACCTTATTTTTCTCAATATAAACATTCCTGACCTCTACCCACTAGGTGACTATAGCCCCTCGCACCCAGCTGTGACAACCAAATACATCTCCAGATTTTGCCAAACGTCCCCTAGTCCTAGAGAGCAACAAGGAATAAAAGGAACTGAATATTTACTGAGCCTCTTCTCTACACATACATTTCTATTCACCAACTAGGGACAAAGATGACCCTAGATGTGTTACCTCTTGATCTGCACTGCCCACAATGGTAGTCACCAAGTCACGTACTTAGAGCACTTGAAAGGTGGCTGGTGTAACTGAGGAACTGAATTTAAAAATTTATTTTATTGAAGTGTTCTATGTGTAAAATACACACCAAAGACTTAGTACAAAAAAAGAATGTAAAATATCTTTCATCTGTTGTTTTCTTTAATTTTGCTGCATATAATAATAATAATATTTTGGATATACCAGATGATTGTGAACCTAAGATAGGTGGGCTTAAGATTCTTTGACTTTACAATGCTGCTGAGAAAGTAATACCTGTTCAGCAGAGACTACACTTTAAGTACCAGTGCAAACATTCTGCTTTTCACTTTCAGTACAGTATTCCATAAATTACATGAGATACTCAACACTTTAATATAAAATAGGCTTTGTGTTAAATGATTTTGCCCAACTTCAGGCTAATGTAAGTGTTTTGAGCATGGCACATTTAAAGTAGGCTAGGTTAAGCTATGATGTTCCGTAGGTTAATTGTATTAAGTGCATTTTCAACTTACAACATTTTCAACTTATGGTACATTTATTGGGACATAACCCCATCATAAGTTGAGAAGGATCCGTATTGAGTTAGATACATTATATTATTAAAATTAGCTTCACCTGTTTCTTTTTACTTTTCTCACGTGACTCTAAGAAATTTAAAATTACATACAATATTCAAATTCTATTTCTATTAAACAGTATGGCTCTGGAGGTTTATAACAGAGGATGATTTTTGTCTCCATGGCACATTTGGGAATGTCTGGAGATGTACTTGGTTGTTACAATTGGGGTTGACGTGCTGCTGGCATCCAGTGGGGAGAGGCAGGGTTGTTGCTAAGCATCCTACAGTGCACAGGACAGCCCCCTGCCACCGGCCCCCAACAAAGAACTATCTGGCCCCAGACATCCATGGTGCTGGGGTTGAGCAATCTTGCCATAGAGAATGAATTCCTTGAAGGATTAGCCAATAAATTAGGAAGACCTGAAGAACTAATTGGACCTAGATGGGCAAAGAAGTTAAAGCTTTTATTGCACTTAGTTCTCATGATTACCTATGACTGTGGCTATTCATATTTCAATTTCTCCAAATAAAAATAATGAAGTCTGGAAAAGAAAAATAAATTATCCAGGATCACCAGCCCAGAAGGTGGCATTGCTGAGAGCTGAACTCAGCCTCCACTCACTCCGAATGCCAGCCTGTCCCTGCTACATAATGTGGTCCTGCAGCTCTCTGAGTTGGTGCTGATATGAAAAGAGGCTCCTGTGCTTAAAGTCTAATATCCCCATCACTCAGACCCAGGCAGTTATTATTTACATCAGCCATTATTGCTACCAGGGGACGAACATTAACAAAAACACCCTTTGAAAGGGATGGCACTCACAGGCACCTCACCCATCAAATGAGGTTGAGAAACGTGTGGAAATAAATGGATCACAATGAAATAAACCTGTCAGAGGAGGAACATTCAGACGCCTTAGAAGACAAGAGGTAAGAACAAAAGCACCTGATATGGGACTGGCTCTGTTTAAAGAAAATATTATCTGACTGCTCGACTGGAATAGAGCCTAGAGAACAATGGCCCAGCAGAAACGGAACAGCTCGCACACACTCTGGAGAAGTATTGTTTCTCTGTAAATTGGTGGTGTGCACAGTGACGAGAGTCACTTTTCTCCCACTGTCCATCTGCAACTCCCACCTCCCTTTGGGAAGGGCCTCTGATAAGGTAGGGCTGGGGACTGATTTCAGTAAAGACCTACTATGTGCTGCAACTGCACACAACATTCCTAGCATTTTCTAATGGAATTTTTAATATGACTGCATGAAGCACATATGATAATTAGTTTTGCACGTGAAATAAGGCTATGCAACTTGCTTAAGGTAATCTAACAGGGAGTGGCTGAGATGAAATTCCTGTGGTGTTGGCAGTGACACACTGGAGTACAGGTGTCCATGGCAGTACAAAGGCAGAGATAAAACTTGCCCATAGTGGATGCTGTTTAGGCTCAGCCCCAATCTCCTTTACTGGGCGGGTGTGACTACTCTCCAGCTGCTGTGGGTGCTGGCGCAAATGGCTCACAAATACCTCCCTTCCTAGAGAAGTACCATCAGGCATAAGGGAACCACTTCCCCAGGAGGTCATGCATTCCCATGGCAGCCCACAGCCAGTGGCTGACCAACACCATGGTACAAATATTGGCCCCCTTGCCTCAAGGTGGGCCCAACTCTTTAGTACATTTCCTACTCCAGACCTCCCCTTTACCCAGGGCTCAGGTAGATGCAGATCTCCACATCCCCCCTTAGCTTTGTTCTCTGCCATATCTCATCTTCCTCCCTTTCTTCTGAGAACACTCTGCAATGAATAATTTGCACAAGAATCTCCATCTCAGTCTCAGTGTCCAGGGAACTCAACCTAAGACATTCACCAGCAGTGATGTCTCTGAGTTTGGGAAACAGGGTGGCAGGAGTGAACTGTGAAGGTACTGGATGCCCAGACTCATGTCATCACAGCCTGCTGCACCTCCTTCTCCACCATGATAAACTGACCGTTCAGGGATTAGTAGACCGGAGGCCATTGTCTGGGCAAGGACTTTGAGAGAGGTGACAGTTAAAGGTTTGAAATCTCCAAGAAACTTCCCATTGACTAAAAAGGGACCCTGTAATAAAGAGGTCTCTAGGTCAGCAGATTATCTTTTGAGCCCCACGATGGACATCAACCTCTGACATGAGTGGGCTCTGTGTCCTTTGAAGAATGGCATACATTTATGTGAAATGAACTCCACCTATGGTACACTTGAGGAAAGGGGCTGGTATTCACTTCAAACAAATACAGAC
This sequence comes from Homo sapiens, assembly GCF_000001405.40. Lineage (NCBI taxonomy): Eukaryota > Metazoa > Chordata > Mammalia > Primates > Hominidae > Homo > Homo sapiens. The sequence continues at coordinate 42,269,667 of NC_000020.11, forward strand.
TCTGGACTGGGCGTACCCATGGCAGCTCCTTCGATGTCTATTATCTTGTTTAGTCTCAGAGGCCTCTGCATGTGTACGGTCTACAACGTAAATGGTGCCCCATAAGGGGTAGGTGGGATTATTCCTATTTAACAGGTAGGAAAAGTCAGGCTGATCATGGTATGGGTAAATTGTCAGGACAAATGGTAGACCTGATCATAGTGAGAGCTTCTCATTTCCTAAGCACAGAATTGTTATGTCAACTTTTTTCCCAAACTTAGATCACAGCTCAGCTGTCGCTTCCCCTGTGAAGCACTCCTTTGGCTGCACATGGGTTTGTTTATTTTGAATACCATGTACCTTTCCTTTGTAACACCACTTGAAGTGGCAAATTTATTTGTGTAGTTTTTGGACCAGTGGCTGTTTCTTCTCCTGGAAAGGCACTGGAACATATCTTCTTTTGCTCATCATTGTACATCTCCATGCCTAGAACAGTGCCTGGCACCCAGTAGGTACTTAGTAAGCATTAGTAGAAGGAATGAATAGGTGAGTGGATAGATGAGTGTATGCATAGAGGGATGGAGGGATGGGTGGATGAATGAATGTGTGGGTTGATGGGTGAATGGGTGGGGGGGTGGGTGGGTGGGTGGGGTGGAAAGACTGCTGATTCCTCTCTGGTGCACCTGGCCTGGAGGACCCACTGAGTGTGGGCAACTCTCCCCTCCCACCCGCCCAGGGCTCTGGTGATCACCTGTGGTGAGGAGGCAGAGTGGAGTCCCCGGGGTCACCTGGGCGCTGCCCATTGGTGCTGACCACAAGGAAGCCAGTCCCCAGGCAGCATGCAGAAGAGAAGGAGAGAAAGAAACACACATGAAAACGTGCAGCACGGTGAACAAAACTGCAATTCTTGTGGCTCTGAAGAGCTCACACTAAATAGCAAAAGAACATCATGATTTAACAAAACAGGGCCTGAAATAGATTTAAAAAAAATGAAACAAGAGTAAGAGGCACCACTTATCAAGCACCCACGACATGCCAGGTACTTTTCTGGGTGCCTCACATATAATGTTTCTAAGATTTAGAATAACCCAGAAAGGTCAGTATGACTATAAATAAATCTGTCATTTTTCCACCGAAACTACTTCTCTGTTAGACTTCCCTTTCTGCATAAATGGTGCCACCATCCATGTAGCTTCTCAGTCTAGACACATGGGAGCCCTCCTTTTTTCTGATGTCCCTCTTATAATCAATCACCATGCTTTATTAATTCTACCCCAGAAAAGCTCTTGAAGCTGCTTCCTTCTCTTTAATTTCATTCTCACTTTGTTCAAGCCAACCTTGTGTTTCACATGGATTATTTAAGCAGCCTGTCGTCTGGTCTCTCTGCCTCCAGTCTTGTTCCCCTTCAGTCTTACTCTCCATCCTTCAGTTGAAATACAACAGTGCTGCCTCGTTGTCCCCAAGGTAAACTTCAAACCACCTCACTCAGCTCACAGGCCCTCCATGATGAATCTCCTGCCCACCCCTCTGGTCTTGTCTCTCTTCACTACCACTGCCCACCCTGTCCCAAGCATGACAACAGCTTTCCATTATCAACAGCCCCCCACCTTCTTGTATGTAAGCCTTCCTTAGGTGAGTCACTTTGCATGGGATATACTCCCTCCTGCTCCTTCACCTGGCTGATAACTGTTCATCCGTCAGGTGTCAGTTTATAACCTGTTACCTCTAGGGAGTCTTTAGTACGTCAGTGAATCTGGGACAGATGCCCCTTCTTGTCTTCCCATAACACCCTCATCTTCCCTTCTTATTGCAATATATCACTGTATTAGAAATGGATGCCTTCTCTTAAATCTGTAGTCTCCTTGAAAGCAGACACGGTGTCCCATTTACTAGTGTACTCATGTGGCCTTGCATTGTGCCTGACACATAGTAGGTACTCAGTGAATATTTGTTGAATAAATGAAGAATGAATGAAGAAATGTTGAATCATAGAATTTGTAAAACTTGTTCAAGGTCACAAACTGGTAAAGGTTGTATTCAAACCCTGGTTTGTCTGGCTTTAATGTTCCTGTCCTTTCAAATCCACCCCTCACCTCTCTAAAGAAAAACATACAAAAGGTTGAAAGGTGTTTTAGGCTTGTCCAGGGACTGCAGCTTTCTCCAGTGATCCATCAACAAAACTGCAGGAAGTTCTTATGCAAAATTGAGAAGATAGAGTATTCCAGACCAACTGATAAACAAAAAATACATAATTTCAAAAATAATACAGATGGCAAACTTGATCAACAGCCATGAAATACTATAAAATTTAACCACCAGTAAATAGTAATCATAATACTTCTCCCTTAAAAATATGAAAAGTTTTGCTGTTTTAAAAGCACAATCTAAGTCAGGGGTCAGCAAACTATGACTTGTAGGCCAAATCTGGCCCCCCACTCCCTGTTTTCTGTGCAGCCATGAGCTATAAATGCTTTTTACATTTTTCTAATGGTGGGGAAAAAAATGAAAGAGGAGTAATATTTTGTGACACATGGAAATTATATAAAATGCAAATTTCAGTGTCCATAAACAAAGTTTTATTGGAACACAGCTGCACTCATTCTTATACATATTCTTATATGTATGGTTGCTTTGGAGCTACAATGACAAACTTTAGTATTTGTGACAGAGACCATAAGGCCTGCAAAGCTGAAAATATTTACTATCTGTCCTTTTACAGAGGAGTTTGCTAACTCCTGTTCTAAGTGGCTATTTTTTAGGGTTTTTTTTTTAACCCCAATGCTCTCAGATAGGCAAGACAAAGACTGTCGCCCTCACATGTCAGTAAAAGAAATGCAAAGCTTCAGAGAAGAGATGACTTACATGTTCCCACTTGGCCCCCTTCAGCAGCCTCTTAACTGCTCTCCCATTCTGTAGCCTTCTCCCTGCCTTAGTCTTCCTTCTCTGATTCATTTTCTAAACTATAACTAGGGTGTCCTTCCCCAAAAAGGCAGTCTGCTTAAGTACCTCCAGGGGCTCCACTATCTAAGGACAATGCTTTTATATGTGCGCGCATGCGTGCACACACACGTGCGCGCACACACACACACACACACACACACATACAGTGGGGCTACACAGAGTCCTGGGTGGCCCCTGATCACTCCTAACCTCATCTGGTCACACTGGCCTACTAGCCATCATTCCTTTGCCTTGTCCCATTTAAATTCAGTGGCATGCTCTCTTGCCTTCAGTGATTTGCATACCTACTCCCTTGGCTTGAAGGCTTTCTTGACTTACTTTGCAACCTTGTTCGACATGATAATTGTTACTCTTCTTTCAAACCTTATCTCAGTGATCACACATTCTGAAATAGCATACCCTAAGTTGATTTATGTCTCCCTTCTTGCCCACCAGTGACATCCTGATTTTGCCTTGACGACAGCCCTTATTGGACTTATATTTATTCATTGCCTCTCCCATGAACTACTATTTGCTGAGTGTTTCTTACAAGCCAGGTATTATATTAAGTACTTTCGATACATTTTCTCATGAAATTCTTACATTAGCCCTGTGCAGTAAGTGGTAGTACTTATTTATTTATTTTTGAGATGGAGTTTCACTCTTGTTGCCCAGGCTGGAGTGCAATGGCATGATCTCGGCTCACTGCAACCTCCACCTCCTGGGTTCAAGCGATTCTCCTGCCTCAACCTCCTGAGTAACTGGGATTACAGGCATGCACCACCATGCCAAGCTAATTTTGTATTTTTAGTGGAGATGGGGTTTCTTCTTGTTGGCCAGGCTATTCTCGAACTCCTGTCCTCAGGTGATCCACCCGCCTCAGCCTCCCAAAGTGCTGGAATTATAGGCGTGAGCCACCGCACCCAGCCATAAGTGGTGTTATTGTCATTGGTTTATAGATGGGGAAACAGAGACACAGAATAGTTTAGTACCTTTTCCTACCTAGAATCAAAGACCATCCAAATCTAAAGATGATGTTTTTAACCACTAGGGAATGTGGGATTACATATCAATACTAAGTTGTACTCAATAAATGCTTACTGAAAAGTAAATGAATACATGAAAGTCTGATTCAGTATTTTTCACTCACTAGCTGTGTCATTTGGAAAATTACATACATTTCTAAATTTTAATTTCTCCACTTATAAAGTGGAGGTAATAATTATCTCATGAAGTCATCTTGAGGATCAAATGGAAAAGAGTTAAAGCCTTAGTTGGGTTGGTGGGCCTAGAGGAGGTACCTCCCCACTCCATCCTCTAGGTCTGCAACCCATGCTGTGCTTAGCAGTAATGCTCAGCTATCTGGGGTAGGAACAGAGGGACAGCTGGATAAATGCAGGAATGGGGAGAGATTTTTCTAGTTGGTGGGCAGAATATAGTGGGATGGATCATGGATCTCAGCAAAACACAAAAGGAGGCAGAAACAGAAAAAGGTCCTGTTTACATATATGGTTCTAGAGATGTCTCATGTTTACCAGTGTCTGTTCCATCTATCCTTGGGCATAGGAAAGAGTTCCAGTCAACTTGCAGTTGGGCTGTTGTCATGTGACTAGCTCTCATCAAGGCCATGTAAGTGGAAGTGGCATGAGTCATTTCCGAGTGACATATTTAAGATCCAAGTTGCCACTTCCATGCTTTCTCTTCCCCTGCTCAGGGGTTCTCTGAGACCACATATATTCTAGATGGCACAGCAACAAATATGCCTTTGTGGTATTAAGCTACTGGGAGTTGGGTATTAGCTTGTTATGTTAGCAAAGCCTAGCCTAGCCTAACTAATCCAGTTGCTGAGGTAGAGGTCTCTTGCTTTCTCCTGCATCACCTGGTCCCCTGACCACATCACGTTTTGAGGATTCATTACCCTTCTCTCTTTACTGTTTCCAGGCCCTGTACAGTGTGTGTGTGTGTGTGTGTGTGTGTGTGTGTGTGTGTGTGTGTGTGTGTGTGTGTTAGCCTGCAAAGAAGGAGCTCAGAATGCTGAATGTCTCAGACTTCCCTTCTGACTCTTGTCCCTTCTAAAGCAATCAGTGTTGAGTGCAGAGAGATGCTGCTGGGCTACAGATGGCCCTGGAGCAGACAACCCTGAAGACTAACTAATTTTTTGGTTTATTAGCTTCAATATGTTGTGGAAGTGAAGAAAGTTGAGGATTTCTTGAGCCACCTCACCTTCTGCTCCAGGACTTAGCTTGAATACTCCTGGAGACAGGCCAAAGACCATCACATGCTAAATATTCTATTATCAATTATTACTAGAAAAGAGGCATGGGAAGAGGTTAACAAATAGGTAGGAGACAGAGCATCCTGTCAGTGGTCAATGAATCTCATCTGTCTATAGTATTAACACAATGGAATCAGATCTGATTTCCAATTCTGAGGAAACTTGAGCTCCTTATTTAACCCCTTGAGCCCATTTGGCCCATCATTAAGTAATAACGATGACCACTATTTATTTAGTGTGTGCTAAGTGTCAGGCTTTACTTCTGTCATCACACTGAAACCTTGTGTCAGCACACAAAGCCCTGTGACTGGCACACAATAGGTGGTTAATTTTTGCAAATCCCTTTTAATCCCTCCTCAAACATCACATTGAGATCCCATCAATGGGGTTTAAAATATCCAATAGAGCTTTATTCTCTTTATTTATAACCCTTGTCTCTAGCCTACCCCAAATGTGTTCCTTCCCGGACTCCCAATTTTAAAAGGCCCCCCTTTTCCTTTAGAAGATGCAACTGCTTTGCAATAACAGACTTGCGATCAAGTCGACTCAGGTGTCTCTCAGATCTTGAGTAGATAATTCTTATTTCTAGTTGAGAAAGATGGATTGGAACTCCCAAGGTACATGCTTGAATGGCAAGAGTTAATCCTCACTTGTTTTTCTGAACTCTATCAAACCAGCTTTTGTCTTCCTGAGTGGGGTATGGAAGTGGGGTATGGAAGGGGTGTGTGTGGCGGGGGAAGTTTGAGCACAACTAGAGAGGCTAGAGAGATGTGCCAGCTGTTGTAGCAAGAAAAATATTAAAGAAAGAGTTGGGATATTTAAAGGTCATATTTAGGCTATCTTATGTGTACTTATGATATAGTTCTCTTCCTCCAACTTCTTGCAAAACCTTTAGGAAAATCTGTATTTTTCCATTGACATTTTAGGACCTAGAAGACAGTCAGTGAGAGCAAAGGGGGCCACAAGTCAAGGAGAATTTGTTACACTCATGTAACTCTGAGGATCCCAGTCCTGGAAAATGTATCTCATGGGACTCAGCTAAGGAAGAATAGCATTGTCCTGCCCAAACCCTCCAGCCACACAGTCTGAGCTTTCACCTCCAAAAGTTTGACAAGATTTATAAAGACTGAACAACAATCAAGAGCTTTCCAATAGACTATCTCACTAGAGTCTTTCCTCTCACAAGTGATTCCCCATTATGGCCCCTACCCTGGTTGCTCTAGCTAGATTTGGACATGCTATGCTCCTGGGTCCCTCCTGAAATTGCTGGTCTGGTGATGAAGAAAGGACAGTGTCATAGTCAAGGCTAGAAAAGGGATGACCACAATCCTATACATGTCCATAAAAGAATACTATTGCTCTGCAGGATCTCATCTAGAGACAACAACCTATCAATGGGAAGGTCAAGTACTGAAAAGTGAGGCCAACATCACTCCTGTCCCCTCTGGGTTTCTTCACTTTGGATCTAACCTGTATCCATTTGACAAACGGCTGATTTGTAGAACTGTACAAGCAGTGACTAGAGTCTGGGCTGTGGCTTTTTCCTTAGAGAACTGAGAGAGAGGATCTGTGCTTAGTAGGTCTGGGTCTCCAAGTCCCACATTAAAGACTCAGAAAGGAAGAGAGAAAGAAGGAAATATATATATATATATATATATATATATATATATATATATATATATATATATATATATATATAATGTTCTTGAATACTTGGTAGAAAGGGCTACCGATCTCAGGCTTCAAAGTGAAGGGACAGATTCGTAGATTTTAACTGACTTGTCCAAGGTCTAACAGCTAAATTTTGGGGGACAGGATTTGAATCCAGGTGTTTCTAATTTCCAATTATTCCATGCAACCTCTCAAGGAAGCTTCCTATATAAAACAGAATCTTCCACATAGGCTTGTATCAATGGGAGTAGGCATTGCCTATTGATAGCAGAGGATTATCACACCACCTGTGGCTGTGATTCTGTGGATAAACAAGGCATGGACACATCACTCCTCCTCTGGGCCCCAGTCTTAGCATCTGTTAAATGAGAGCATCTCACTGAAAAATGGCTATTTAGTGTCCCTGCTGGTCCCTGCAGGAGTGAGAATCCATTATGGGAAAAGGAGAGGAAAATGCCAGATGAAATGCTTTATCTCAGGCTTAGCTCTTATGAAAAGAAGGCATATTTACAAAAGCCAGCGCCCAAACCTCTTGCTGTCACTATTGGAACAATGGCGTTAGTCCATCGCTGCCACCAAGCAGAACAAAACTACTGGTGACACTGGCCCCTCATCCTATGCTTCATTATTCTGGAGTTCAGCTTTCAGCACCCACTCCAAGGGGGTTGTTTTAATGGGATCGTTAGAGAGTGTTTACTAGATTAAAACTGTGGCTGTCTTCTGCAAAGCAACTCTGCAAATGGCTTTATGGGTTTCTGGGTTTATTTTGTCTCAATGACTCGGCTCAGTTTGCAAATCAAATCAAAGCTGATTTTTCTAACTGCCACTCGGGCGCACCCAGCGGGAGTCTGCAGAGCCAGCTGTGTTCCCTTGACGGCTGGCGCTGGAGACAAGATGGGAGTGCTGCTGCCTGCTGGCAGCCAGAGTGGTTCCACCCAATGGAAAGAAGCAAGCATGCACCTTCCTGACCCTAACCAAGGCTGGAGGAGCAGGTCAGAGGAAGCAAATTTCATTTTCTGAAAGGAGAAATGGTAGACAGAATCTATTTGACTTCAAGGACTGATGGGCAGAAAAATAATAGGGAGCCAGTTTGGACTCATAATGTAGAAGCCCTCTCAAACGGAAGTGTCCAAAGTGTGAAGCAAGTCCATGGTGGGTAGAGAGATCTCTATCACAGCAGGAACAGAAACAGAGGCTGGCTGGCCTTCTTGTTAGTGGGGACTGCAGATCCCATAGTGGACACTTTACCTCTGTCACTTTTACTCCTACCATTTAAGAGAACAATCCTGACATGTAACTTGCATTTGAAAAAAATGAAGCCATGGAAGAATAATGACCTGTTAGTCATCCACTCATCCATCCATCCATCCATCCATCCATCCATCCATCCATCCATCCATTTGTTCATCCAATGCATTTCATTGAGTACCAGTATATGCTGAGATCTGGGAATAATAAAACAGTGCTCAAAATAAGCACAGTCTTTGCACTTACGTCACTTAGAGTCTAGCAGGGAGATAGACATTAAACATGTAAGTAGACTATATATATATATATATATATATATATATATATATATATATATATATATATATATATATATTTGCAAGTTGTGATGAGTGCTATGAAGGAAAAGTACAGGGTTTAGTGAGAGTGGAAAATTAGGGATATACATTAAAACAGAGGTCAGGATGGTCTTCTGAGGACATAAGGTTTAAGAGGCCATCTTAAAGATACTTCTCTGTTAAGATATTTATCTATTAAGGAGACATATATAGTAGCCAAAGCATTTCAGAGAGAGGGCAAGATGAGCGAAGGCCCCAAGCTTGGGAGGAGTTTGATGTGCCTGAAAAACTGAAAGAAGACCAGTGTGCCAGAGTGTAATAAGAGAATAAAAGGATAGAAGCTTAGAGGAGGCTGGAGGGAGGAAGGGATCAGATCACGCAGGCAAGACTGGTGGGGCAAGGCCTGTGGGTAAGGAAAAGTAGCAAAATGAACAGATGAGTACAAGAAAGGAGTCACGGAAGAATTAGAAAGACAGGACATCAGTGGGTAAGAGAACTTGGATGGAACTGGGCATCAGTTTCTCAAAGGGGGACTGAACAATATAGTTCTAGAATTGAACAACTAGGTCAGAAACAATTTTCCCTTGGCCTGCTCTGTCTCAGCCAGAGGACATGAATTGAGATACCTGGGTACCTCCTTTAGCAGCTGCAACCTGGGGCATCTTCTACCAGATGGGATAATGTACCTCTCATGGGAAGGGTCATTTTCTCTCTACTTGAGCATTAGCACCTCTGAAGTCTAAGTCCCTACCCCAAGCTTCCACATGCTCCATTTTCTAAAGGATCACCTTAAGCACCTGTGGCTGACATCTTCAACCTGCTACCTATGTTGAGCCCATCCCTCATCTTCCAAAGGTATGGTTCTAAATGATTCCCCTGCTCACTTGCCCTTTCTAACATTTCCTATTTTAATGATAAGAACAAAACCTGATTTTTAAATTGCTCTTTTTTGCTCTGTGGCTTTCTATTGTCTTCCTTTCAGAGTCTGAATAATAGTTTTAAATCCAAACCATCACTTAATGCCTGTTTACCCACTGGCTGCAGTTTTCTCTCTATGGCTCTGATCAGATTGATTCCCAGGTCTAGAGTGTGTCAAGCAAAGTGCTCAAAATGTCTTTTAGCTTTTATATTCAAGGAAATTCCCTTGCTTTTTGCTACCCTAATCAAACATCCTTATTGGATTAGGTGGTAGTATCCTCATAAAAAGGGGAATTTTGAACACAGTCAAGCAGACAAGGAGAATGTCATGTGATGGTAAGGCAGTGATCAGGGTGGCGCTTCCAAAAGCCAAGAAATGCCAAAGATTTGCCAGCAAACCACCAGAAGCTAAGAGACACACGTAGAAAAGATTCTTCCTCACAACACTCAGAAGGAACAAGGTCTGCAGACACCTTGATTTCAGACTTTGGACCTCCAGAACTGTGAGACAATAAATTTGTGTTATTTAAGCCAACCAATTTGTAGGACTTTGTTACAGCAGCCACAGGAAACTAATAGAGGTCCATTACTTTGCAACCGTCCAAGCTGGGTGGTACTAAATTAGATCCAGAGTTACTAGTAGCAACATTACACAAAGGAAAGGGTTGGAGACACATGCTGGAGCCAGGTGTGTGTCTAATATTCTTGTGTAAGGGGTACTAGGCTTGGGGTCAAGTTAGAATGATCCTGAATGAGTGCTTAGGGCTGTTACAACTGGCAACCATCTGGTTCTGTGGGATTCATGTAGCTGGTCATAGACAGTGGCTGGACTCTCCAGGGTCAGGGACCAGACAGCGGCAAGTTGCTTCATCACCAGAGTACTGGCCTTGAGTCTGACATATGGACTTCAGGGTCTGGATGCCCTCCATCAGACCCATGAAGCAGCTGCCGTGATGACAGAGAGAGGGAAGAGCCTTGGGAGAGACTGGTGACCCATCTCTGGGACTTCATATGCTTCCAAAGTCCGTGGGATTCTCAGTATCTTCCTGTGTTAAAAAGAATACTGTTTTCAGGAAGGCTGCCTAGAGGAAATTTGATCCGGGTGGTCAGGAAGGGATGGGATAAACAGAATATTGATTCCCAGCTTTAGGTTCTTGATACAAACTCCTCACGGGCAGTGGACGGATTTATAATAGATAGGGTTTGCCTTTAATCAACCCTAGGTACTCTAAGCATAGTACCAGGCACCAAGTAGACACTCATCAAACACAGGTCTGCTTCCCTTTGTCCTATGCTCCCCAAGCATCCTTCTTATCTGATGTGGTGAGAGGGGATAACTGAACTGTGTCCGACTGACATTCTGCACTATCTAGTTCTCTACCCCATTCCCAAGTGCTACTGGAGCCTCATTTCTTTGGGTTTAAGTGTTGGATCTCACCAAATTGGAAAACCAGAATGCGGATGCTCTGATTTCCCAATACCCTGACCTCTCAGAAGCCTGCCTGGGCTTGGACAGCTGGGCATTCACACTCATTCATGCATTCCTATCCTTTCACACACGCTTACTTTACCTGCATACACACTCCATTCACTTAAGGAAAGATGGTAACCTAAAGCTCAAGCAAGAGGGGAAGCCCTTATGCTAAGGAGAGGTAGAGAACTCTTCTGTCTGGTTCTTTAAATGTCACTGCAATTCTCTTGCACATCAGCAAAGCAACTCTAGAGAAGCCCAGCAGGGTGGGCTTCTATGTCTCTGAGGACTGCAGTCCTGAAGTTTTCAGGAGAGTATAGTTTTAGAGATTCTTCCACTGTCCCCATATGTTCCTATTGCTTGTCAGGTCTCATGTTTCCAATTCTCAGTTCAGAAATTATGACCCAGCCAGCTACCCTCTAATAGAGCTTACATCCCAGAGGGTGTCCTTAGAATCCCACCTACCCCATGGAGTGCAAATCCATTGCATCCATCTCTCCTGGTCTAGAAATCGAAAGCCACCGAGGAGCCATAGAGCATACCATAGTGAAGGAGCTTTCTCTGTGAGTTTCCTTCCCTCTCCAGCTGCTTATTTAAGCAGGCTGCAGACACCTAGCTCTCCCGATTGCTGTCTAGAGCCCTAGTGCTACCCAATTGATGGTGTTCTTCCTTCTACATTATCTGTTTTCTTCAGTGGAAAAGTCTGCCAATATCTGTGATTTGTGTCACTTTTGTTTGCAGGCCATCAATTCTCCTTGCCTCACAGAGAGTATTTTATCTCTTTCCATCCAGGAGCCTGAGTTCCTGAGAGGGAACAAGTTAGGGACATGTCACCCTCTGTGACTCATGTGAAATCATGGTGACTTCTTATCACAGGGAGCCCTAGTGCTTCCGTTTTCTTCTTCCTCCTGCATCTTCTCTTTTGTGCCTACATATTGGGCTGATTTTCTTCAAAGTTATAAAAGTCATGTGTGATGGGTCTTGGTGCACATTTCGTCAAGTAGCTGTAGATTTTTTTCTCTCTTTTTCTCCCCACTCTGCCCGTGTGTGTGTTTATGTTCCTCTGTGTGGTTTTGTCGTTGTGCATGTGTCTATATATTTACACACATACACATACATACTTGGGTCATCGCTTTTCTCTGTACTTTAAATCTACGGTTATATGCCTACTTACGTTTACCACTTTTATCTCCTTGGAAGCAGTCTATGAAACTATGGATGCTGCCAGTAAATTCAGGGAACAGAGTAGAATTGCCCAGTTCTGTTGTGTGTGTATGGGGAGGGTTTGCTGTTAAAAATATCAACTCTGTAACAAAAAGATACATCTGATTTCTAACTATTCAACCCTGTAATAGGTTAAACGATAGCAAACCATTCATTGATTTTGTTTTTTAAAAAGAGTAATAAACAGAAACATGTACCAACTGAAAGAGCCAGGCAATTCAATTATAATTAGGAAAACAAAAGTGATGAGCCTGAACAATGCTGCCTTAGTTTTGGGGATAAGTGTTGAAAATGCCAACCACGTAATAATGCAGCGTTTGTCTTCTCATTACTAAAGGCCCCAGTACTAATCACCTCATTTTTGAAAGCTGTGTACCAACAGAACGAAGTACAGAACTCAGTAGATGGGTCTAATAGACATGCTTAAAAAATACCCACATAAACATAGACCCAAATATAAGAAAAACATATATCAAAAGAATATTTGAGTAAATTTATATCCATCACTCCACTGATCAAAGTACCAGTCCATCCTTTTACACCATTCATCCACCCATCCATCCATTCAGTAAATATGTTTTAAACTTTTACTCTATTTTACGCACTGTGCTACTAATATACACCCTAGAATGTATGTTCTAGATGCAAATGACTCCGGTGAAAATAACAATTCTTTCTTGTTTTGAGTTACTGTTGCCTAATCTTTCTCTGTGTGGCTAGAAAGAAATACTTAAATGGCTGAAGAACAGGTGAAGACAGACAAGCAGATGCCAACATACCTTTTGTAGCCAGACGAACACAGTTGATTTTGGTCTCCTGTGAACAACAAAAATGAGATGCCAATTAATTAGCTGTGAGTTATATAAAATTGTTATATAAAGACAAAAATACATATATATTTGCATATATATTCATGCATATGTATTTTTAATTATAATTTTAAATTTGCCCTTTCCATTTTTTTCCCCATCGGATGACCTTTTAATTCCATTTTTTAATTTTTTTCTCAGGCTAGGTACATATGTTATTCAGTTCACTTCCTGACTCCTACCATCTCATAAACCTCATTCCCAGACAGAACCACTTTATAAACATATCAGATAATTCCCAGCACTCATCATCTTTAACAATAACACGTAGTGGGTACTTGGGGTATGCAATGTGCTTTGTTCAGTTGCATGAGTGAGCAGATGGAAGGAGGGCATCCTTGGGAAACTTTGTTACTAGCAATAATGCATCTACATGCATAGACGGGAAGAGATACTTGGCAATAGTCCAGTCTATATGAAACATGTCAAACTCAAACTGCAAAGTTCATGTTCAAAAGTTACTTTTCCCCTGAGCTCTTGTGTGGGCCTCGCAACCTTCATAAATAATGTGTGTGGCAATAGAATCTTTGCTAGGTGAACTATCTAGTTGTTGTTAGCTGTTGCCAAAGTAAAAAGGATTCATAAATGTGTGATGTTGCTGGGCACACAGTGGAGTTAATGAAGAGTGTGCTTAGGAAGAGAATTCTCTGCCCGCTTTACTGGGATTCATCTCCCAGGAGGTCCTGGAACCAGCTGAAAATTCCAGTTGACTAAATTATACCCCCAACAACAGTCTGAATTCAGTGTAGCAAGGAAAGTAAAATGCAAAGAATGCAAGTATGTGAGTTGCTGAACCAAAAATCTGTCAATCATCCAATTCTTGTCTTGCTGCAGCTCATTCACAAAGAACCATTGCATCTTGAAGGGATTGGTGGCAATCAGGATAGGAAAGGTTAGGAGGCCATAATAAAACCCCTGAACTTCAGTGGCTAAAAACAGCAAAGGTTTATTTTCCATTCAAACTACCTGTCCAATGTAGGTGTGTGGCTGGGTCTAAGGGGTGAGATTGGGGGTGATTGGGAGACACTCTGACCATTGTAACCACTCAGAGATCATAGCTGGTATGTCCATTTTAACCCAAGGGGAGAGAGTGCTAAAGGGTAAAGCAGTATCAATCAAATGCTTTGAATCAGAAGCGACACTTTCACTTCTATGCGTGCTTTATTGGCTAGAACCAGACACATGGCCATGCCTAATTTTAGTGAGATGGGGAAATGGAATCCTCCCATGTATCCAGAAGTAGAGAAGACATGACAATGTCTACGGCAGATTCTATTCCATCTAGGTACACCTCTGAATGCTGGAAATGATCACTTCTATTACGTCCAAGTATGACTCCCCATAATTAATCTCATAGTTATCGCCAATAGTCTTGATTCTTTTCCTCAAAATGCACAGAAAGTCTGCTTTTGCTTGTGTAAAAAAGAGGTCTGGATAATGAAAGATGGTTCTCGGGCTCATAAACATTCTTCTTTATCAATTCCTCATATTATAAGAGTTCAAGTCTTTTGAGCTATCCTAGCTGCTCATTCTAGGACAAACTCCACTTTATCCTATTAATGTGGGGTGACTAGAACACAAAACAGCAGTCTATACATGCTCTTATTGATACATGATTATATTGATATATGATTATCTAGACTATCACTATTATCCTTACTTATATTGGGCTTCTATTAACATAGCTAACATCCTGGTGTTTATCCGTCTCCCCCAACCAAAAATAAAAGTATTGGTTAGAAGCCTGCTTCTACATGTACAAGTGTGGCTATATTTTTGAAACCCAAGTACAGAGTCATATTTACCACTACAATTTCCATCTTCTTCAACTGATCCAAGTACTACAGGCCATCATCACAGTCTCCACAAGCTGAAAATTTTTAGAAATCATTTTTTTCTTTAATTTCATCCAGATCATTAATATAAGTAACAATCTGGATAATGCCAATGGTAGAACCTTATGACATGTACTAGATTCCTTCTTCCACGTTGATATTCATCTGTTAATCAGAATCAGAACTAATTGCTAATATCCTAAACTGCTTATGAATTGAGCTTGAGAATAGGTTCAAATTCCTTTTAGACACTGATACTCTGTCTATTGCATTTCTCCAATCAGTGCAAAGACTGTCTTAAAGAAAGAAGGTTGGGTTGACATGACTTGTTCTTCGGAACAAGTGTTTTCTTCTTCATAAAAACTATAAGTGTCTCTCTTTAAAACAAACAATTATTTCATTTTATAAAGTAGATAATTTGGAAATGTTAAAAAAATGACAAGTCATGGTTCAAGTATATGAATCATTCATATAAAATCTTCACACAAAATTTGAAGCATGTTACATTTCAATAACAAAGTTTTTTCAGAGAACATACCCAAAAGATGAAAAAAAAAAAAAGGAAAATGGCTGAGAAAAAAAGTAACAGTAAAGGACATTGCTCTAAATGTGATGTACAAAAAGCTTAAGTTACAAGTTAAATCTTGCATATGACAATTAAAGTGAGCAAACTCATTTCTGTTTTCATGTTTGGACAAAGGTTTTCAGCTTCTGTTGGCTTCCATTCCAATAGCACCATACCCTGTGTTTTGGTTTAAAGAGCTTGAGACGGTTAAATAAAGCATGAAACCCAGAACACTGAAGAAGACATGCAAATGATTGTACAGTGTCACAATGACTATCATTGAGAAATTGTGTAGACTGGGAGAGGTGCCAGGAGACTATAGATGGTTAGAATGATCTTCCACTTCATGGTAATGCAACAACAACAAAAAAAGATTTTGAAAGTAATATATTAGAAAACTTGCCAGTTCTGTGCATGATTTTTGAATAGAGCAGAGGGCAAAGGTTTGATGAGGCTAATACTGCTGAGAGTAATTTCTAAATATGTATCTTCACTTTAAAGAAATTCAGTCTTATCTGTCCAGACATCTAAGAATCTTTTCTCAGGGAATAACTTTAAATATAAATGAAGCTTTATATTCAATGATGTTGGTTCCAGTGTTCTTTATAAAAGTGAAAATCATGAGCGATATATCTGTCTAACCACACAGGCATGGCAAAGAAAGCTGTGGTCTCTCTTATTCAACACAGCACTGCAAGTCCTAGCCAGAGCAACTGGGCAAGAGAAAAATTTAAGGGCATCCAAATTGGAAAAAAAAAAGTCAAACTGTCTCTGTCTGCACATGACATGATCTTATGTATACGAAAAACCAAAAACTTTACCAAAAAAACACTCCTAGAACTGCTAAGCAAATTCAGTAAAGTTGCAGAATACAAAATCAACATACAAAAATCAGTAATGTTTCTATACATGAATAAACTACCTAAAAAATACAAAAATCAGTACTGTTTCTATACATGAACAATAAACTACCTAAAAAAGAAATCAATAAGGCAATCTCATTTATAATAACTACCAAAAGTAATAAAATACCTAGAAATCAATTTAACCAAGGAGGTAAAAGACCTCTACAAGAAAAACCAAAAATACTGTTGAAAGAAATTGAAGGGAAACAAATAGAAAGATATCTCATGGTCATGGATTGGAAGAATTAATATTGGTAAAATAATCAGACTCTCCAAAGCAATCTATAGATTGAATGTAATCTCTATCAAAATACCAATGGCATTCATTATAGAAATAGAAAGAAGTCCTAAAATTTGTATGAAAACTCAAAAGACCGCAAATAGCCAAAACAGTCCTGAGCAAAAAGAACAAAGCTAGAGGTTTCACACTAACAGACTTTAAAATATACTACAAAGCTGTAATAACAAAAACAGCATGGTACTGGCATAAAAACAGACACATAAACCAATGAAATAATATTTTTAAAAACGCCAAAATTAATGCACATATCTACAGTCAACTGATTTTTGATAAAGTCACCAAGAACACTCACTGGGGAAAGGACAGTGTCTTCAATAAGTGGTGCTAAGAAAATGGATCATCCATATTCAGAAGAACGAAACTAGACCGCCACCTCTCACCCTATACAAAAATCAACTCAAAATGGATAAGAGACATAAATGTAAAACTTGAAACTATAAAACTACTAGAAGAAAACATAAGGGAAATGGTCTGAAACCAAACATATGACACTGATCTAGGAAAATATTTTATGAATAAGACCTTAAACATATAGGCAAAGAAAGCAAAAATAAACAAGTGGGATTATATAAAACTAAAAAATTATGTACAGAAAAGTAAACAATAAACAGAGTACAAAGGCAACCTACAAAATGGAAGGAAAGTATCTGCAAACTATTCATCCCTCAGGGAATTAATATTCACAACATACTAGGAACTCAAACAATTCAACAGCAAATAAAAATCCAACTAAAAAAATGGGCAAATGATCTTAACAGGCATTTCTCAAAAGGAGATATACAAATGGCCAACAAATATATAAAAAATGCTCAATATCACTAATCATCAGGGACATGCCAATTAAAACTACAATGAGGTATCATCTCACCCTTGTTAAGATGGCTATTACAAAAAAAATAACAAATGCTGCTGAGGATGTGCAGAAAAGGGAACTCTTATACATTGTTGATGGGAATGTAAACTAGTTCAGCCACTATGGAGAACAGTACAGAGGTTCCTCAAAAAAACTATAAATAGAACTATTATATGATCCAGCAATCTTACTACTGGGCATTTATCCAAAGGAAGATAAATCAATATATTGAGGAGACATCTGCATCATGCTTATTGCAACACTATTCACAATAGCCATGACAGGCAATCAAACTAGGTGTCCAAAACCAGATGAATAAAGAAAATGTGGTATATATACAACAAGGAGTACTATTCAGCCATAAAAAGAATAAAATCCAGTCATTTGTGGCAACATAAATGGAACTAGAGGACATTACATTAAGGAAAATAAGCAGTAAACAGAAAGTTAAATACTTCATGTTCTCACTCATATGCAGAAACTAAAATAAGTTGATCTCATAGAGGTAAAAAGCAGGAAGCAGATACTAGAGGTTAGGAAGTGGAGAGAGAGAAAGGGAAAGATTTGTTGAAGGATACAAGATTATACCTAGATAGAAGGAATAAGTTCTAGTGTTCTGTAGCCCTGTAGGATGACTATAGTTAAGCAAAATATATAGTTTCAAATAGCTAGACAGAGGATACTGAATGTTCCCAACACAAAGAAATGGTAAATATTCAAAATGATGAATATGCTAATTACCTTGATCTGATCACTATTCATTATATGTCTCAAAACATCACTATGTATCCCATAAATATTTACAATTAGTATACGTTAAAAACATAAAAAGAAAAAATTCCAAAAGGAAAACTGGGGTCTATCTACATAGTAGAATATTATGGAGCTGTTAACAAAAATGATTGTGAGGGCCATGTAATAACATGGGATGATACACATAAGAGAATATTAAATAAATAAAGCAAAGTACATTTTTTTGTTACAACATGCAAATTTAAGCATTTAAAAAATACATCCTGAAGGAAACAGACTAAATCTTAATAATTCTTGCACAATTAATTTGAAGTGCAATATACATGCAGATGAGTATACTAAACTTAAATACAGTTTGACAAATTTTTCACCAAGTAAACACACACCTATGACCAGCACCCAGATCAAAACACTCAACATTGCCAGCACCTCAGAAGTTTCCCTCATGCTTCTTCTGGTCACTTCTTCTCTGCAAATGTGAACATTAATTTGCTTTCTGTGGGAATATTCTCTTAAAATGTGGTCACAATAAAGGGAATTCTGCAGAGTTTTTTTGTTTTGTTTTGTTTTGTTTTGTTTTAAGATTCAGAGGGTTGGTGTGCAGGTTTGTTACATGAATATATTATGGAATGCTGAGGTTAGGGCTTCTATTGAACCCATCACCCAAAGAGTGAACAAATGAACATAGTACCCAATATGTAGTTTTTCAGCCCTTGCCTCTCTCCCTCTTTCCCCACTTGTGGAGTCCCCAATGTCTATTGTTTCCATCTTTATGTCCATGTGTACCCAATGTTTAGCTCTCACTTACAAGACAGAACATGTGGCATTTGATTTTCTCTTTCTGCACTAATTTTCTTAGGATAATGGCTTCCAGGTACATCCATGTTGCTGCAGAGGACATGGTTTTATTCTTTTTTATGGCTGCATAGTATTCCATGGAGTATATGAACCATGTTTTCTTTATCCAACCCACCACTAACGGGCACCTAGGTTGATTCCATGTCTTTGCTATTGTGAATAGTTCTGTGATAGACATACAAGTGCATGTCTCCTTTTGTTAGAATGGTTACTTTTCTTTTGGGTATGTACCCAGTAATGGGATTTCTGGGTCAAATGGTGGTTATGTTTTTAGTTCTTTAAGAAGTCTCCAAACTGCTTTCCACAGGGACAGAAGTAAAGCCACACACCTACAACCAACTGATCTTCAACAAAGATGAAAAAAATAAACAATGGAGAAAGGACACCCGATTCAAAAAACGATGCTGGGAAAACCAGGTAACCATATGCAGAAGAATGAAACTGGATCACTACCTCTCACCATATAAAAATTAATTCAAAATGGATTAAAGACTTAAATGTAAGACCTCAAACTATAAAAATCCTAGAAGAAAACCTACGAAATACTCTCCTGGGCATTGGCCTAAGCAAATAATTTATGACTGAGACCTCAAAAGCAAATGCAACACAAACGAAAATTGACTATTGGAACCTAATTAACTGAAGAGCTTCTGCACAGCAAAAGAAAAACAAAAACAAAACTATCAACAGAGTAAACCTACAGAATAGGAGAAAATATTTGTAAACTATGCATCTGACAGTGGACTAGTATCCAGAATCTGTAAGAAACTTTAACAAATCAGCAAGAAAAAAAAACAAATAGCCCCATTAAAAAGTGGGCAAAGGACACAAACAGACATTTCTCAAAAGAAGACGTATAAGTGGCCAACAAACATGAAAAAATGCTCAGCATTGTTAATCATCGGAGAAATGCAAATCAAAACAAGATACTGTCTCATACCAGTCAGAATGGCTATTATTAAAAAGTCAAAAAAATAACAGATGTTGGCAAGGTTGCAGAGAAAGGGGAATACTCTGTTGATGATATTGTAAATTAGTGCAGTGGTTTATTCTATCTTCTCTTGTACATTGTGTCATTTGTGAGAAGTTTTTAACTTTCCTTAATCTTCCCTTCCACAGTTTCGTGCAGGAAAATGAGCCATTTCCTAAAATCACCCCTTCAGCACCACACGTTTTAAAGTCTGTTTTCTATGATCTAGAGTGTATATACGATTATGCTTAAGTCTTCCTGACTGACAAACGTGATGCCAAAACGTTTGTTTTCTCCTAAGTTCCTAACAACTTTAATTCCATAACCAATTTGTCTCTGTTGGTCAGAATTAGGTACAGAATAACAAAGCCCTAAGTCACTCTCTTGACCTTCTGAGTGACTAGATTGTCAGCAAGCAAATCAGGTATATTCTGGATACTCTGATATTTATCAGAGGAGAGGTGTGGCCAGTGTGCCTATGTCCAAAGTGCCCAGTCTTTTCAACAAAAAGAAATGAGCACTTTCTTTGTTCTCGGATTATATAAGTCTCTGGGGAATGGAAAAAAAAGCTGTATTTTCTATTTGATCTCTACTATACCCTAATTCCAGGTTTGTAATATATTCTGGGACAGTACAATATAATTTCATTTCCTTATCATTTTAATCTCACCCATGCTCCACTTCCCACTCCAGATTAAAATCTGCATGCAGGTATAAATCACCCTGGGGTAGAACACCGTGTCCTTACTGTTGTGCTCTGTTGAGAAATGCTTCTACTCAAGGCTCGGCCAGTGCAGCAATATTGGGTAACTCTCTGTCCCTTTCTGTGGCTCAATTTCCCCATCAATCAAATGATGGAGAATGGGGTAGAAAAGGCCACTTTGGTAGAATAGGCAGGCCACTCTACCAAGGTTGCTTCCAGTCCTCAATGCTGCGTCTGGTTTTAGCTACTGGCAGTACTCCTTTACTTTCAGTACTCAGTCTTCTTGATACTACTTCCTAATACCTCATTTCATGCAAATAATTTTATTTATTTATTTATTTATTTATTTTGGTAGGCTGTTACCTACCTTATTACTCAAAATGCCTCATATCTGTATCTACTTATAGCCTCCATTTTAACACTAGGTCAAGTCTGACTCATCTAACCATCCATCCATCCATCCTTCAATTATTTACTGAAATTTTAGGATGCCTCTTCAATTGAGGAGTTCACAGTGGAACTGTTTAGGTCATCAAATGTCTCATAGCTGCTGTTTATCATCCAGAAAGACTTGGGTTAGGCTGCTAACCTGATCAAGAAGCCCTAGGTACCTGGCTAATACATACAATTCTTACTTTACTGCTCTATTAGACTCCTCATTTAATAGGATGTAGATTTAACCCTGATCCCATAGTTTTCAAATAGTTTTCACATTATCCCAACTTGTGTCTTTATTTTGTCTAAGACTGAGCTTCCCAGTTGATATGATGGAATTTAGACCTGACCTCAGCGTCTTTCCATAGTTTCCCCAGTAACTTTGACTCAGGCCTTAATTCTCCTCTAAGACTGTGCTGAGATCCTGAAAGTCTACCTAATTTTTGTTCATGTACTCATTTGGTCAACTGCTCAACAGATATTTATTGAATGATTACTATGTGCCACACATTGGGCTAGGTACTGGAGCTACAAATACGACCAAAGTAGACATGGTCCCTGTCCTCATAGAGCATGCAGACCTGGGGAGAGACAAACATTAGACAACCATTCTCACAAACAAGTATCTAATTAAAAGTTGCAATAAACACTGGGAGATATGCAATAAACACACATAGGTATGTATTTACTTGGTGAAAAATTTGTCAATCTATATTTAAGTTTAGTACAGTAAACTAAATGAGGTTGTGTTTAAAAGTTTAGTACACTAAAGTAAGTGAGAAGTGCCAGGTGCTGTGCATGTGTAAGGGAGATGGCATGGGGTGTGGGTGGGAAGGGAGATGGTCTGCTGCTTTTAGAAAGACCATTTAACCTTAGAAGTTAGACACAGGAAGCATCAGGAAGGTCATCCCAGACTCAGACACAGACATGCAAAGGCCTGAAAGTGGGAAAATGCATGGTGCTGTTGAAGACATACAAAATTCTGGCATGGCTATCATCATAATGAATTACCTGAGGCATGATGTAAAACGAAGCTAGCGACATAAGACCAGGAGACCTTTTGGGACTATAGAGTTTTGGTCTATATTTTAAGAACAACAGGAAGTCATTAAAGAGCTATTTAGGCAGGAAGAATTGAAATTTCAGGTTTAAAATTTTTAAAGGTAGAGGCTGTTACATAGAGAATAGACTTACGGTGCAAGAGAAACAAGTTGGTGAGAAGAAGGTGGTGGTATAGTCGAATGATGAGATGGTGGTGCCTTAGACCAGAAGAGTGGCTGCAGTGATCCTACCTCAACCTTTCCCTACCTTTGGAAAGCATATTTTTGCTCTGTTTGACTCTAGAGCTCCCTCCCACCATCCCACCCCACCTCACGCATACGGATCAGCCTGGGCTTATGGTATTGACAGCGTTGGGTCCTTAGTCTAGCCTTCCCACAAACTGACTCTCCTTGACTTTCTTCCATTGCACTGACCCTTAAGCTATTGTTTAGCCCCAATGGGACTCACTCACTTAACATGTTTGTTACCTGAAAGAAGCACTAAGAATTTTTTTTTTTTTTTAAAAGATGTCCTCTTTTCTTTTTTCTTTTTGAAACAGAGTTTTGCTCTTTTTGCCCAGGCTGGAGTGCAATGGCTCAATCTTGGCTCATTGCAACCTCTGCCTCTTGGGTTCCAGTGATTCTCTTGTCTCATACCTACTTAGCATAGTTTATGTCTTTTAATCCTTATAACAAGACTGTGAGGTGGATACGACAATGTCCATTTTTTTCTCACAAGATTAAATAACATTTTTCAAGGTTACACGTATAATAAGCCAGGCTAAAATACAAAGTAAACTTCAAGCAAGTGGCCTTCTTTTCTGAGGTGTCTGTAAGGCAAATACCCCTTTGTCATTGAGGTCAGATGCTATGCTTTCTTGGGTTGCAGGCAGGCACACAAAGACAATGGGGCACAGCTTTCTTTGGAAAACAGGCTAAGTGGTTTGTGATATTACAAAATTCTGTTTGACTTGACGCAGGACCTTGAACAATCAGATAAGATCTGGAATCCTTGAGTAACTCAGAACCATTAGGACTACGTAATGTGGTAGCCTCCTCCTCAAAGGATAATGCATGAGGAATGCCTTTAAAGGGGTAACAGAAGCAGTGGGGCACTTGAGTGCTAGCTCACTAGAAAGCACGTATGCTGGATTCTGCAGACCCTCAGTAACCAACAGTGAGTGGCAAGGTGCAGCCTCAGGTTGCAGGATAGGTGGCTATTGGTTACAGACACTTCTAACTGGACAAATGTTCACTATCAACTTTATGAGATCTTCCTGGAAGGCATTAGGCTCCACTTGAGGCAATAGCCAAGGCCATGAGCCATACTCTAAGAAAGGAAGCCCCCAAGTAGCATGCAAGCCATTCGGAAAATTTAAAATCAAACCCAACCTCTGAAAATCTTCTTGTAAGTTTTATCTCTACTTGCTGACTCCATTGCCTCAACTCTCCAAGTCTCTGGAACTCCCTTCAGTGAGACTACACTAAGTCCACTAAGACTTTTATATGGTCAGCACTCATAGTCACTGCTACAACTCCATCTTCCTTAATCTCTCATCAACATTAGCTGCAACTGACCATTCCCTCCTTGACCTGTTTAATTATCTTGGCTTTAAGTCATTCTACCTTCCAGACTTTTCTCCTACTTCACTACCTGTTCTTTATCCCTTTCTTTGCCTATGTATTTATCCTTTACTTGACTTCAACACACTGGAGTGACCTGGAGCTTGGTTTTATATCCTCTTTCATCATTTGTATCCTAACTTTTTTAGGAGATTATAATAAATTGCAAGGATTTGAATATTATGTTCTCATGACTCCCAAAGTACTTTTTCTAGCATTGATATTCCTGAGATCCAGGCTCATCTATCCATCTGTCTACCTGAAATACTCACAATCAAATATACAATCATCTAAAAGAATTGTTTTCTCTTTTATTTTCACTCCAAGCCTTACTCACCACTAATTTTCCATGTTTAAATAAATGTCACCATCATCTACTTAGTTGATTAAGCAAACAACCTAGGAGTCATTATTGATTTTTCTAGATATGTGACTTCCCACAGTCAATCAACCATTAATTCATGTTGGATCTGGGTAGTTGAAGAAATTGGTAACTATTTAACACCAAATTTTCCCACATATGATTCAAAAACAACACAGGAAAAGAAGAAAAAAATAAAATTGTACAAAATCCACAATTTCAGCATAATTAATGTATAGAGAAGTCTTAAAATGTCATAGGCCTGTTTGGTACAAAAAGAAGAACCAGATATAAATGAAATATCTCTAAAGCTTTCAACACAATCACCCTTGTCATCCTATGTGGAGAACAAGAGCTATGTAAAAACAATTTGGAAGAGAAAAGAGGTAAGCTAGCAGAGAGTACATGGCTGATCTAAAATACGTTCCAGAAAGACAAAGACCACACTACACATGAAAGTGCTAAAACAATTCCTGGTAGATCAAAACTAAGAGTACAGGAAAAGGACTTGAAAGAACATGTGACTCAAGGTGGTAGTGTTCAACAGGTGAAATAGGTTCAATGGGTGAAAATGAGATAAAAAGAAGGGAGAAGTACTCTTGGAAGATTGGAGATTGAAGGAAAAAAGGAAGCAAAGTGGGAATTTTTAGAATCACAAAAGCTAGAATAAAAACAAAAAGTCAGAACCTACACCCATTCCCTATGACATACACACAAAATCATCGACTGAAAAAAATACCTGTACTTTACTATCCAGTCAGAACAAACTGTTTCTGAACTGAGAATCGTATAAGCCACTTTAAATCTAAAAAATTTTTTAAAATTTGAAAGAGCCTAATAAAGCTACTAGATGAAGAAAACAGAAAATGTCAAAACACCACAAATGATGAAAATCTACCCCTAACAAGAAAACAGTCTAGAAGTAATATTACAAACTGAATTAAATATCCTCAAACAACTTTGACTTACAGAAGCACAAGTGAAAAACCAAAATATACAAAAGATCAGGAAAAAATAAAAAGAAAGTTGATTTAACTCAGGAGAGAAATTTTTAAAAGATCACCTCAGAAATGAAGATTAAATTACCAGATGTCAAAAACAGCAATTTAATAAGGGGCACTAAAGAAAGACAGAAACCCAACAAAGACAACAGAAATGAGATATAGAAAAAATTAACAAGGATTGGTGAAAAAGTGGTTTAAAAGTAAGGCAAAGAAAATCCAACATATATATAGTGAAATTTCTGAGCAGAGAGACAAAATAGGTAGGTAAATATTTTATGACAATAACCCAAGAAAAATTATTGGAAGTAAAAGAAGTCCCAAGCCTCTATACTGAAAGAGTGCACAGTACCCTGGGGAAAATGCACCTGAAAAGATCAACTCCAAGACACAGCCTAGTAAACTATTAAACTTAGAATAAATACTCTCAAAGCCAAAGAGATTGAATAATGTACACATGCAAGAGAATTAGACTATCATGATACTTCTCAAAAACAGCATGCAAAGCAAGAAAACAATGTGGCAGCATTTTCCAAAAGCTCAGAGAAAGTATTAATATTAACCAAGGACTTCATAGCTAGCCATGTGTTTTTCATATAGCAAAGCTATGGAAAAGTAGCTTTCAACATTCAAAAAGCCAGGGCATGCTGTACTTGTCTTTCTTGAAGGATCTACAGAAGATAAGTTCATCCAAAAAATACGACTGAGGAAACTTCAGCAAAAGGACTGATGGGTAAAAGTTTAATATGTTTAACTGTAAATCTAAGACTGAAATAAGGTAGGGGTTGGATGAAAGTAGGATATATAAATGTTATGTTTTCTGTCATTGCAGAAATAATACAACTAAAAATTGAGAGAGAGAGAGAGAGAAAGAGGAAGAAATAGGGAAAGAGAAGAGTAGTATTAGGTCATTTATTGTTGTACAGGCAGTGCTATGGTCTGGCTTTGTGTCTCCACCCAAATCTCATCTTGAATTGTAATCCCCATGTGTTGGGGGAGGGACCTTGTGGGAGGTGATTGGATCATAGGGGTGGTTCCCACATGCTATTCTTGTCATAGTGAGTTTTCATGAGATCAGATGGTTTTATAAGGGGCTCTAGTTCCTTTGCTTCGCACGTCTCTCTTCTGCCACCTTGTGAAGGACATGTTTGCTTCTCCTTCCGCCATGACTGTAAGTTTCCTGAGGCCTCCCCAGCCATGTGGAACTGTGAGTCAAACAAATATCTTTTCTTTATAAATTACCCAGTCTCAGGTAATATCTTTATAGCAGTGTGAGAACGAACTAATATAGGCAATATGTGAAAGTTAATGGATACCAGAAAAATCTGACAAACCAGATAGCAAAAGATTAAACAAGAAAAGATGGGATTAAGAGTGCTAAATAGGCCAGGTGCCCTGGCTTACGCCTGTAATCCCAGCACTTTGGGAGGCTGAGGCAAGCAAATCATGAGGTCAGGAGTTCGAGACCAGCCCGACCAACACAGTGAAACCCCGTCTTTACTAAAAATACAAATATAAGCTGGGTGTGGTGGCACGTGCCTGTAATCCCAGCTACTCAGGAAGCTAAGGCAGGAGAATTGCTTGAACCTGGGAGGCACGGTTTGCAGTGAGCTGAGATCACACCACTGCACTCCAGCCTGGGTAACACAGCGAGACTCTGTCTCAAAAAAAAAAAAAAAGTGTTAAATAATATAAAAGAACAAAGGTAACTACTAGAACAGAAATACAAGACTTCCTAAATACCAAATGAAATTTTAAAATAAAAGAGTAAAGAAAGCACACCAGAAAGTATTATAAAATTAATATAGTAAATTATGACATAAAAATATATGGCAGAGTTGAGATATCTCAGTCATATCACCAAATGTTAATGATTTAACTCAAGTACTGAAATGTAGAAGATATTCATTTGGATTACAAGACAAGACCCAACTACCTTCTATGTATAAAAGTCACATCTAAAACATTGTTATTGTAAACAGTGCTACAACAAACATAGTCAATAATAATTTATTTGTACATTTTAAAATAACAGAGTGTAACTGGATTGTTTGTAACTCAAAGGATAAATGCTTGAGGGGATGGATACCCCATTCTCAATGATGTACTTATTTCATATCACATGCCTGTATCAAAATGTCTCATTTACCCCATAAACAAAGAAATATATAAATATATCCTACTATGTACCCTCAAAAATACAAATTTAAAAAATTTCAAAAAAAGGTGAACAAAATAATTTTCTTCAGAAAAGTAAAAAGGAAGGAATGAAATAAGCTATAAACAGTAAATGAAAAAATAATAAAGATATAGTAGTGATCCTGATATAAAACAAGAATTCAACTAAAAAAGTATTACACATGGCAAAGGATACTTTTTATTGCTAAAATCCACAGCTAACAAAGAATATAATAGGTATAAACATCTATGCCCCCAAAAACATAATGTATTTACAAAGTCAATAGTAGTCATATATAAAACCAATACTCAGAGGACATAAGGGTAGCAAAACCCCATTACAATGGCAACAAAGATGAAATACTTGCTAATAGCAAGAACACACAAAACCTGTATAAAGAAAACTTTACAGCACCCATGAAAGATAATGTAGACTCGAACAAATAGAAAGACATCCCTTATCTCAGGTAAGATAATTCAACATCTTAAAGATGTCATTTCACTCTAATTAATGTATAAATTTAATGCAATCCCAGAATTACTAATAGACTTTTTATGAATCTGGACAAGTGGACACTAAAATTTATAGGGAACATGCAAGAAGAGCTAGAAACTCACTGAAAAAGGAAATCTCGATGGGGAACTTTCCCTCGCAGACATTAAAGTTTAGATCCCATAATTATAACAGTGTGGGGCTGCTGCGTAAATAGCCACATAGACTGGTGGGATAGAATACGACATCCAGAAAAACACCCAAGAACATATGAAAATTTAAAATATGAGAAAAGCAGCATCTCAAATTATCGGGACAAAAATGGACTTTTAAATACATGTTGCTAAGACAACTAGACAGACATTTGGGAAAACAGATAAAAATTAGATCCATAATTTACATCACACACAAAAACAAAGACCAAACATCAGAAAACTAAATATAAAAATACTAAAATACATAAGACTTAGAAGCAAACATGGGTAAATTCCTTTATAGCCTGAGTGTAAGAAAAAACTTTTTAACTGTGATTCAAAGTTTAAATGTAATAAAAGAAAAAAAATGATTCATCTGACAACATTTTATTTGCTGTGGCAAAAATATAAGCAAAGTCAACAGATAAATCACAAACTGGAAAAAACTGCAACATATATCACAGATAAAGTACTGATATCTCTGATATATAAATAACTTTAAAAATTGATAGAAAAAGTAAAAAACAAACTGAAAATTGAGCAAAAGACATAAACAGGTAATTCAAAAATTACATAAAAATGGCTATTAAGTATAGGAGAATATAGCAATTTCACTTATAAGAAAAAGGAAATTAAAGCTATATTGAGATATAATTTCTTACATGTAAGTGTGACAAAAATGAAAGTTAGACCACACAAACTGTTTACAAGGCAGTGAGGAAACAGTCATACATTGCTGGGACAAATGCAAGTTGGTTTTACCCTTAAGGAAGGAAATTTAGTGACATCTAGCAAAACTGTGTATTAGTCCACCCTTTAATCCTACAATTCCTCTTCTAGGAATTCACTCTGAAGACGCACCTTCAACAATACAAAAATATATGTGCACAAGTTCCTTGATGCAGCAACATTTGCAACTGAAAGATATTGAAAACAATATAGCCACACATGAGAGTGGCCAAATAAACAGCTATAATCACATAATAGAGTACTGTGCCGGGCGCGGTGGCTCACGCCTGTAATCCCAGCACTTTGGGAGGCTGAGGCGGGCTGATCATGAGGTCAGGAGATAGAGACCATCCTGGCCAACATGGTTAAACCCTGTCTCTACTAAAAATACAAAAATTAGCTGGGCATGGTGGTGGGTGCCTTTAATCCCAGCCACTTGAGAGGCTGAGCCAGGAGAATGGCTGGAACCCAGGAGGGGGAGGTTGCAGTTGAGCCAAGATCATGCCACTGCACTCTAGCCTGGTGACACAGCAAGACTCTGTCTCAAAAAAACAAAACAAAACAAAACAAAGAGTACTGTGCAGCTGTAAAAAAAAAATAAGGAAGACATTTATGAAATAATATAAAGTGATACCCAAGTATCTATAGTATGTTAGCTTTTCTATAAGAAGGGGAAATATAACATACATTGACTTCAAAATTTTCACAAAAAAAAACCGCCAAGAAATTAATGACATTGGTTTCCAACAGGGGATGGTAGAGGTGATGTAAAAGAAGTGATATGTGCTTTTCTGTATGCACTTGTTTGTACAGCTAGGCTTTTAGAACCACGTTATAATGTTTTTAGAACCACGTTATAATGTTTTACATATTAAGAAATCAACAGGGATGGGCAAAATGAAACTAAAATTAAAAACAAAGAGTCATAAACAAACCTAACTTAATTTCCAATAAATACATAACCATATTCTAGTGAAAGAAAAAAAATAAACCAAATAATTTTCAACACAACGGTTTGCATATATTTAGACTGAAGAGAGAACAGAAAATATATATTGAACCCTAGTTAGTAGGTTTGTTTTGCTAAGATTAATATTTCTGGAAATACTTCTTGAGTATTCTATGTTGAACAATAAGTAAATATATGAATAATAATGAAGTTAAGCTTCTCACTGTCAGAGAAGGGAATTACAGAAATGGGAAGAGTGAAGGCTGGAATAAACTCCTTGATGTTGGACTAGAATGGAGGTATCATGAACTTTTGCCTTTTTTTTTTTTTTTTTTTTTTTGAGACACAGTTTCACTCTCGTTGCCCAGGCTGGAGTGCAGTGGCGCTATCTCATCTCACTGCAGCCTCCGCCTTCTGGTTTCAAGCGATTCTCCTGCCTCAGCCTCCCGAGTAGCTGGGACTACAGGCATGCACCACCACGCCCAGCTAATTTTTTGTATTTTTAGTAGAGATGGGGTTTCACCATGTTGGCCAAAATGGTCTCGATCTCTTGACCTCATGATCCATTTGCCTCAGTCTCCCAAAGTGCTGGGATTACAGGCGTGAGCCACCGCACCCGGCCACTTTTGCCTTTTATGATAGATAGCTAAAGGCTGGGTGTGGCGGCTCATGCCTGTAATCCCAACACTTTGGGAGGCTGAGGCAGGTGGATCACCTGAGGTCAGGTGTTTGAGACCAGCCTGGCCAACATGGTGAAACCCCGTCTCTACTAAAAATAAAAAAATTAGCTGGGCATGATGGCCGGTGCCTGTAATCCCAGCTACTCAGGAGGCTGAGGCAGGAGAATCACTTGAACCTGGGAGGCAGAGGTTGTAGTGAGCCAAGATCACGCCATTGTACTCCGGCCTGGGCAAAAGAGCAAAACTCCGTCTCAAAAAAAAAAAAAAAAAAAAAAATAGACAGAAAGATAGATGGATAGACAGGTAGAGGGATACATAGACAAAGAGCCTAGAATCAGTGGTACTCACTAACAATGATTCCCACTCGTTCCCAGGTCTGAGTTTCTATAATAAGTACCATTCCCCATTTAAAGGAACCAGAGCTGGGGCAAAGGAAGCACAAGATTCTGTCAGAAAGAAAATAAGTTTTCAAGAACTGCTGGAGACATTTCAGAATGACAAAAGAACCATCTTGAAGGGGCTCACACTAGCTAATTCTGGGACAATTTGAGCATAAAAGTAAATGATGATAGTACTGAAGTATAACCAACTGAATAAAAGAAGAATCTATAAATTTTTATCAATATAAATAAATTAATACATTGAAAATAGGGGAGAAAGGAGAACTCATCCTCGGAATAGATGTCCACTAATAAATGTGGAACAAATGATGGAATTAGAAAATTGTCATTTGGCAAACATCTTTTTATTTGTATTATTATTATTATTATTATTATTTATTATTATTATACTTTAAGTTTTAGGGTACATGGATGAAATTGGAAATCATCATTCTCAGTAAAATATCGCAAGAACAAAAAACCAAACACCGCATATTCTCACTTATAGGTGGGAATTGAACAATGAGAACACATGGACACAGGAAGGGGAACATCACACTCTGGGGTCTGTTGTTGGGTGGGGGGAAGGGGGAGGGATAGCATTGGGAGATATACCTAATGGCAAACATCTTTGTAATAGTTGATTTCAACAAAAAATATCAGCAAATGCTAAAAGATGAAAGTTTGAAGAAGATTTTACATAGTCTAGAAATATGTGTGTACAAAACACTTATATATTACAAAGAAATAGTAGCTTTATAGTGGAGAAAACCTTAATGGACAACAGTTTAAGTAATCAAAGTTAATGTCACCAGTAATGGAACAAACTGATATCATGTGCCACCTAGTATGACACATTGAGAAGGAAGCAACATCACTTTTGTGGTATTCCTGACAAAAATGCATAACTTGAATCTAATCTTGAGAAAACCTCAGACAAACCCAACTTGAGGGACATTCTAAAAAATAACTGGTCTGTAATTTTTAAGAGTCAAGGGCATAAAAGTCAAGGCAAGACAGATATGAGAACTCTAAAGGGACCTGACAACTAAAGGCAACATGTGACCCTGGACCAGGTTTTTTTTTGTTATTGTTTAAATTTACTAAAAAGTATATGACTGAGACAATTGGCAAAACTGAGGCTAGTAGTATTATGTGGACATTAATTTCCTGGTAATTGTATTGTAGTTATGTTGGAAATTGCGCATTAAAGCATTTAGGAGTAAAGGGGTGATTTATAGACAGATAGATAGACAAACAGACAAATAGGGGAAGAAGAGAAAGAACAGGAGAGGGAGAGAGAGAAAATGGGATGGTAAATCTATTGTGGTAAACTGTTAGCAATTAGGGAATCTGTATAGAGAGCTTATTAACATTCTTTACACTATTCTTGAAACATCTCTGTGCATTTGAAACTACCTTGAAAAAAAGGAGTTAGACATATTGGTGGAAGAGAAAGTAAGTTGGAACAAAAACAAATTTGACGATGGGTTGATGATCATTGTTGAAGCTGAGTGACGGGCACATACAGATCAGTCTGTTATCATCTTGACTTTTGTATGTGTGAAACGTTTCTTAGCTAACAACGTGTGTTTTAAAGGTGAGAACAATACATATGGAGTATGTCATCAATAAAAAATTGAGACATTCAAATTTTGTTTTTCCCAACATGAGTGACATTGGGTACATTCCTTATTTTTTTTGACTTACAGTGTTCTCATCTGTAGAATGGGAGCAATACCCTCTGTACAACTCTCTAGGGTAAACAAAATTTTGTGAGCACAAGTGCCTTAAGGATGCAAATATATATGCATGACTTTATGATTCTAATAAATTGATATTGAGATTATAGGCAAGACAATTTTTTTTTCTTTTCCCTGTTTTCAACAGAATAAATGCCAAGTATTTTAGCATGGCATACAAAGCCCAGCATTATTTGATATCTGCCTCTCTCTGGGCTTCATTCCATATCCCGGAACCAACACCGGGATTGTCTTCCCAAATGTATCAGGGAATCCCCAATTTTGGGGCTTCTGCTCAGGTGCTTCCTTTGCAAAACATACACTTTCCTCTGCCCCACTGTCTACCTGGAAAATATCCACTTACCTTCTAATAGCCAAGTCAAATGTCACTTCTTCTACAAGATTTTCCTAGGCACCTCCTCATCCCCTCTACCTCCAGGTTTATAGCTGAACACACCAGGTATTCTGCCACTGGGATTGCTGATAATTTATTGCCCACATTTGTCTTCATGGCTGTCTTCTCCACTGGATTGTGGGTTCGCTGAGGGCAGGAACTGTAACTTATTTATCTGTATTCCCAACTGACTCACAACAAGCCCATAATAAATAATTGGTGGGTTTTTGGGGTTTTATCATCATCATTCATATCTCCTTACAGAGGAGCTCATGACCAATGAAGGCACAATTCTGCAGAGTAAACAAATGCAAATGGGGTGTGGGAGACTGGGTTTAAGCCATGGCTCTGATCTTGAGCAAATAACTTCCCCATACTGGACTTCAGTTTCCTTTTATCTGCTGAAAGAAGAGAACTGGACAATCAATAAGCTCCCTTCCAATACTGCATTTTATACTTCCCATTCCTCAACAATAGGACTTTGAGGCTGTGTACAAACTATCCCCTAATTGAGAAGTTGGAAATGTAGTTTCTCTGCACCTCATGAAGAGGGACTTAGACTTTCTATTAGGAGCTGGCAACCCCCTGGTTTAAACCAACCCAAACCAGAGCAGTCCTTCATGCTTCCCTGCGCAGCTCTTATCTGACCTTAATGATTCCTGCTCTGTAAGAGATCCATTGAGCTGTAATTACTAATTGATGTTTGTAAAGTCTTTGAAATTCTCAGGTGACAGATGTAATCAAAGGCCAATTTATTATGATAATTGTTATTAGTACAGCTCCTCACTATTTGTTGATGTTAATGGCAGGGCCAGCAGGTGTTTCAAGATTGACTGAGGGACTTAGGCTGGCCATGTTTGGCGGGAGGAAAAGAAAAATATGAGTGCATAAGGGATTTGGGACCCTCCTGGTTCTAGTGCACCCATATTCCTCTATGAAGCTATCTTGTGGGACTAGGGCTCGGCATGAAACGGAGCAGTAAATGCATAGGACTTTTAACTGCATTTTTCACATGCACAGATTCAACCCCAGCTCGTTCTCTTGTTTCTGGAGTATGCTTCAGCAAATCATAGCCTCTCACAGCCTTGGCTTGCTTGTGTGTTAAATGAGAATACATATAGTGCCAATTTACACTTGCTGTGATTCGAGAATCTGTTTGAGACAAGCAATCGTGGATGTGGGAAGAAGCGTTAGGAGACTGTTGAGGTTGTCCAGGCAGAAGATGTTACTATCCAGAACTACGATGGTGGCACTGGAGATGAGAAAAGTGCATGGATTAGAGAGAGCTTCAGAGTGTAGAACAAAGAGAACTTGGTGATGGCTGAATATAGAAGGTGATGTATAGCAGGAAACCCAGACTTTGCTGATAGGAAAGATGCAGGAATAACTTTGAAGGAGATGAATGAATCATTGCCTACTATTTTCATCAGTGTCTTGTACATATGGTTCATGTCAATCTCTTCAACTGTGTAGCCCAATAAATTGCATTTATGGGTTTGCAAACTTGAGGACCATGATGTAAAAGATGACACTTGATGAAAATTCAGCCTCTAGGAGGAAAGGGACTGCAGAAGAATTGTCCCACTTCTCCACTTGCCTCTCCGTAAGTACGACATTCCCAAACTTCCTTTGACATCTCAATCCCTCTCTTTCTTTCAGGCAGCCAGTGTGTCAGCTGCCGTCTCTGGAAACCCTGGACTTCACTAATTTTTTTCCTCCTCCTGAATTCCCTGATCCCACGTCATGTTCATACTCTATTCAAATTTGATCCATGGGTTTAAAAACTCTGCCCCTGTGGATTCTGCTTGTTCTTTCCTGAGTGTACCTCTATGCTCTATCCCACCTGTGATATGTAATAGCAATATCTGACATTAATTGGATGTTTATTGCATGCCAAGCCCCGTGATAAGTGTTTTATTCATCTTATTATTTAATATTTAGAAACATTCTTATAAAGTTGATACTATGGGTGTTAATGTTTTCCAAAAGAAGAAGAGACTCAGAGAGCCTAAGTCACTTGCCTAAGGTCATGTAGCTGGTCAGTGACAATCTATGCAACAGGAAAGACCCCATGCTAGACATATTAATCAAAAATGCTGAGGTGAAACAAACTTGGAAATTCACTAATCTTATTTAATAGCATTAATGCCATTTTATAGTGCAAGAAATAGAATCCGTGAGTGCAAATGTCTCCATTAACTTTTTATATTTTAACCTCAGATTTCATAGGATTGATATAAGAGGGACTAATTGAGTGTTTGAGCAAAAATGTTCTGATGACATTGACCAGCATCAACTCAGGGCTTCTTATACAAGGATATATGTGATAAATCACCCTCTTAGTGTCTTTCATGAAAAATATGTATGCTTCCTTCAAGTAAGAGAAGCTATGCAAACCTGCCACCTGCTCTTTTTTTCCTTGGCTTCGAGGAAGCTCAGGAGATACAGATAGTGTACCCTGCGCTAACCACCTATACTAGGCCTCTGGTGCAATGATTACTCTTTATTCCACTATAAGATTCTTAGACTAATTTAAACTTTTTATTCTAGGGCCTGGTGCAGTGGCTCCTGCTTGTAATCCCAGCACTTTGGGAGGCTGAGGCAGGAGGATTGCTTGAGGTCAGCAGTTCGAGACCAGCTTGGTCAACATGGTGAAAACCCATCTCTGCTAAAAATACAAAAATTAGCCAGGCATGTTGATGCATGCCTGTAGTCCCAGCTACTTGGGAGGCTGAGGCAGGAGAATCACTCGAACCTGGGAGGCAGGTTGTAGTGAGCTGAGATCATGCCACTGCAATCTAGCCTGGGCAACAGAGTGTGACTCTGTCTCAAAAAATAAAATAAAAGTAAAAAAAAAAAATTTTAATTGAACATGTATACATACATACTCATATATACACATACATCTATATATATGCATGCTAAAATATTTATGTGTATATGCACATATGCTGAATTCTTGTTCTGTATATAAATTTCATAAAATTTACAGTTAAAAATTTAGATTCACATACCCAAGTGTTTCCACCAAAGATACTTCAAAGTTTTCCAATAACTGAATTGAGTATCAGTTTTAACATGTGTGTGCACGTGTGTGTGTGCGTGTATGTGTGTGTGTGTGTTTTAGCAAGTATACCTTTACCTGAAAGGTCCTTTGCAAAGAGTTATCACGCCTACCATTTACTTGTTACAAAGGTCCTAGTGAGCTTGAAGGACACATCTCATCCCTGTTTGACAGAGGGGAAACTGAGGTTTGGCAGGCAAGTATTCTGTCTATGGAGCTAAGAAACGGAAAAGCCAGTTCTAAAACCCATGGATACCATTTCCAAATTCAGAAGTTTCTCTACTTTTTCACCATCTGAGGGCAATCAGTCCAAGCTTCACGAGGTTCCTTACATTGTAGGGGCCTGATGGAGGCAGAGATGCTGCTATATAGAAACTGAGGCTGCTATTTCCATGAACTTTGTTGGGACTGGAGTCTGGAGCATTTATCCCTGAAGGCCCAGGCTGACAAGATTATCAGCTGTCAACATTTGGGTAACCTTCATCTCCCTTTCCAAATGAATTTAAAGTATATTTGCATGGGAAGGAAAATGTTCCTGCTCCCTCAGGTCTCATACCATGATAATAAAATCTGTAGAAACTGTAAGTGGATGAAAAAATAAATTAGCAACCTGGGAGAGCTCATCTTGGTATCTGTACAAGGTGACACTTGGGGAATTTCTATCTTACCTAAGGAGAGAAGTCTGGGCCCCAACAGAGCTCCAGCAGGGGTTTAGAGTTTTAAGGCTCAAACAATGGAATGGAGGCCTGGAAGCAGGGATGCCCAAGTGAGTGGGTAAGCCCCAGGAGATGGAGTCCACTGAGGACTGGGAAAGAGTTCTAGGCAGATAAATGGGGCATGGAACCTAGGCTCTGGTGACAGACAAGAGCTGTGAGTGGATGTTTACCCGATTGAGATTTTCCTAAGGAGTAATGGAAAGGTTGTGATGATAATCCTGGAATCAAAGTGTCTAGTTCAGTCTTCCTCTCCACTTCAACAGGGCTCTGCAGAGCTAATAAAATCCAGGAATCGATTCCTTACATAGACTATAGTGACAAGTCAGCAAACGGTTACGTGGGGGCCTCTGGGTCACAGCTCTCTGTTGCCTTGGCTCAGCTACCGATGGGTGGTACAGGTCTAAGGTCTGCTGAGTTATAGAAGCATTGGAAGACCGTTGCTTTTCAGGGTGGAACAGGAGCACATTGAGTTTCAGGCATTTCTTTACCATTCCTCCATGGAGGTAAAGGGGAAAAGCTGTTACTAAAATCCCTCCTTCAGTGTGAAGTAACTGAGACCCCATGGGATTCCAGGAGCCTCTAGGTGTTCGTCCATCTACTGAAAAAATGTAGTCACTTTGTGAGACCAA
This sequence comes from Homo sapiens, assembly GCF_000001405.40. Taxonomy (NCBI): domain Eukaryota; kingdom Metazoa; phylum Chordata; class Mammalia; order Primates; family Hominidae; genus Homo; species Homo sapiens. The sequence goes on from NC_000020.11 coordinate 42,306,930, forward strand.
TCAAGGAAGCAGCATAGGTGAAAGCACCTTGCTTAATATCTGAGACACAGCAGATGCTCAAGCAATTGAAATTCCTCAGGATTTGTGGTATGAACTGCCCAGGTGCTTCAGGAGCAAGTCTGGGTATTATAAGAATATGAAGGGGAGGCTTAGTCATCATGGAAAATTGTGGTAGTCATTGGGGAAGTTCTCAAATATTCCAGTTCTCCTAGGCATATAGAAGGCACTGCCTTATTCTTTCTGAAATTAAGTGTGGCCATGTGGTTAGCCTTGGCCAGTGGAATGTGAAAATGCTATGCACCACTTTGTATGGAAACTTGTAGAACGAATGCTCTATTTGCCACATTTTTCTTTCTCAGACTTGGTGGTGGTGTCAAGATGGACATTCTGTTGGCCTGAGTCTCTGCCTGCAACAAGCAGAGACCCTCTGCTGACCCATTTCAAATATATAGCAGAAGTGATCCAGTGAGATTTTGTTGTTGTTACTACAGAATAATTTAGCTTATCTTAACCAATATAGGAGTTTTCAAATAAACTTCCTGATGGGGTATCCAAGACCCAAACTGCCATGTGATCTCCTGATGATCTTAACTCGAACCCTCTAGAGCTTATATCTACAGCTTCTCATTCCATGTCTATCTGAGGTTTTCATAAGGACATGCGAACAGTCACTGAACTAACACGAGAAATAAGAAATGGGGTAGAAAGGGCAATATCATAACCAAAAGATAAGATCAATTGTGCCAAAAGACTCAACAGGAACAGATATCAGGCTTGAAACTGTCAGAGACCTTTGAACCAGAGCAACTCCATCTTGAATAGGGGCTGGGTAAAATAAGGCTGAGACCTACTGGGCTGTATTCTCAGGAGGTTAGGCATTCTAAGTCACAGGAAGAAACAGGAGGTTGGCATGAGATACAGGTCATGAAGATGTTGTTGATGAAACAGGTTGCAGTAAAGAAGCCGGCCAAATCCCACCAAAAGCAAGATGGTGACAAAAGTGACGGCTGGTCATTCTCCTGCTCATTATATGCGAATTATAATGCATCAGCATGCTAAAAGCCACTTCTACCGGCACCATGACAGTTTATAAGTGCTATGACAACATCAAGAAGTTAGCCTATATGTTCTGAAAGTGGGAGGAACCCTCAGTTCCGGGAATTGCCCACCCCTTTCCCAGAAAACTCATGAATAATCCACCCCTTTTTTTTTAGCATATCATTAAGAAATAACCACAAAAATGGCCAACCAGCAGCTCATACTGCTGCTCTGTCTATGGAGCAGCCATTATTTTATTCCTTAACTTTCCTAATAAACTTGCGTGGACTTGCCTAGAATTCTTTCTTCCACAAGAACCAAGAATCCTCTCTTGGGGTCTGGATCCGGACCCCTTTCCAGTGACAAAACCATGTATGAGAAGTTAAACTAAGAGGAATACAGCCTGGGGTGAGTCATGGGTGAGTCAAGGCGGTCATCAGCTGGGACACAGACACAAGTCCTAAAGTCCTCCAAAGTTAGGAAGGTGTGTGCTTCTATGTGGAGTTTACTGGACAAATCGGTATATGCCAGGTAAGGATGCTCCAACCCTCTTCCCCCTCAGAAGAGGAGCCTCTGGAAAGCAGCCAAAAGAAAAAAGAACAAATAGTCCAACTGTAATGCGATAAGATACTTTAATATACATTGTCTAATTTACTCTCTCCCGATTTTTTTGAGGCAGATCATTAATCATATTTTCCATCTTGAGATGTTAAGTAAACTGTTCAAGTTCACATAGCTGAGAGCAGCCAAAATTCAAAGCCAAGTCTGTCTGATGCTCAACTCTCAGTTCTTTCCACTCTATCATGCCACAGAAAACCCATCCATGTGCAACCATTTCTTTAACAGTGGTTGGACACAAGTGAATATAATTTCTCCCAATTCATTCAGAGACACAGAATTTTCCCTAACCTAGCTCTACCTAGATAATCCCCACTATTATAACGTGATTATACTGCAAGCATCATGACCAATTCAACACAGCATCTGGTTTCCAAGTGCTCTCAAGAGGCAATTGAGTTCAAGAACTGGAGGAGGAAGTAGGAGAGAGAGAACAATCACCCTGCTACTTCCCACTTCTCTTATTTAGCTTAGCATTTGGCAGAGGCATCATCCAGGTTAAATGTACCCCTACATGATGGAAAGGATATGACAAGAAAAGACTTTTATCCTCTGCATAAATAGAACATGCATAACAGCATTGCCCAACAAAAGGTGGCTTCTGATGGATATTTGCATGAGTTTGCCACACTTGTTTTGCATCCAACCGTTAATTATGGTCCTTTCAACTTCACAATTACGGCTAATGGTGGTGAGGATGCAGAGAACAGTAGATTCAGCAGACCTCATTCTGGGAAGAGTGTGAAACAAACAATGCGAAACTGCACCCACCCGCTGTTTAGAACTGAGACAGCTACCCTGGGTACCATTTGGAGGATTTGGAGGAAATCAAGGCTGCCCAGGAGCCTGGAGCTTGGGAAATGAGACATCTGGGGAAAAAAATCTTACTACTATGATGGAGAAAAAAGGTCCTTTAGGACTCTTTTATCTATGGTGAAAATGGCTCAAACAACATCTCTCATTCTACGCTGAATGGAAATTCAGACTGTACTGACACCTACTTGGTGCTTTTCATTATTCAATATCTTTTTCTTATTTAATCCTCAAACAGACTGTGTGAAGTATATATTACTATTTCAATTTATAAGTGAGGAAACAGATTCATAGACAACAAGAAACAGTTCATAGTCTCATTCTTTCATTAATCCATCAAATGATTATTAGGTGTCTATTATGTGTTAAATAGTACACTCAGCATGGAGGATATAGCAGCTAAAAAAACAAAAAACCCAAACACACCAACCACAATTCATCACTCTTGGAGCTCTCAGCATGCTGTGGGAGGCATGCAGTACCCAACAACATGTGCAAATAAAATACATATATATCTAGTGTAATATAGAAAGATAGTGGGTTAACATATGAGTGAGTGCTGGTGGGTGGTTCTTAGGTAATATGGTTGGACTCTTCTCTGGAGATGTGAGATTGAAACTCAGGCCTGAAAAATGAGAAGGTACTAGCTCTGCAAACAGTGAAGAAAAGACAGATGTAGGTAAAATGCACCCTGAATTAAGACCCCAAAGTGAAAAACATGTTGGAATGTTTGAGAAATAATGTCTTAGGAAAGGTTCAAGACACGAGGCTTAGTTAAAATCTAGCAGGCATGTCTGAACCATATCTGAAGAACAGTGATAGGTTCTGGGCAACTCTTTTTGAGGAGAACATGATGGGGAAAATGAGCCTATCAGAGAAAAGGGTAAGTAGGATGAAGGATACCCAGAAATTATGCCATGTGAAAAATAAAAGAAGTAATAGCATGTTAATTATCAATGAGAAATAACTTGAGTGGCCAGAGGAGGGTAGTTGGTACTGTCTTATTTTCTCTGAAAGGCTAACAAAGGAAAGAACGTTTTGATTTGTTCAAACCAATACAAGTGGCTACAAGGGGAGAGTCAAGGAGACAGAATTTAGCTCTATATGGGAAAAAAGCTTTAACAATTTTACCTGCTCCACAAAGGAATCAACTCCCTTTCACTCCAGCAATTTGCATTGATCAAGCTGAAGCAATACAATGTGTTGCTAAGAATGCTTTATTGGAGATTTTTTTTTTGGCTTCTCGTCTAGACTAGATGACACTTCAAAGTCCTTCCTACTCTATGATGCTATAGTTCTATAATATTGCTATATCCAAAACAAATGGTTACAACATGGTCTAATTCATAAGAGACAGGTGTTGTGAATTAGGCACCAAAGACAGTGTGCCAGGACAAATGGGACTACATTTTTATCTGTAAGAAGGCATCAATGGATAAATGTGAGATTACTAATTGGAACAAAATTCCCAACACAAGTGCCTGTGAACAACTCTTGTGTCATGAAAATGCCTGCAAGAACCCTGAGCAACATATCTTATAGTGCATGCCACACTTGAACTCTGCATGGTGTTCACATGGCTGGATTAAAATACTTCATATTCACAGATCAACAAAGAGTCTATAAAATGTCTTTATCCTCATGCTGATAATAGTAAACATTTAATGACTGACTTCCACATTCCTAATGTGAAACCTAAGGATTCATTATTCGATACATTATTTCACTTATTTATTTTTGTTCTCTCCCCCACTAGAATGAAAACACGATGAGATCAGGGATCTTTGCTTGACTCACTGCTGCATTCTCAGCACTCAGAAAAATGCCTTTTTTGACATATTGCATGTGCTTGACAGATGTTTCCTTAATTAATCCATCATATCTAATTATTTTAGTAGTTTACTGAAAGTCACACAGCTACTAGGGTTTTGTACCTAGGCAGTCTGATAGTAAAGGTTGAATTCATAGCCACTCTGTTAACCTGACAAACCATCCTTAACATCCATAGAACAAAGATGTCCAGACCTCAGAATTCTCCTACCCTTCCTTGACTAAAACTTGCAGGTAGAGTAGGGAGCAATGAAATTTGCTGATAGTAAATTATTCCACCTGGCTCACAACCATCCTGCAACAAATGCCCATTTCTGCTTTCCTTTCACTTGAGGTTAATATAACTCTATCTCATCCTTTGTCTTTAATCTTTTAGTGACAGAAATATGGGTAATTCTGATTTTTCTTTGACCTAAGCTGTTTTCTTTCTCTTTCACAATGGAGCAAAACAACACTTTTTTACCCCCCCGTCACCCCATATCAAATCTAGTGCTTTCATCTTCTGGCTTTTTTTATAGTTTTGATTTTCATGTTTACTTATAGTTTTCTTTATTTTCTTCATTTTTCTTCGTTGACTGTTGTTTCTCAGCTTTTTAAGTATAGATTGGAGAGCTGACTTTGTTTAAAAGAACTATACTTTTTAGTATTCTCAGTATCAGAAATAAAACAGTAATTATGTATTCCCTCTTGTCTAACATGAGAAAATGAGCAGATTTTTATTTACATTCATCCATCTTCCAACTTTGTCTTAGTTTTTGTTGATAAAATAGTGAATTATAGATCCAGATTAGAACTGTTAAGTTTTTACATTATGCATCTTTGCCTTAAGTAGTTACATTTTACATTAACCTTCCATTTTGTAACACACTTAGAGCCATTATTGAGCATTAATGCTATGTTTAATTAGTTTTATGCTCACTGTAGGTCTTCGTATTCCACATTTCTCAATTCTTGATTTCTTTATTTTGATTAATTGCTCAGTCAATTGCTCTGTGAATGATTTATTAGAAGCAGGGAACGTGGGAGCCCCTGGATACCGAGAATGGCTTTCTGATGTATTTGCACACGAACAACAACTTGGCTGATAAAGAATTTGTGGATTATAACACTTTCTCCTCAAAAATCCTCCAGGCTTAACATCATTGTCTGCTGCCCTTTATGATATGGAAAAATTTGAGAGGGACCAGGCAGAGATTTGTTAGACTGAGAATGGCTGTTCTGCTTCAATGACCCTTTCACCCAACTCTTCTCAGTAAAATTTAATACTAAAGACAGTCATTTGAAACAGTGTGTAGTTTTTCCTTTGCCAGAAAAGTACAGCCTTCTGAGTGCCCAGCTCCCATTGCTTTTCCCCTGTCTGTTCCTGTGAGGTCAAGTGCACCCGCAAGACATGTGGCATAAGCACTCATCCAATTCCATTCCTGCCTGTGTTTCGTTACTGGGAATCTTAGTTACAAAGCAAGAGTACATATGCATGGTGTGGAATAGAAGGCACAGGTAATTAAATGGCCTTGTTCATTTCTGAAGCAGTGTCAAAACTGCTTCTGAGATGAGGCAGTTTCAGAGTGAGATCCTTTTTTTTTTTTTTTTTTTTTTCCTCTATGGCAAATCCCTGAGTCTTGAAGAGGGAGGTCTCTGATATGATGTTTGGGGAGCAAACTGTCGGAGGCATTTGAACCTGAGCAACTCCATCTTAAATAGGACCTGGGTAAAATGAGGCTGAGACCTACTGAGATGCATTCCCAGATGGTTAAGGCATTCTAACTCACAGGATGAGATAGGAAGTCGGTACAAGATACAGGCCACAAAGACCTTGCTATAAAAACAGCTTACAGTAAAGAAGCTGGCTAAAATCCACCAAAACTAAGATGGCCATGAGAGTGACCTCTGGTAGACCTCACTGCTACACTCCCACCATCATCAGGACAGTTTACAAATGCCATGGCAATGTCAGGAAGTTACCCTATATGGTCTAAAAAGGGGAGGCATGAATAATCCACCCTTGTTTAGCATATCAAGGAATAGCCATAAAAATGGACAAACAGCAGCCCTCAGGGATGCTCTGTCTATGAAGTAGCCATTCTTTTGTTCATTTACCTTCTTAATAAACTTGCTTTCACTTCACTATACGGACTTACCCTGAATTCTTTCTCACACGAGATCCAAGAACCCTCTCTTGGAGTCTGGATCAGGACCCCTTTCCTGTAACAAAACCTCTGTGGTTGGCTCAGGGCCAACCACTCTTATGGTGAGGACATTCCTTCTGATGTGCATTTGTTGGTTTCCCGGGTTCTATAGCCATGCTCTATTTCTAGGTTTTCTGAGTATCTTAGTGGGAAGAATAAAGTAAAGCTACTTCTTTCCCATCTCATCATGGAAACCCAACCACAACTTTTGATATGTGCCAAGAGCAGGGAAAGCCACACCTTCTTAGAGGGTTGTGCTGAACTGATAAACTGGCCAGTGTGGGATGCCGAGAACCGAGAACAAGATGAGTCCCAGATGCTTCTGCCAATTTTTATGTCTTCCTGCTCAATACATCAGAGTGCTTCATGCAGCGGGAAGACCAGATGGACAGGTGGAAGGCAGTCTGGCAGCTTCTCTTTGTAGTCTTATGCTCTCTGTGAGGAGTGTTGCTTGAACCAGTAATAAATGCAGAACTGAAATACCACAGTGGAATTTAAATGGGTATGTGGACATTCTAAATGTTAATTAGTTCCTCAATCCGGGTTTCTCACCAAGCACTGACTGCCATTGACAGATTAAACTCTCAATCTTGGCCACCCAGAGCCTGCCCAGGCTGTTCCCCACACACTTCACCAAATCTTGCTTCTGTCTCAGGCTTCCCTTCTCCAGCAAGCTTCTCAGTTCTCCATGTTATACACTGCATAACAAGGCACATGACAGACTCCCTTACATTTCTATAAGCTCTTGGAGGGTACATACTACATAAACTTAATATGAACTGTAGGGCTTAGCATTTGTTGGTGTTTGTTAAAAGAAATATGACCACTTTGGGGCTGGGCACGGTGGCTCACGCCTGTAATCCCAGCACTTTGGGAGGCTGAGGTGGGCAGATCACGAGGTCAGGAGACCGAGACCATCCTGGCTAACACGGTAAAACCCCGTCTCTACCAAAAATACAAAAAAATTAGCTGGGTGTGGTGGTGGGCACCTGTAGTCCCAGCTACTCGGGAGGCTGAGGCAGGAGAAGAGCGTGAACCTGGGAGGTGGAGCTTGCAGTGAGCCAAGATCGCACCACTGCACTCCAGCCTGGGCAACAGAGTGAGACTGTGTCAAAAAAAAAAAAAAAAGAAAGAAAAGAAAAGAAAAGAAAAGAAATATGAAAATATGACCACCTTGATGGAAAATACAAACTTGTGTAATAAAACAGGCTAAAGATATTTAGCTTGCAGAAAAGACAATCTTATGGGCACATTTATATAGAGAAGAAAAGGGTGTTAGAAAAGATCTTATGTAACTGAAAGACTATAAACCAAGAAGGTGGTTGCATTGGTTTTGTAGGATGCTAAGAGTGTGAATCAAGAACAATGGATAGAAACTTCAATAGGAAATATTTCAGTAAGTACATTAAAAAGCCTCCTTAGAGACACAGCCCACTCCCTACTCCAGAAAACAGTAAAGCTACCTCAGAGATAAATGAGTTCTCTGTCATTGGAGGTATTCAAGAATAAGCACTAATGCCAGTTAATTGGTGTTGTAGTATGGATAGAACCATTGTTTTGTGTGTGTTTGAGATTGTTGAATGACCTTTGATATGCTTTCCAGCCCTGTGATTTTCTAATATTATGACTGGTGCCAATCCTTGACCAAAGAAATATTTGACACAAAAATGGTTACCTTGCGTGAACCCGGGAAGCGGAGCTTGCAGTGAGCCGAGATTGCGCCACTGCAGTCCGCAGTCCGGCCTGGGCGACAGAGCGAGGCTCCGTCTCAAAAAAAAAAAAAAAAAAAAAAAAAAAAATGGTTACCTTGTTTTTGTTTTTGGAGAAACACTATTTTCTAATGTGACCAATGGCAATGAAAAAGGGCGTATTAATCACTAATCAACTAAACCATGATTAGTGCATTCCTAGATAGCAAATTGATAGATATTATTATTATATATGAAGAACTTAAGGATCAGAGAGGTCATGTAATTTCCTCAAGTAAAGCACCATCTCTTTACTTTAATACAGGAGTGTGCAAAGGTTTTATGTAAAAAGCCATATAATAAATATCTTAGGCTTTGTGGAGCATATAGTCTCTGTTACAACTGTTCAACTTTACTGTTAAGCATCAAAACAGCCATAGACAGTATGTAAATGAACAGGCATAGCTGTACTATTATTTTTTTAATTTAAAGGCATGAGGTAGGATTTGCCCCACGGGCCTTAGTTTTTCATCCTCTGCTCTAGAGCCCTGCTGACTTATCATTTGAGAATGAAAAAATGCAAACAAGGCAAGGAATGGCCTCCATGTGGCCATACTTACTCCATTGGCTTTGCTGAGTGCCTGGAAGTAGATGCTGTAGCTTTTCAGGGGAGAGAGAGGAGGGTTCCAGTAGCCATTGTATGTCTTATTGTCACCCACTGTAAATGGCTGGGTGACAGGCAGGTTGGCAGGCTTCAACTCAGCAGCAAAGTAGTGTAGAGAATCGAGGCTGGAGGCATTCCGATAGCTCACGGGCACCGAAAAGCACTCAATAATGTCAGCTGCCCTCCGTGACTTCTGAAGTCGCTCCTCCTTGACAACCAGCTGATAAACACTGGACAGGAAAGAGGAGACACAGATGGTTGAGCAACTTTCTGGAAGAATGAGCTTGTTAGCTCTAATGGTGTCAACCCAACTTCTCCTATGTGGAAGCATTGGTTCGGTCTACAACAAAACTCCAGTCCTGAGCATCAGATTTTCAAACCTACCACGTTGTAGAACTTTACCTCCACTTAGCTGTCTCAGAGCCAGCTCACACTAGACACATCTAAAACTCAACTTAGCCCCAACCCCTACAAACCTGTCTGCTCCTCCTTCTACATTTCCTTTCTTAGTAAATGGTAGCAGCATCTGACAAGTGGCCAGAATCTGAATCTAGGGCTCATCCTCAGTTCTTAACTCCTTCGTTCTCACTCCTCATCCTAATCAACAGCCTTACAGAAGTCTGTTGATTTGGCTTCTGCAGGTTTGCATCTGCCCCACCTCTCTTTTCTCCTTCCACTGATAATGCCTTGGTTGGACACTTTCCCACTTACCCAGATTCAACTAGTCTCTTTGCCTCTAAGGCACTTGATTTATTAATCACTCATCCTAATCATATGGCTTCCTAATCATATAGCTCTTCAAACACTTTCATAGGCCTTCCATTGTCCAAATTATACAATCTGAACTCCTAATCTTGGCATTTGAAGTCCTCTGTGCCTGCCTTCTGTCTTCCATTTAGAAGGTCTTCTCATGGTGTTCCCATCTTCCAGCTACTCCAGACCCCATGCTATTGCACAGACATCTTTTGGATCTCACCTCATGCATTACTGACTTATGCTTCCTCTACCTGCAATGCCCTGCATCCTGGCCACCTCTGGTTTCCTCCAAAGGCTGAGCATGTCTTTCACTTCCTCTATGAAGCCTGTCCAGATATGTCCAGTCTGGATGAATTACCTCCCTCTTTAGTTCCCCTAGAGCTCATCTAATCTCCATCTGCTTTGTTTTCCAATATCATGAGATGGGACTACTCTTTCACTGGCTAGATTGTGACCTTTTACAAAGTAGGCATTGTTGCTTACTTATCTCTGCCTCATTCTCCACCCCCACCCCATACTGCCCAGCAGGATGCCTGTCACCCAACAAGTGATCAATGAATGCTTGTTCAAATGAATTAAATTGGATTGAATTAAAATTGAAAGCAAACATGAAACCAAATCTGCCTGGATGCAGAAACCCTAATCGGATAAACAGCGATTGCCTTGAGTTCCTGTCTAGTGATCTCATATTGTTCCCTTCAAGTTAGAAGGATGTAAGAAGATGCTAGTGTGTGAATAGAGATGACTGATCCTTTATTGAATATCAACTGATACCCAATGTTAGACTCTCTTTGTAAAAGTTCTTTTAAGGTTTGTAAGTTGGAGAACATTTTTCAATCTCTTTGAATGCCCCACAGTTTATAGTTCTCTGGAATAAATGCTCTTCTTTTAGAAGAGCTTTATTGCACAGATCTCTGGGACTCATGATCTAAAACAGAAGATCGATTGCCCAAAGAGTACCCACTGGAGACTTCTGTGAATTAATGAGGTGGTTGCAGTAGGGGACCCCAAACCAATCATTTAAACAGGGCATAGTGAACCAGCATGTGGTTTATCAAAAATGAAACGTGTTGCAGGCTACCATCCTTCAATCAGACTATCCATCTAAAGACACTTGATTAAGGAGTACAACTTGGGAGATGACAGAGACACAGGACTATTTCATTAAGGAAAAAAGGCTATGGAGAACTGCCCTAAGAAAATGTGACACACTCAATATGGCAAGTTTTCCCCTGAATTTTCTTGAGCATAGGAATTTTCAGGCATGCGAAAAGGAAGCGCTGGGCATATGAGTATATGCCACACTTAGATGAGTGCAGGTAAACAGCAGCTCAATGACCATGCCTGTTGTACATACACATCTGAGTAAGAACCTGACAGTTCAGAGTGCATGTGAGTGACATGCGAGTGGATGTGGACAATCTCTCAAGAAATGCACACTACATCTGAGGGTGTACCATTTCCAAGTGAGGATCTGTATTACCTGGGCATCTAACTCCAAATGAGTAAATATAACATTCAGATGAACGTGGCTAACCTGAGTGTTTAGACTTCTAAATAAGTGTGTGTAACATCTGAGAAGGTGTTAACAATCCAAAGTTTGTGTGTGGGTGTGCACCATCTATGCATGTTCATAATGCCTGTTGAAGTCAATAAACGTTTAAATTAAATTATGATTTCAATAATCACTTCCTCCTCAACTCTGGGGTCCTTCTCAACTGTACAATTCCTATGTTTATCAGGACAGCTAAGCTCAAAGCAGTCACTGAAAAATAGCACAAGGACCTAATACCCAAACCTAGAGGTTGCAGGGCAGAAGTGGAGGGGTGTTTGTAACAGAGTTTTCAGGACCTGCACTGCTTTATAAATAACAATATATTCAGGTAAATCTTTGAATCTGGCTTGAATGCTAATAGTAGCTCGACCAGTTGAGGGTCCATTACTTGTGGGACTCTGATCTGTGAGGGAAAGGGCAAACACAAAAGAGCTTCATGAAGCAGACAACCTCTTGGGCTCTCCTGCTGAAGCTAACAACAGACCTAAGAACACTGCATTGGATTTGGGAGCATGCAACCAAAGCAGTCCTCATATCCTCTTCAGCAGATTAGAAGGAACCAATAGCCTCATCCCCAGGACCAGGAGTTGGAAAGAGCTGGGAGTCCCTGCTTTCTTCTGAGGGCCAGCCTATCCCTAATCACCGCTTGAATTGATCACATCTACATAACAAGGCCTTTGTCTTGCTTTCTCAGACAGACTTCCCATTCTACCTTAAATCCTTCTGTCATCTTTCCCCTCTAAATTGAGACCCCCGAAGCCTTGGGAGCTTCCCTGGGACTGAATCCCCCTCCAAGAATCAGTTCCTACTGTCTCTGGCCCTCCCGTGATGGGATGGATCAAGAGGAACCACATGGCTGTCCTCATTTACTGTCCACAACTAGCATAAGATTCCATAGTTGTGGCCAAGCAAGAAGATGGGTTCTCACTGGGCTCTGAACATTCAAATGCTGCCAAGGACTATTAGACACAGCCATAATATCTCTGTGAGGGTCAGCCTGTATATCCCCATCAGCTCTTTCTCCCCACCAATCTGATTACTGAAGATCCACTTGTCAATTCAACCAAGCTCAAAAGCCAGATTACACATGAGGAGGCTGAGGCCGAGAGGTCAAGTGATTCATGAGGGTCAAACTGCAGCAAAAGTAGAAACCCAGACTTTTCATTCATAGCTCAGTATCCTTCCTTTTTTTTTTTTTTTCTATTTTCTTCTCTTCCTACAAACCAATAAAACGTATAAAGGGGCTTCCAAGCATTTTTTTTTAACTTGGCATCCTAAACTGCTTAGCTCTATCCCAACCAACTCCATATGAAATTACAAAGAATAGCAAAGGGTATTTTTTTTTGGTTTAAACTGTGCAGTCAACATATGGTTCACATACGATTGTGATTATTGTGCCAAAATATACCCAGCAACTCCTTCAGGCCCATGCATTCACAGCCTGTCCATTCAAAAGCAAACCTGCAATGCAGCCAGAAAAATTTAAATCATTTTGTTAGATAAATCTGTTTGCCAGTGGATTCAGCCTCTCTCAAAGACCACAGAACTCTGATTGAAGAGGTGGAGAGAAGAAACAGCACTCACAAGTTGTATAACTTTCCTTTCCTGACACTTTTTAGGAAAGGGTGGGGGAAAGAAACAAGAAATTGGGTATTATTTGTATTTCTTGCAATAGCTTCATTCTCATTCTCTTGAGAATACATTTATCTAAGAGCATGTTCTTTTCAGCTTGCTGGTAATGATAAAATCATATCCAAATGTGAATGACCTCCCTTTTGGGGTCATATCTCCAGCTCAAAAACAGTGGTTGCAATAATCTATTCAGAATCATTTTTAAAGAGAAAGGATTTTTTTAGTAGGAAAAATCCCAATAACATGAGAGAAGAATAACCTAAGACACTCACCACACAGCACATAGCATTTACTCATACATTTTCTCCTCTTGTGACACCCTCTCTGTTTCTTCCAATGAGAAGATGGGCATTTATGACCTGTTTTTTCATTACTTATGCCAAGGATCTCTTATTGCAAGGATCTAAGAGTTATACTGTGCCCCCAACTAATTTCATTCACTCTAAGGTGACTTCTGTAAGGTCAAGGAGAGTTTGTACTCTTACTTTCAGTATCTCCTGCTGTCCATCCAAGGCAAAAACCCTCAGAACCTCTCCATAGGCTTTGGAAAAGCCTGCTGCTTGACCATCTTCCTCCCTCTGGACCCTAAGCTAATGGTTTAAATGGTGGCTTGAGATTCTCGGACCAGATTCCACTGAGGGGGACCAGGGACCTATCAGAGCCTCCTTCCATCAGTAACAGTTCCTGTGGCCCTCTTTCTATATCTAGAAAAGTTTCTAGCTAGGAGGTGTATCCTTTCAGAAAGTTGAAGTCAGGTGACAGATGGAGTGTATGCTTTAGCTCACAGGTACAGATTGCCCAACTTCAGAAAGATGCATATTTTAGTCCACGTTCTCCCAGAAGGAGGCATGTCTGAGTTCAGGTTCTTCCAGAAACAGACCCTGAGCCAAAGTTTCACTGCAAATGATGTATTGAGGAAGTAGTCCCAGAAGAAACTAGTAAAGGAGTGAGAGAAAATGGGAGGAAGTGGAGCAAGGGTGTGATATCAGGCAAAGTCCCAGTCTTAGCCTGATCTCATAGGGAGCTCTGGAGCATAAATTATACCCCCAGCATTTGTCTCATCTCAAACCAAAGGCTTTTGAACCTCCAGTGCTGGTCAGTTATTGGCTATGTCTGCACCAGAGAGACATAAACTCTAAGGCACTCCTAACTTTGTGTGAGGGTCAGACAAGGCGGCTCTGGCATCTTAATGGCAACATCCCACAGCAGGTCACACCTGGAAGCCATTTACATCAAAGCACATGGAAGCTGGGAGACGGACACACAGCAGAAAAGGGGAGGTGACAGTGTCTGGGAGGCCAGCAAGAGTGGCTCTGACAGGGCAGCTTTGGACAATGACCATATGAGACTTGTGAAAGGATCAGAGACCTATTTTATCAAGGTAATTTTCAAACTTTGTTTCCAGCACTCCTCATCTGAGAGATACGGTAATCTCTCACCAATCATAGTGGCTTCTCCATCACTGATTCTTCAAGTGAGGGCAGTGAACAGTCATCTCAGAATCTCAATGGAGGGTTGCTCAAGATCAATAGTTCTCAACTTGTGGCTGCATATTATAATTACCCAGAGGGCTTTCAGAATGCTTATTCCTTGGCTCTACTACAGATCAGCTGAATCAGAATCTCTAGGGGTAGGACCCTAGCATCAGTACTTTTTAGAAAAGCTCTCTAGATAGTTAAATGTGCAGCTACAAAATCATAAACCTAGGTGATTCTGATGTTTATACGCTTGCCCTTATGTTTATTCTGATATTTATACCTGTATAGCCAACAGGGGCATTCCCCTCCAGTATTCTCACTCCCTTGGAAGACACACTGATTTGAGTCATTCCAATTTCACCAAAGCATTAATACATAATTACCAGTATTCTGAGTCGTTGTACACCACATCTCCTGATTTATTTCTTCCACAGCTTTTATCATAATTGAAACATGTCTTATTTAATTATTTGTTTACTGGCTTTACTGCTTGCCCCCAAATAGGCTGCCAACTTCATGAGGTCTGAGATCTTGTCATCTAATTCATTGCTTCTAATACCATACTAGACACATAATGGTTTTTCAATAGGTATTTCTTAAAAAAAAGAATTTAAGGTCGAGCGCGGTGGCTCACGCCTGTAATCCCAGCACTTTGGGAGGCCAAGGCGGGTGGATCATGAGGTCAGGAGATCGAGACCACGGTGAAACCCCGTCTCTACTAAAAATACAAAAAAAATTAGCCAGGCGCAGTGGTGGGCGCCTGTAGTCCCAGCTTCTTAGGAGGCGGAGGCAGGAGAATGCCGTGAACCCGGAAGGCAGAGCTGCAGTTAGCCGAGATCACGCCACTGCACTCCAGCCTGGGTAACAGAGCAAGACTCTGTCTCAAATAAATGGAAGAACATTTCAACAAATGTTAAGACTCCGATACAAACAAATGGAAGAACATTCCATGCTCATGGGTAGGAAGAATCAATATCGTGAAAATGGCCATACTGCCCAAGGTAATTTATAGATTCAATGCCATCCCCATCAAGTTACCAATGACTTTCTTCACAGAATTGGAAAAAACTACTTTAAAGTTCATATGGAACCAAAAAAGAGCCCGCATCACCAAGTCAATCCTAAGCCAAAAGAACAAAGCTGGAGGCATCACCCTACCTGACTTCAAACTATACTACAAGGCTACAGTAACCAAAACAGCATGGTACTGGTACCAAAACAGAGATATAGATCAATGGAACAGAACAGAGCCCTCAGAAATAACGCCGCATATCTACAACTGTCTGATCTTTGACAAACCTGAGAAAAACAAGCAATGGGGAAAGGATTCCCTCTCTAATAAATGGTGCTGGGTAAACTGGCTAGCCATATGTAGAAAGCTGAAACTGGATCCCTTCCTTACACCTTATACAAAAATCAGTTCAAGATGGATTAAAGACTTAAATGTTAGACCTAAAACCATAAAAAACCTAGAAGAAAACCTAGGCATTACCATTCAGGACATAGGCATGGGCAAGGACTTCATGTCTAAAACACCAAAGCAATGGCAACAAAAGCCAAAATTGGCAAATGGGATCTAATTAAACTAAAGAGCTTCTGCACAGCAAAAGAAACTACCATCACAGTGAACAGGCAACCTACAAAATGGGAGAAAATTTTTGCAGCCTACTCATCTGACAAAGGGCTAATATCCAGAATCTACAATGAACTCAAACAAATTTACAAGAAAAAAACTAACAACCCCATCAAAAAGTGGGCGAAGGACATGAACAGACACTTCTCAAAAGAAGACATTTATGCAGCCAAAAAACACATGAAAAAATGCTCACCATCACTGGCCATCAGAGAAATGCAAATCAAAACCACAATGAGATACCATCTCACACCAGTTAAAATGGCAGTCATTAAAAAGTCAGGAAACAACAGGTGCTGGAGAGGATGTGGAGAAATAGGAACACTTTTACACTGTTGGTGGGACTGTAATCCAGTTCAACCATTGTAGAAGTCACTGTGGCGATTCCTCAGGGATCTAGAACTAGAAATACCATTTGACCCAGCCATCCCATTACTGGGTATATACCCAAAGGATTATAAATCATGCTGCTATAAAGACACATGCACACATATGTTTATTGCGGCACTATTCACAATAGCAAAGACTCGGAACCAACCCAAATGTCCAACAATGATAGACTGGATTAAGAAAATGTGGCACATATACACCATGGAATACTATGCAGCCATAAAAAATGATGAGTTCATGTCCTTTGTAGGGACATGGATGAAGCTGGAAACCATCATTCTCAGCAAACTATCGCAAGGACAAAAAACCAAACACCGCATGTTCTCACCCATAGGTGGGAATTGAACCAATGAGAATACATGGACACAGGAAGGGGAACATCACACTCTGGGGACTGTTGTGGGGTAGGGGGAGAGGGGAGGGATAGCATTAGGAGATACACCTAATGCTAAATGACGAGTTAATGGGTACAGCACACCAGCATGGCACATGTATACATATGTAACTAACCTGCACATTGTGTACATGTACCCTAAAACTTAAAGTGTAATAATAATAAAATAAAATAAAAATAAAAAAAAGAAAATATAAATTACAGCAACAATGAGAAACTATCACACACACCCATTATAACGGCCATCAGACAAAAGACAGACAACCAGTGTTTGAAAGAATGTGGAAAAACTGGAACCATCATACATTGCTGTTGGAAAGGTAAAATGGTACAGTCACTCTGGGACACAGTCTGGTAGTTCCTTAAAAAGGTAAACATAAAAGTACCATTCATCTAGTTATTCCATTTCTACCTATCTATCCAAAAGAAATAAGACATTTCCACACAAAAACTTGAATTAAACTGTTCATAGAAGCATTATTTATAATCGCCAAAACATAAAAACCATCCAAATGTTTATCAACCAATTGGTGAATGGGTAAACAATATGTGGTATATCTATGCAATAGAATATTATTCAGTAACAAAAGAAATAAACTACTGCTACAATCTGCAGCATGAAGCTCCAAAACATTATGCTAAATGAGAGAAATAAGACGTAGAAGACTACATATTGTATGATTCTATTCGTATTTATTAAGTTATGGAGAAAAGGCAAGGCCATAGAGACAGAAATCAGATTAGCAATTGCCTGGGACTGGAAGTGGAAATAGGAATCAATTGTACATGGGCATAGGGGATTTTATGGTGTGATGAAAATATTCTAAAATGGGACTGTGGTGATAGTTGCACGATCCTATACATTTACTAAAGAATTGTACACTTAACATAGGTAAATT
This sequence comes from Homo sapiens, assembly GCF_000001405.40. Lineage (NCBI taxonomy): Eukaryota > Metazoa > Chordata > Mammalia > Primates > Hominidae > Homo > Homo sapiens. The sequence goes on from NC_000020.11 coordinate 42,324,504, forward strand.
TATGGTATGTAAATTATACCTCAATAAAGCTGTTAAGAGAAACAGACTGAATAATCTTCAATGTCCTTTCACACTTCAAAAGTCTATGCTTTGGCATTTAAGTATGCACAAATTTTAATACAAAATGCTATGATAAACCATTGGTTTTATAGGATAAGATGGGCTAAGAAACAAGTGTGAGCTTTGTAATGCCCAACAGAATCTAGCTTTGCAATTACATTCCCTGCTTAAAGGTCACTCAGAACTATGGAGCTGAAATTTACAATGATATGTCTTAGTTAGCCAACCTTTCTTCCAAGACTCTGGGAATTCCTGTTTTTACTCACTATTTGCCTAGTCAAAATAGCTCGCAGAGGAGACAAGAAAATGGGAGGAGGTGTACATTCGGCAGATTAGTGTCAGAATTAGTGCACGTGCATCTTTGCTTTGCCTCTGACTAGTTCGGCGACCTATTGTCCTATCTGTCTGTCTTTTATACATTTATTCATCAGACATTTATTGGGTGATGATAGCTCAATAAAGTAAACATAGCAGGTTCAAATTTGAATGCAACCTGGCCACTGGGTACTGGGTGCTTAGAGCTCAGAGTGGAGAAATAATGAACTGTTCACTATAATCCAATGAAGTGAGGGCAGCAAGAACTCTGCCAGGGAAGGATTCTGGGAAGGAAGGAACCTACAGGGCAGTGCAAAGACTGAAATTACATGTCTAGGAAGTGCATTCTAGAAAGTGCTCTATGAAAGTTGGCTGGAGCCTTCACAATTGCTGCATGCATTATTATTACAATATTACTGAATTAGACACCAAAGAGTGGCTTTGTTTCTTATTTGGGCCCTTCTCCTATGATTGAATTGCATTTGATACATTTAATGAAAGTGAATTTTGTGTAGAAATTTAGAGGAAGAAAATATGTTGGGTAAAGGAATCATGAAAATCCAGTTGAAGCATCCAAATAAGTTTTCCCTCAATCATGGCTCTTCTCTCTTTCAAAATACCATAGATTCAGTCCATAAGCAATTCCCATGGCTTCAGTTTCAATATACTGTATATTGAGAATCTGACTGCTTCTCAGCATCTTCATAGTTACAGCTCTGAACTAAGCTTCCATCATCTCTTAACTGGATTATTGTAATAGCCTCCCAACTGGTCTCCCTGCTTTCACTTTTGCCCCCAAAATTTATTCTCAAAACAGTGGCTAGAATGACTCCTTAAAAACATGACTCAGCTCAAGACTCCCCTCTGCTCAAAGCCCCCTTATGGCTCTGACCTTACTTAGAGTAAAATGCAACATCTTTACAATGTCTACAAGACTCACTCTTAAGAACTCTCTGATCTTACTCTTCTAATTCTTCTCCAGTTACACTGGCCTCTTTGCTGTTCCCTGAACACCCCACACACGCTCCCATTTCAAGGCCCTTGCTCTCGCTATCCCCTTCCTTGAATGGTCTTCCCTTGGAGATAGGCAACCTAAGGAAGGCTTACTTTTTCACCTCTGCCAGGGAAGTCTGTCCTGACCACTTTATTTAAAATAGCAACCGAAATCCACAATATAGCCAATTACACTTTCCCTCTTAATTTTTACCTACCACACCTAACAGATTAGGTCCTTTTAAGAGAGAACTGTAAGCACTGCAAATGTCAACCTTCCTTTGGGAAAAAGCGGCTGGATCAATATGGGGCCAGTTAGGCAATATTTGGGTAGATAACCTTGATATGGGGACCTTTGCTAAAGCAAGGTGGAGGTTTTAGTACTGGCTTCACACTCGCTGCTCTGTCTGCCATGCTGAGAAAGTCACTTTACCTCTAGAACTTGCCTCTAAAATGGAATAATTGTGACCAATGCAATAAGACACAAAACAGAAGAGATACACATTTTAGAAAGGAAAGCAATTCATCGTCATTTGCAGATAACATGACTAGACCTAATATATTGAAGCAAATCAACTGAAAGACTGTTAAAATTAATAAAAGAATTCAGTAAAGTAGTTTTGTAGAAGATGGAAATAAATACACTGTACACCATGGAAAACAAGCTAGAAGATGTAATGAAAAAGCCTTTTAGAATAGAGTCCTTTAAAAATAGCTAAGGAAAACACAAATAAGAAACGTATAGGACTGACATTGGAAGGAAAATAAAACTCTACTGAATGATTTAAAAGACTATCTCCAGCCCCTAGCACACGGCTTGGTAGAGTGGGTGTTAAATAATTGTGCTGAACTGAAGATGAATAAATGGACAGAAAGGCTGAAATCCTGGAGGAAAGCATCATATATTGTAAAAATGTCAATTCTTGCCAAATTGATGTATTGTTTTCTTTGAGAAAAAGCAAATTGTATAAAATATGAGCCAGTTAGGTGATATTTGTGAGCCCTAAAGATGTGGATGGCCATAATTTGACAATTCCAGTAAGATTTGTTTTGTTCAAATGGGAAATATGGTTAAGAACTTAAAAAAAAAAAAACAACAAAGGAATGAGGCTGAAAAACCACTACTGGATATTAAGTTATATTATGAAGTTACAATGATTAAACCATGGGTACTAGAGTATGAGTTAAATAAAAATGGACTAGGTAGGGGTGTGTGTGTGTGTGTGTGTGTGTGTGTGTGTATGACAGAGAGAGAGAAACATATAATTTTATGTATAAAATTACACGCAACATAAATTAATGAAAAAGAAAATTTTATCACTTAGTGTTTCAGAAATTCCATAATTATGAGATGAAATCATCAAATTTAAGACCTCGCTACATATGAAAAACCACATTATATTCCAATAGTTCAGAATTAATTTATTTACTGAAAAATTTTAGTATGCCCTTGCCAACCAAATACAATGTGTGATCCTTGATTGGATCCTGGATTGAATTTTAAAAAGCTTTAAAGGACAATTAATTGGGAGAATTGGGGAAATTTGAATGTGACCTATATATTAGATACCAGCATTATGTCACTTTGAAATTTCCTGAGCGTGATGATTGTTTTGTGGCTATGTAACAGACTGACCTTTCCATAGGAGATACAAACTAAAGGTTTTGAAGCGTCATGGTCACTACAAGTAACCCTCAAATGGTTGAATAACCATTTGAGAGACAAGAGAAAGAGAGAGAAACTAAATATGGCAAAATGCTTATGACTGGCAAATCTATGGGAAGGATATGTGGATGGTTATTGTCTCATTCTTGCAATATCCTGTAGGTTTGAAATCAAAGAAAAAGATAATCTTGAGTGGAAAAGAATTGTTTAAGCTTAATAATAGAACAATTTACAAAAGACAAAAGAAAAATGACAGATTTGTCTATATGTAAATCTGAAATGTCTGAAAACAGAATAAAAAATAAAACAACCAATTAGAAAAGCTATTCCCAGAAAATATGACAGAGAAGGAAGCAATATTTTAATATTTTAAAAATCATATCAGGTACAGCGGATAAAAATGACAAAGGACACACATAAAAATCAATAAATTATCTGAATAAAGGTATAGTCTATATTCTGTATATATAATGGGATAGAACCAGAAATTGCTAAATCAAAATTCTGCACAAATGAAAACCTCCAACTGGGGAAAATAGGAACTTACCTTATATGATGCCTTATAAGTAATTCTCATATCAAATAGAAAATCAAAGCCACAATTTCCTGCTCTTTAGAAACTATTACTGTGAGAACAATAATGTTTAATGCTTATGGGACAGGACCAAACCTGTTTTCAGCATCTGAAAAGCCTTTGTTACTAAACAAAAAAGAATGACAATAAATTAATTAAGCATTCCATAAAGAGAAAATTAGAATAAACAACACTAGAGCCAGATGGCTTTTCCAATGAGTTCTTTCAATCTTCCAGGAATGGATAATTCCCATGTCATAGAAACAATTACATCAGACAGAAAAAGAGGAAAAGCATCTCAAATTGTTACAAACTATTCCTCTAACATACTATTAAATTGGTGCTCCATAAGTGGATCATTTACTGCAGGTACACAAGACAGATTTAGTAATAGAAAATCTAGGAAAATATCACATAAATAAATCCAAGTAGAAAAAAGAAAAGTACGATCATATAAGTAGATACCAAAAAGGCACTTGATAAAATCACTCATTTTAAAAGAGTCATAAAGATAAACTATAGAATATAAATAGTTTTCCTTTTCAGATTTCAAAATACCTATTTCAAATCTACAACTAACATTATACGTAAGAGAAATTTGCTGGAGGTCTAGTGTTTGAGGTTGGAATTTAGACAAAAAGTTCAGCTATTAATATTATTTGGCAACGTTGCCCGGAAAGCTCTACCCAAAGCAACAAAACATAAAACCAAAACAAGAGCTATTGCAACTGTAATAGGAGGACATAAAATTATCATTATTCATAGATGGTGTGATTATTAGCTGGTAAACCAAGATAATAAAACTTAATTAAAGAAACTCACAAGAGGTTTCAGTGAATGAGATGAAGAAAACACACACACCACACACACACTCTCTCACACAGTTTCCCTAAATACCAGCAAAAACCAGTTAGCAAACACAATAGGGGACAGATAGCAGAAGACACCACAAGCTTAATGTTAGTAAAACAATTTTAACAAGGTAGCTATGGATGGAGTCTACATGAGAGTCAATGCCTACGTCCTGAGAAATAGTCAAGACTCAGATGAATAGATAGGCTTGCCCTCTTTCAGTGTGGAAAAGCTCACGTTAATACATATAGTCATTTTAGATTAAGCAATAGTCTTAATATAATTTAGACCAATTCCATTGGGGATTGTTTAGAGAATATGATAAAGGGATTTAAAAATTCATAGGGAAACATAAGTGGGTAAAAATAGCCAAGAACATTTTGAACAACAAGAAATAGGAAGACTAGATATTAAAATGTTTTGTAAAGCTATATTAAAATGGGTGATACAGACACAGTGACCAACAGAGAGGCAGATCTAATGGAACAGTATAAACCAAGAATATAGTGGCACACACACACACACACACACACACACACATACACACACACACACACACACAGGCAACATCACCGTTCAGTAAGACTGGAAGGAGTATTCAATAAACGGTGTGGAGGAAATCTGTCAACTACTTGGAGAAACAAAAGAATAAATACTCCCCAAACATCATTAAAATGGTAATAGCTATCATGATATGTGGCAAAAGAAGGATGCAACATTATCAGGGAGGATCAACCTTACATAAAGCCTATTTTTTTTAATTTGGTGACTAAAAATAGGGAAAATTTCCCAAATGTCAGTATTTTAAAAATTTTCCTATCATTTCTATATAAGCATGCATTATTTTGTGGTGACTCTAACTTAAACATCATTTAAAATAAAATGATAACATTGTATGAATTACCTTAGTATTGTGATAAGGATCAAAGATAGGAATATGAAAATACTTTGAAAATATTTTTTTAATTTAATATGTTACAAAATAGCTGTAGTATCATATTTTTAATTGATGGATGGATTTATCCACATGAACGACATGGCATAATCTATGCCTAATACTCTCTACCCAGCTGGGCATTGTTGACTATTCAATGTTTACGAAATAGATCCCATCCCTACTTGACTCCAGAAGTGCTATTTTCTAAGTACATGTTGAAAAGTATAATTTCAATCAGTCAAGAATCCAGTAATGTATAAAAGATATTTGACTCAGCTTAAAATAACTGGCTGGGAGCGGTGGCTCATGCCTGTAATCCCAGCACTTTGGGAGGCTGAGGTGGGCGGATCACCTGAGATCGGGAGTTCAACACTAGCCTCGCCAACATCGTGAAACTCCATCTCCATTAAAAATACAAAAAAATTAGCTGGGCGTGGTAGGGGCACATGTCTGCAGTCCCAGCTGCTTGGGAGGCTGAGGCAGGATAATCAATTGAACATGGGAGGCAGAGGTTACAGTGAGCCAGGATCACGCCACTGCACTCCAGCCTGGGTGACAGAATGAGACTCCATCTCAAAAAAATAAAATAAATAAAAAATAATTAAAATATCCACTAGCCAACAGCTCTATTAGCTTATGTTAATAACTCAATTAAACAATAACTTTAAGCAAGTCTATGTAGTCTATGTAGGCCAGGCACAGTGTCTCATGCCTGTGATCCCACTGCTTTGGAAGGATCAAGTTTGATGCTGCAGTGAGCTATGATCACGCCACTGCTCTCCAGCCTGGGCAACATAGTGAGACCCCATCTCTACAAATAATAAACTTGTTTTTTGTTATTGTTATACTTAACAAATAGAGCATTCAAAGCAAACAGTGCTAACCAACAGAAGCAAGAACAAGCAGAATGCTGCAGGGGCCCTGCTCCTGTGTAGTCACAGACCAGTAGCATCTTCATCACCTAAAAAGAAATGTGTTGGAAATGCAGAGTCCCAGGCCCCACCTCAGCTCTATTAAATTAGAATGTGTACTTTAAGAGGTCCCAACTTATTTCATTTGCACATTAAATTTTGAAAAGCAGTAATGTGAAACAGAACACATTAGGGGACTGGAAAGCTTGCTGGTTTTTGTTTTGTTTTGTTTTCTAATATACATTCTGAATCATTTTCTGTACCCTAGTGGAGAGCCAGGCTGTTTTCTTTACCCCGGGCCTCTCAAACCTCAGACATCCTGGGAAGCAACCCCCTTTATACTCCTGTCAAGTTCTCAGTTGAAATGTCGTTTTCTAAAGTTACCTTACATGGTGAGAGGAGCAAATAAAAAAAATCAAGTTAAACAAGACTAGCTTCCATGGGGATTCAGCTCCTAACTTGGCGATTAGAACCCACAGCAATGCTTTTACAGAGGAAGATGTTATTGTTTTTAAAAGAGTAATCAGTAGGGCGCCTGGATGTCTCCCCTTGCAACAAAGACATTTGCTTAAGGAAAGGAAAGTATCAGGTGAAATCTCTCTGAACAGTTTTTTTTTTTTTAAATATAATACCATCTGAAATCAATTATCTTCAAAAAGCCCTTCTAAGCTCTAAAAATGTAAATGGAATAATTACTAATTAAGCATTAAATTAATCGTAATAGCAGGCATACTTATTTGCCAGATAGGGCAAACAAATGCAAGAGAAAAATTATAACACCAGTTGAAATATTCTTCTTATGGGAAGACGTAACCTACTGTTGAGGATTGCAGAAGTGCAATGAGGTGAAAATCGTGTATGCACAGAGAATTGGAGGTTCTCATCCATCCAACAACAGAATTGCCTGTGAATTCTGGATTCCCATGATAGACCTCTGAGTGTGAGGCTTGGGAATGCAAATTTTGAACAGGTTCACCGTGATATTCTTATATATACCAAATTCCAGAGATGTCCTTTGGGAGTTCTTCAGACCCATTCAATGATTCTGTAACACTGACATAATTGTAATAGTAATACTAAGACTTCATTTGCCTTTTTCCACTTTGTTAATATTGACCCTGGAAAGGTAGGCAATACTGCTGGTGCCTCAGGAGAACTCAAGGCAGTGGTACCCAACTGTACTTGTCATTATATTCTTCACCACCTCATACTTGCTATAAAAGCAAAAATGCCAGTTTCACTTAAGAAGGTCCTCGATGAAGCAGTAAAAAGCATTAATTTTATTAAATCTCAACCCTTGAGTCCATGTCTTTTTCACATTCATGTGATACAATGGGCAGTATACACAAATTATGTCTCCTGCTTGTTCAGGTACTATGATTTCTTCAAGAAAAAAACATTTTTTTTCTTGTTTTTGAGATGGAGTCTCACTCTGTCACCCAGGCTGGAGCGCAGTGGCGTAATCTCGGCTCACTGCAAGCTCTGCCTCCTGGGTTCACGCCATTCTCCTGCCTCAGCCTCCCGAGTAGCTGAGACTACAGGTGCCCACCACCACGCCTGGCTAATTTTTTTGTATTTTTAGTAGAGACAGGGTTTTACCGTGTTAGCCAGGATGGCCTCAATTTCCTGACCTGGTGATTCTCCCACCTGGGCTTCCCAAAGTGCTGGGATTACAGGTGTGAGCCACTGCGCCCGGCCAGAAAAGAATATTTCTGTGATTGCTTGAACTGAATGCTAAACTAGCCACATTTTTCATGAGGTACCTTTTTGTTAATTCTTGAAAGAATGACTAACGAACTGTGGTCATTCAGATTTGTATATGTGGAAAACATTTTTTTTTTTTGAGAATAAACGAAGTCTCTCTGTCACTGTAAAGAAAACTGACAGTATTTGTTGTCAAAGACATAAGGCAGCTTTCAAGTGAAAACTAGAATTTGGAAAACTTGTATCTGCCACTGTGAACTGTAAAGATCTTCAATAATTAAAAATTTTAATGATGAAATTGGTGGTGACAGTAGCAAATGTAATATTTTGATATGGTACAACAAGATATATAAACATTTGGAATTTTTAAAATAAATCCATGAATATTTTTCAAATGACCAATGCATAACGTTGCAAAATCATGTAAGGCAAAGAATGCACTCAAGTGCAAGACAGATATAAATTTTAACGTAAAAGAGTATAAAAAGTTTACTGATATTTCATTGCAACTAAACTTTAGGAAACCACCACTCTGAGTTTTGGTGTCATATGAGAGGAGAATACCCACAATGATCTTAAATGGCTATTAAAATATTCCTCCTTTTTTTTCCCAATTATGTATCTATGTGATACTGGATTTTCTTTATTTCAACCAAAACAATTCATGAGGACAGATTAAACACAGAAACAGATATGATAATCCAATTATCTTCTACTAAGCTAGGCATTAAAAAAGATTTGCAAAATGTGAAACTGTATCTCTTCACCCTAACTTTATTATTTGGGGAAATAAAAATATATTATTTATATTAATATGTATAGGCTTAGTTTTTTTGAGATGGAGTCTCGCTCTGTTACCAGGCTGGAATGCAGTGGTGTGATCTCGGCTCACTGTAACCTCTGACTCCCTGGTTCAAGCAATTCTCCTGCCTCAGCCTCCCGAGTAGCTGGGACTACAGGCACAGGTGCCACCATGCCCATCTAATTTTTGTATTTTTAGTGGAGACGGGGTTTCACCATGTTGGCCAGAATGGTCTCAATCTCCTGACCTCGTGATCCACCCACCTCGCCCTCCCAAAGTGCTGGGATTAGAGGCGTGAACCACTGCGCCCAGCCAGGCTTAGTATTGTTTTTAAATGAATTTAAATATTTGTTAACATGTGGCTTTAATTCCTTTTCTTGAGATGGAGTCTCGCTTTGTCACCCAGGCTACAGTGCAGGGGTGCAATCTCGGCTCAGAGCAATCTCTGCCTCCTGCGTTCAAGCTAGATTCTTCTGCCTCAGCCTGCTGAGTAGCTGGAACTACAGGCATGCACCACCACACCTGGCTAATGTTTGTATTTTTAGTACAGATGGGTTTTCACCATGTTGGCCAGGCTGGTCTTGATCTCCTGACCTCAAGTGACCCGCCCACCTTGGCTTCACAAAGTGCTGGGATTACAGGCATAAGCCACCATGCCCGGCTTGAATTTGGCTTTAATTTCTAATACAGTAAACATTGATAGACAAAACCCACATAAACAAAAGTTCTTTGATGCCTTCATTAATTTTTAAGAGTGTAAAGGGGTCTTCAAATTTAAAAGATCAAGAACCTGTGAATCATACATTTTTTTAAAAAAAAGTCTATTAAGACCCCCATGGTTCAGAGTTTCTCAATCTTGGCACTACTGACATTTTGGGCTGGATAAGTCTTCGTTGTAGGGGGCTGGCTGTGCTGTGCATTGTGGGATGTTCAGCAGGATCCCTGACCCCCACTCACTAACTAGATGCCAGTATCACCTCCGACTTGTAATAAACAAAAATATGTCCTGACATTGCCAGATATCTCTTAAGGGACAAATTAACGCTGGTTGAGAACCACTGCCATAGGTAATTAGGAAAAGGATGTAAAAAGAAAATTCACAAAAAAGAAATGTTAATAGCATAAAAATACCTAGAAAAATATTCTGCCTTGCCAGTAAGCCAAGACATGCAAATCAAAATGACAATATGTTCCCATTTAAATGCATTAAATTAGTAAAAGTAAGCATAAATTATAACAAGCCATTTCAGTGAAGCTGTGGTTGAACTGGTAGGATTCTACAATTCCAGTAGCATTTTTAATTGATTCATCAAATTGGGGAAAATAATCTGGCAATGGTTTTCAAGACATAAATGTTTTTATGACCTGGAAGTAAAAAGAGCATAGGCTCAGGAATCAGCATTAAACTTGAATTTTAGCTCTGAATCTCACTGGTTATGTGATCTTCCTTAATTTATTTAAATGATAGCATTTATAAGAACTGAATACGATAATAATGCCTCCATCATTTGTTATTTGAGAACTGCAATAGACAATAATGTAAGTGAACTTCTAGTTAAAAGCGGAAGAATTAATGTACTCCATTTACCTCTTCTATCTCCTCACTGTTATTGCAGTGAAATGTGAAAAAGCATAGAAATCCACAAGGAAAAAGAGGACAGGAGAGGGGACATCAGTGGATGAGCAGTTTTAAGAAAATTCTGGAAACCTAAAAATGGTCAGAGGAGAGGTACCACATGTGATGAGATAAAGAAAGTCAAATTGCAAAGACATGTGAGTAAGAATGGATTTTATTTGCCCCACAGATTTCAAGAGAGATTCTGATGTTGGAGTAGTCAAGTGTGGACAGTGTGGAAGTAAAATGTGGGGCTGAAAAGGGGTGTTTATCAAAAGTCTGTACACAAAACCATCAAACCTTTGAACATGGAGAGCTATGTGTCTGCCCTCTACCCCTTAGGCAGGAGATAGGAAGAGGATTTCATTTCAGAATTTGAATGCCTCCGCCTCCAAAAGCACAGCACCTCCAGTCAACTTTCTCAACACCTTACTTTTAAATATTGGCTATGGAGGTTCACTGGTTAGGTAAGCAATGCTTCCAACATGAAAGAGAGCAGTGAATTAAAAAAAATGACTCTAGAAGAAACAGAGATAATACAGGAGTCAGAAAAGCTTCCCCCTTCTCCAAAATCAAAATCATATCCTGAGATGTTTGAGAAATGATTACTTCTATAAATAAGAAGTGAATGTTATAAGAAAAAAAATTCAAAGAACAGTAAGTAGCTCAAAATGAAAAATTATGACTGCCAAAATTATAAACAAATTTGAGAATTTTTTTGAGGGAGTTGTTCTGTTTTGTTTTAGGAAATAGAAGAAATTGGCAGAAAAGAAAAGGGGAAAAAGAGTATTTAAAGGCAAACCTAAAATGATGGAGTTCTGTGGGAGGAAAAATGTATGAATAGTTTAATAAATAAACTGCCTGAAGAAATGAGAATAATTGTACATTCTATAACGAATTAAACAAAAAAGCCCACAAGAAGAGTAATTAGAAGTAGTATAACATAGTAGTACACTCCAGACTGTGGGGCTAGACCATTATGTTCAAATTTCATATCGGCTGCTACTAGCTGCATGATCTTGAGCAAGTTAGTTAACCTTTCAGTACTTCAGTTTCCCCATCTGTAAAATAGGGATAACACTAGTTTCTACCTGGTAGGGTTTTGACGATAATCAACTGAGTTAATATACATAAAGAACTTAAAATCTTAGCAAGCTTTAAATTAATTATGTAATAATATAATACTTACATATTATATTATACTGTAAAAGAAGTAATATACCATTTGGCTCTGAAGTGACCTGTTTTTATGGAATTGTAAAGTTGGCCATTGTGTAGTTATTTAACAAAAAACTGTGGCTTAACTACATTGGAAAGAAGGAAGGGAGGTATTGGATGATTTAAGACAGACAAGTTACCATCTATCATAGCAGGAAATAAATAGATAATGTCTGCAATCGATAACTTTAAAATAGCACATTATGTAGTGACATTGCCAATTCCCAGAAGAAAGAGCAAAGAATTAAAATGCATTTGCCTCTGAGGCACAGGACTGGGGGAGGGGGGGTTGTAAATGGTGGTGTTGGGAATGGTTGGGCTATTTGATTTTCCAACTATGTGTATTTGTTACTTTGAGATTTTTTAATTAAAGAATGAAAAAGGTTAATGTATATGAATTGGCTGTCAGTGCCTGGCATATTAGAGAAGGCACTCAGTACACTGTAGTTCAATTTTTTTCATTTCAGTAATTGCATTCCTGGGGATTTTTGCTATTTAAAGGTACAATACCAAAAGAAAAACATGAATAAATTTGTGATTGCTTGGTTATTTATAACAAAAAAAACTGGAAATGACCCAAATTTTCAACCATATGGAAATAGCTAAGAATTACGCAAAAAGCTGACAAAATTTCATAAACCAAGAACATGAGTTTATTGTTTCAGATGGCTGTGGATTAGCTAAAACTGACTGCACACACACATACAAAGTCCCTGATGTGTTTAGACTAGGAAATAGAAACCTGAGAGAAACTGGATGTCTAAAGAGAGGAGGAGATGTAGTATATCTCTACTCTAGACAACTTTCTGTGGCCTCCAGAGTCCTTAATAGGGGGCCTCGCAGCTACTTCAGTCACTGGGCAAGGGGAGTTTTTTCCCAAAACTGAAGAGTTTCTTTTTGAGCTGTGGCATGGTCTTTCATACTTAGAGTTTGCATCACTCTTCAGGAAGAATGCATACTCACAATTGATGCCACTAATAGCAATGCTTACAGATATTTAGAAGCCCCCCCTTCCCTGGCTCTACAGTTAGACTCACCATTAGCAAAGTCAAGCCTCACCTGGAAGTCATTCCAAGCTGTAGTTCGACCTCCAACTTACAATGTGTCAGAAAACCCATTTCTTAGCAGAGCTATTGATGAAAATTATATGACAACAATGAAAAAATGTAACATAATGCATCTGAGTCTGCATCAGAACCTACAAGAGCTACAGGTCCTAAGATACTATGAGCTGAGCAAGCCATCTTCTCAGGATCTCAGTTTTCTCTACTGAGAACAGGGGATTATTTTTTCTACTTCAGGGCTGTATTGTGAGTGTACAGTCAATGAAAGGATGCTTGGTATCCTCAGGTTCTCATCTCAGGTTCTGATCTAGAGGAGGAGCTCAACAAAGCTCAGTTAGATGTGACTTTGAGTGTGTATGACCCACTCCTTAGGACTGGGCTTCTCAGACTGTACACACATGAGCATCTCCTGGAGGACATGTTAAAACACAGATTGCTGGGCTTTACTCCTAGAGTTTCTGATTTAGTTGGCTGGGGACAGAGCCTAAACACTTGCATTTCTAAAAAAGTCCCAGGTAATACATCAGTATTCGATCTGGGACCAAACTTTGAGAATTACTGTCTTACAGGCACAAAATACCAGCTTGGAAAATGGTTGAGACTTTGGAGAGGAAAAGCAAAGGCAGGACGGAAAAGCTTAATAAGGGTTCCTTATCTGCCTTGGTCCTGATGCCTACTAAATAGAGTAGAACCTTGGTGTGATGTCTGTACCAGCTCCACCTCCTTCCTAAGCTCCCTTCTAAGGCTCTCCCAGCCTCCAGACCTGAACAGAGCCTCCCGTGTCAGCTTCCTGAACTGAAAGATGACTACCTTTTCCATCTGCCTGGAGCCTATGGGCTGAGGCAGAGGCCACCTTTTTAGGTTCCAAGAAATTATGCATTCGTTATGGAGGAAATTAACACCTCAAAGCAAACTATAATTAGGAATTCTTCAATTCAGTTTATGCTTTTTCAATTAGGCACTCTATAATTTTAATCATGGGAGCATTAACATGTTTCTGTAATTTATATACCTGCAGTATAATTAAGCCTGGGAAACACATTGCTCTAAACCTGAATGGAAGTGATTGTTTCCCTTCACACTTGCAGTATTACATGTCCCTGATAGAGAGATGGTGCCAGTTGCAGAGGAGCCATTTGTGAGTTGGAGAGGCCAATGAGAGAACTCCTGGCTTTGGAAATATGATGGCTGTTGTAGACCATGTGATGCCTTTGAACATCTGCATCCCAAAGCTTCAACTCCTATTGTGACTTTCAAAACATTCCCACCATTGGAAACTGCTTTGGACAACTATTCTTGGAAACTAATTTCAATTAAGCAGGAACAGGGTGTCCTGGCAGGGGAGACGTTATCTGAGAGCCGTGGGAAGCAGATGGCTTTGAATTGAAGAAATTGAACAATAGGCTGAAACTTAGCCTGGATTGGGACCAAATTCCTTTTTTTGAAAAAAAACATTGATTCCTCTTCCTACTTTTTCTAACTCTGTTTCTCTCTCATAATTTCAGCTTTGCCTTTTAGCCACAAAGCAGGGCCTGAATCCTATGTGCAAGGTAGTTCTCTTGGGATTCTGAGAAGTTCTGCAAATTCAAGGAATTCAGAGGCACACTGAAAGTTTTTGTGCTTATTCAGACTGAACCTCTGAACTGTCTGAAGGTTAAAAACCTTCATTTTTTCTCTCTTCTTCCTGCTCTCCCCACAATAGCAAATTCAGATTTGCTGACTACAATAAAAGGAAAAAGAACATAATCAAAACTGGCCCGGGGGGACAATGCATACAGATTCCAACCCAGCTGAGTGACGCGTGCATATTGCTGCAGCATTTTGGCACTCAATATATTTTGTCTGATCTAAGAAAATATGGAACTTTTTATAGAGTGAAAGTTGGAAGTGGATTTGTTTCTCCCAGGCTGCTCTAGCCTTCCACAAAAGAACACAGATTTGTTCAGATTCTGATATTCTGATATTCAGCCTCATCAAACATCCATCTTCTACCTAGTCCCCAACATCCGCATAGAAGTGACCGTATTCAGATATGCTGTCAGCATGCAACAACACAACATGAATTATTTTGACACCAGTTATTGTCATCATCATAGGAAAACAGAGGTGTGTTTTTAGCCCCCACGTGGACAGGGATAGAGAAATAAGCTGGCAGAGATTCTAGTTCAGCTTTTAGGAGCTAAAACTGGTTATCCTCATGCTGAAACACACACTGAGAGAGACATGAGAGATCCAAAAGCTGTAAACTCAACAGGGGCAACTTCACAGAACAAGGCAAAACTATTGCTTCCCTATATCACAAGAATGAGCAAATATTGGTGCCATAGAAGAGATGACTTGGTTCCCTGTACAGGTTCCTTTCTCCATACCTGAGGCCACCCATAGGCCACACCAGTAGTACTCAAGCGTGGTCCAAGACCAGTAGGTCACCTGGGAAATTGTTCAAAATGCAGATTCTCAGGCATTATCCTATAGTCCTTGGGGACAGGCAGGACTCTGCAGGCTTATTAGAACCCCAGCTGATTATGATGTTCATTAAAGTTTGGAAACCTTGGGATTATACCACTTCCCACATTCTATATCCAGTGGAAGTGATGTGGGGAAATTTTAGAAGTCTAGCTCGGTAGATCAGAATCTCCACAGTAAGTAAGCCCAGCCATAGGTCCCACGCTGTTTTCAGGACCTATACCTCTGTCTAAGTCTTCATTACATTGCTCATCTCTTATGATAGGATCCCTGGCCTTTACCTCTCTCCCCAAACGCCTGCCAAATAACCTCTCTGAAACCAAACATGGGCCTTGACCTCTTCTTACCAACCTTCTTAGGGTCTAGAGCAATGTAGTAAAATAGAATTTTCTGTCATGATGGAAATGCCGTCCAGTATGTCAGCCACTAGCTACTTGTGGCCATTGGGTACTTGAGATGTGGCTAATGCAACCAATGAACTGAAGCTTTAATTTTACTTAATTTTAACTAGCTTAAATTTAAATAGCCACATGTAGCTATTAATGATAGTTACTGTATTGGACAGTGTAAGTCTAAAGTCTAGCCCTCGATTCTTGCAGTTGTTACTGGGGGTGCTACATCTTGCTCTGGGCATGAATACTTATATGTTTATAAAATTCTTCGTAAGCCTATACCTAAGTGGAAATGCACTAAATAGCAAACCCTAAGCAGCTGTAGCCAGGTAAGAAAAGGGTGAATTGTATTCTGAGAGAGTAACCACACATTTTTTTGGCCCATTGGTGGAGACTCTAACTTTAAGATGTTATTTTCCTACCAAAAAGCCAGGGCTTTCAGAATCACTTCTCTCACTGTTGCCAAGTGGAGGCAACTCCCTGAGCAGCCCTCAACAGCTGGAGCAGGCATCGTGCAGAATGCTTTTTGGATAAGAGCAAACCTCCTTGGATTCTAACATGGCACAGAGCCATGCTCTAACTCAGAAGAACATCAATAGATCAGGCTATAGAAATGCACTTGATGGAAGCAGACTTGAAAGTCTGACCTTTGGGCAGTTGCGGACAGAGACCGAGAGCCATCGGTTATCAGCTGTGCAAGATCTGAGACAAAGCAGCGATGCAAACTCTCATGGGGCCCAGAACAGTGGGAGAAGTAAAAGTCAGCAGAAAAAAAAGTTAGAGAAAAAGTAAGGACCAGGAGAAGGCATCTTGCAAGGTCACCGAGTTCTTTCAAGGAGTTTCACCAGTTCCCCAGGGTTGGAGGGTTTGTATTATAAGAACTACATCTACTTGGACTGCCCCTCCATCCTTAGTCTGGCCTCGTGTTCCTTGCAACATTTGGCTCCAATGACCTTCACCTTGAATCTATTACTGTCTGTTCACCATCACTGCCAATGTGGTCACACCGAGAGCCATCATATCCTATAGAAGAGTTTTATTACTGACACCTTATATTTGATCATCTTATTCTCCAAATAGCACTTCCTGTCTTTCTACACTCTCCCTGCTTTGTACCCTCTGCACAAATTCTTCAACAGCATCCAGGTTGCCTGGCCCTCAATATATCTATTTTCTGAACAGCAACCTTCACATTCTTTTTAAAGCAAGCCTACACCAGATGGTCCATTTTCCAGCACTTTTGTTGACATTATCCATCATCTTCATTTCTCTGTAGTCCTGGATCAACTTGTGTGTCTTTCTTCTTTTCTACTACAAGAGCTTCTTGAAGCTCCTGGAGAAGATTAAACGATTAAAAAAAAATTAAACGATTCTTCCTTTGAATTTCTTGTTTTAAAAGAAAAGAAAAGTCAAAATGAAATATACAGCCCTGGTTTTCCTTCTACCTCTTTGGCCAGTCCTTCTCCATCTCCTGTGTGTTTCCTTGATAAAGTTTCGTAGCTCTCTGTTCTGTTTCTCATCTCTTCTAATCTACACTCTCCCAGGATGAGGTCATCCACTCCCCTCCATACTTGAAATACCACCTGGATGCTAATGACTCCCAAATCTAAAACCCCTGCTCAGATGCCTCTCCAGCACTCCAGACTTTTGGAATTTAAATAGTCCCTATGGTAGGAGGTGAGCATGACAACCACTCTTCTTTCCCTCATGCCAGTAACAGTCCCTGTCTCCATCTCTCCAGATGGCAGACAGTCCAAAATAGAACACTCTTTCGATCTTCATGTTCCATCGACTGCTCCATTTAAAATATTCTTCCCCAAACACCTGTTTTTCCTCCTTGGTTGGAGCCTAAGTAATATAATCCAGAATCCTAACACCAGAGCCAATTCTTGGTAAGCTGAGTTGTTGGTGGAGGAAGGAGCCTTATAAAAGGGGACCTGAAATGCAGTCAGGGTAAAAGCTGAAGTGAATGCAAACCCACCTACATTATTTGGGTGTCACCTTTCTTCCCTTTTGTTTTCCTGAACAATCATCTAATTGCAGCTCTGTGCTATATCACCAGACTGACCTTTGTCTCCTAGGGTGATGTCTTTGGTGGTACACACATAACCCTTCAATATGTATCCCAATGGTTGGCATATGTAGACTGTGGGACAACCTCATGGAGAAGGGCACTACAGTAACATTCATCCCTTATTCTTTATTTCTGGTTACCTCTTCATATATCTGGCTTCTCCTATTTCCCAATCTGGTGTGATGAAGTCCCAGCGTGATTTTAGGCATGGCTAAAAGTGGTGTTAACAAAGCTACGTCTTCTCCCAGGTTATGTCTGGGTATCTCTTATCCATGTCCCCCTAACCCCCAATACACCAAAGTGGGACCCATAGCATTCCTCATCATCAGGTCCCAGCAAAGGTGGCCCAGAGAACTGGGGAACTAAGTGAATAAATGAGGTTTGGAGAAAGAGTGTCTAAATGTAATTACAGTTTCTCATCTTTCCCAATGTGGACAAGGCCTCACAAACTCCTCAGGCTGCCCTGTGTCAATAAATCCTCTAAATGTTCGTTTCTCTTTCCTAATTGGACACCATCATATGCTGGTATCTGAGAATCAGACGGTAATGATTCCAATTTTGCTCACTGCGGCTTCATGGACCAGCAAAACCCCTCTGT
Organism: Homo sapiens; assembly: GCF_000001405.40. Classification (NCBI taxonomy): domain Eukaryota; kingdom Metazoa; phylum Chordata; class Mammalia; order Primates; family Hominidae; genus Homo; species Homo sapiens. Next base: position 42,342,745 of record NC_000020.11, read on the forward strand.
GATTGTTTCATGTGCTCCCACTCTGGGCTTCACAGTTATTAAAGGAATCCTGAAGGAAATCTGGCAATCGTTTGCTTTTCTTCCCAATAAAGTTTCTTCTTTCTTTAAAAGTAGGCTGTATCTCCAATTGGTACTGTAGCTAATCACTGTGCAGTTCAGAATCTATGGTCTTAACTAACTGCACCTGTCAAATGCAAAAGGATCACAGATTCTCATCAGGAGGTGAAGAGAACTTGCAATGACCTTTAGAAGTATATATCTTGTTACACTGTCTTCTAGGGTTCCATCTTTCATACCCCTGGTCCTCCAGGCTAGAGTTCCCACACCCTGTGCACCATGCCTCAAGCAACCTAAGAAAGCAGGTCTCATGTCCTAACTGACCTTGTAAAAGGTCCCTTAGAAGTCCCCCACACTCTCCTAGACCACACGCCAGGTTGCAGCTGTCCTTGCTCAGCTGAGTTCCTAACTCCCCCATTCAGTTCCCAGACCACCTTTGCCACCATTCGCCTTTCCTGGATGAAATGTCCTCATAGACTCTTCCCTCCCTCGGCATCTATTGGCTCAGAGAATGGCACCACTTTCCATCCCACGAACCAAGCCAGAAAACTGGGAGTCATGCTGGACAATGTCTTTTCCTTCACACCCCAACACCCTGCCCCTTGGAGAAGTCATCACAAGCCATGTCCATTTTACCTCTTACAAGTTGTATCTCATCGTCATAAGTACTCTAGTGGTGGGTCACCTTCATTTCTTATCTGAACAATGTAACTGTCTCCCAAGGGTGTTGCTCTTAACCCCGACTGTGCTGGCCCTTTGGCAATGAGATACTACAAGCTTGTCTGCTTGAATTTATATTTCGGAAAGGTGCTCATATCTGACCAAGTTCACAGACTCATAGGCACTTTCTTTTTCTGATTGTCTTTCCTATTTTTAAGGTAATGTTGTTTTGAAGATCACCCCTGGAGATGAGTGTAGGTTTCCTGATGTGCCCTACACTGGCCAGCACTTCGCATGTAGTAGATCTCACATGAGTGCTGGAGGATACACAGCAGATAGGCATTGGCTTGCAGCAGGGCTCAGAGAAAATTCTTGCCCATGGCTGCCCATGGCTTAGAGCCACTCTTTGCCTCAACAGCTTGGCCAAACACAAGGACTATGTTTCTGTTTTGTTTTGAGACGGAGTCTCGCTCTGTCACCCAGGCTGGAGTGCAGTGGTGTGATCTCAGCTCACTGCAACCTCTGCCTACTGGGTTCAAGTGATTCTAGTGCCTCAGCCTCTCAACTAGCTGGAATTACAGGTACCTGCCACCACACCCAACGCATTTTTGTATTTTTCATAGAGATGGGTTTACACCATGTTGGCCAGGCTGGTTTTGAATTCCTGTCCTCAGGTGATCTGCCTGCCTTAGCCTCCCAAAGTGCTGGGATTACAGACATGAGGCATCAGGCCCAGCCCCCAAAGAGCATGTTGAACAATTACCAGTTGCAATTTACACAGTTTAGCTTATTCGACCTTCAAAACAATCTGTGATGTAGGTATTCCCATTTATCGACAAGCAACTTACGGTTCAGAGAAAATAAGTACCTGCTTCCAGTATACCCAGTGGGACAATTGGATAAGACTGGTCTGATTTTAGGAGCCACTCCTGTTTCAGTGTATCCAACTGGGAAGTCAGCTATGGCAGGAAGAGCATAATGGTCTTAGGTCTGAGTGAGGAGCTCCGTATGGGACCCATCTCTGCCCTCAGGGAGGCCACAGTCTAGCAGAGGCTGACAACGCAAGGCACTGACAGAGGGATGACCATGACAGAGTGGCAACTCAGAAGGAGCTGGTGCATTCTGCTGCAAGAGTGGAGATGGTCCTGGATGTGGCCAGTGTGAACCGGATGTTGGAGAGGTGGAGAATGGCATGCTTGGTGGAGAGAACAGCATGGACTAGGGGCCTGTTTGCTCAGAGAAGGACAAACAGTTGGGCACTCACCTTCCCAATGTTCCACACTCCCTTCTGAACAAAGTCTAAATCCAGAGTGAAGACCTTCTTCACCTGGACCCTGCCTGCTCCTTTGCTTCTCTCCTCATCTCTCTGTCCCCACGCACTGAGCTACTTGTGGCTCCCCAAACACACCCTGTACCTTCTCTGTGTGCGCTTTTGCATAGGCTGCTCTTTCTTCTAGGTTACACTCTTCCCTTCTTCACTAACTCCTCCTCATTCCCTAGGTCTCAATTTAAGCAACACTGCCTCCAGGAAGCCCTCCCAGCTTCTGAGCTCACCATTCTACCAAGGGCTGCCTCTCTACTGAACTCTCATGGAAACTTCTGAACAAGCTGGCCAAACACAGGCTCATTGGCACCTTTTCTTTTTCTGATTGTCTTTCCTGTAGACCTTTACCATCCAAAATGGCAGTCAGTAGCCACATATGGCTCCTGAAATTTAAATTAATTAAAATAAAAATTTTAAACATCAGTTTCCTAGTTGTACTAGCCATATATCTGGTGCTCAATGGCCATATGTGTTCAGTGGCAGTCATACCACACAGCACACATATAGGACATTTCTGTAACTGCAGAAAATTCTATTGAACAGCACTCTTTTCAGAATAAGAGGTAGCTGAAGGCATATATACACACACACACACACACACACACACATATATATATAAAACTAGTTACTATAGATATACATATATATATAAAACTAGTTACTATAGATATACATATATATATAAAACTAGTTACTATAGATATACACATATATATAAAACTAGTTACTATAGATATACATATATATATAAAACTAGTTACTATACACACACACACATATATATACATACATATATATGTGTGTGTGTGTGTGTGTGTGTGTGTGTGTGTGTGTATATATATGTATGATGCCAGACACTATCCCATGTAAAGGGAATTCAGTAGTACCAAGCCTTCAGATTTCTTGGAGCTCACAGCCTATAGAGGGGTATGTAGAAACAACAGAAAACAAAACAAAAAATATATATATATGAACAGCTGTATAACACAATTAAAGGCTCAGGAAAGAACTATGAAGGAACTATATAGGTCACTGTTGAGTAAAACCTGGTAAAGGGGCAGACGGAAATGAAAGGAAACCGGAAACAAGGCTAAGGACAGATTCTGATGAGCCTTGAATTCCATGCTAAGAAGCCTGTACTTAATGCAATGGAAAACCAATGACCCATTTAAGAATTTTAAGCAGGAAAGTTAACTTGATCCAATTTGTGCTTCCAAAGGATCACTCCAGCAGTTCAGTGGGGGGTGGATTGAAGGATGAGAAGCTGCAGCAAGCACTCCAGCAAGCATATCCTGGCGGGTGCAGGTCCACAGGATGAGGCTGGAAAGTGCCAATGTGGGAGAAGAAGAGAGAGCTTGGCCCAGGTTCTGAAGTCCAGAGGACCAGTCTCCATGACTAATTAGATGGGAAGGGGAGGAATGAGGGGGAAAGAACATTTCCAAGGAAGTCTTCAGGGATCAGGGGACGGTCTGTTATAGAACCTGGGGCTCTGCCCCCAGCCTCACTTCAGGGACTGCATTATAGGTGACTAATTCATGGCTAAGTTACTTTCTTATGAAGGTTAGTACGGATCAGTCACACATCAGTGTGACAGGTGGGGCGTGGGGGAAGAAGGCTCGGCATGTTCAAGCCAGAACTGAATATTAGATTCTAGTCACTATTTGATTGATCTTTTAAGCAATTCTGGGATTCTGTCACTTAAAAACCAATAAATCTTTGAAGGCCTGAGGAAAGCAATACAAAAGCAATAAATCTCCATTGTGGAGTGTTAGAAAAATAGGCCAAGCTGCTGAGGTGGTTTGGCTGGAGGGATGAGGGTGCGGGAGCCCCACACAGCAACAGTCCTCCCTGTCACATCTCGCCCCCCTGCACACTCAGTTCTACCAGATAGAGTCAGATCCACAGGGCTTCAGAGGAGCAGTAAGTGGCAAAGCAGGGGCTAGAGTTTGGCTCAGCCAGGGTTGGAGCATCACTGGCAGAAAGAAGAGCCTGCCTGAGTGGGGTCTGAAGGCCAAAGTTTCTGTGTGAGTCTGTTTGAGAACACACAGCTCCACTCAAAGAGGGACCCACTGAAGCTCACAAGTGATAGACCGGGCTCACACAAGGCAGAGTTGGAGGACCCCTGAGAATTCCTCTTGCCCACCCCTCATGCCCTGGTTGGTGGAGGTTTACTCCGTAGCACCCCCACAAAAGGGCCACCCGGTCATCACGTGACATACCAGGCAGAGGAACTCAGAACTTCCCAGGGGAGCCATGAACTCAGAGCCAGGATACTAGGTCTATGCACTGTCTTTAACTGTAACAAGCCCCACAAGCTTGGGCCAATCAGTTAACATCTTAGACTTCAGTTTCCTGCTCCAAAATGGAGATGGTATTTCCCAACCAGCTGACTCACCAGGTAGGTGAGGATCAGATAATACAATGGAAGTAAAGGAACAATTCAGAAAACTAATTCAGAAAACTATTAACTGTAAAATTTATTCGAAGCATCCTTAACCCAGTGCATCTAGTGAGTTCTTTGAGTCCTGGGATCATAGAGTGTCCATATTGTTTTCTCCATCCTTCACCTCCCCAACTCACACAACTGCACACTGCTCTGCTTTCCTGGGTGGTGCTCATCTGTCCAGCCAGTCTACCGCTTCTCTCAATCACTACAGTCAATGTACCTAGTGGTTTCATATCATCTTACAGTGGAACTGCAGAAGCAGCTCAATACCCCTGGGTTGCAAGAAACATAAGCCGAGCACACCAGATGCACCAGGCATGACACCATTGGTGGGACCTAGGTGCTTGGACTAAGGAATGGGGATAGTTTAATAAGTGAACACCACATGGCATGATCCATGATTCAATAGCATCACCTCATGACATGATCCAGTCAGATCAAGTCTCCCACATCACGACATTGCAAATGTCCAATCAGATCACTCCATTACCTTCTGCCTATAAAACCTGTCCCCGCCTCCAAAAGCCTGACTCCTGTCTCCTTGTTCAGCAGCCTTGCAATAAACTTTTCTCTCTACAAAAACACAGTACTTCAGAGTTTGGCTTTCTATTGTGCATGGGCAAACAGACCAAGTTCTGTTCAGTGACACTTTTTTTGCTAATTTCATGATTTTGTTTGTTTGTGTGTTTGCTTAATGTCCCACCTCCCTGCCTCACTCACAAACAATTTACTGGAGCCTCAAGAGGACAGAGGTGTGGCTATCTTGTTCCTTACTGTATCCCTATTGCTTAGCTCACTTCCCTAAACATACTAAGTGTTCAATAAATATTTGTTGCATGACCTAGTGGTCAACTACCTCTCATATAACATCCTACTGCCCAGAGTTCAAGGTGAATGAAGGTCAAGATAACTGAAATCCATTGTGATATTTCCACTTCTGTCCTTCCAGTTGTCCTGAAATTCGTGCTGGGTGGCATTGGTTAGTCACTTCCCCTTCTAGTCAAATGCTCAAGAAACAGTCTGGAAATAATTCCAGAAACTGAGTCTACACCCACCCTCAATGCTCTAGAGCCTTGAGAGGAAAAGCAGCCAGACATTTCCAGACACCAACCATTTCCCCTTTGAGCAGTGACATTTCTTTTATTTATTTATTTATTTATTTATTTATTTATTTTTGGATAAAAATGTCACCAAAATATATCATGCACACCTTTCTCCTAGGAGGTGGTATAGTATAGTAAAATGAGTGTTGGCTTTAGGTCATTTGAACTAAGTTTAAATTTTGCCTGTACCGTTTGCTGGCTTTATAGCCTGAGTCAACTGACTTAGCTTCTGTTTGTCTCAATTTCTATATTTGCAAAATGAGGAGACTATTATACAATGTTGCGAGAATACAGGTAGTGTTATATATAGAGACAAGCTGGTAGCAAGTGCTTGTTCCTTAAATGAAAGCTAGCAGGCTCCTGTAAGTTGCAGACCCATCTTTTCAGGGTAAACCAGGACCAAGTAATAAACACGAATGGCTATGAGGGATGACAGCATGTAGGCCTGCTTGATTTTTGAGTCCCTGTGTCTGTTTTGTAGAGTTGCGCTATTCCTTTGCACCCTGACAACTGTCATTTCTCATTGCTACTGGGAAACTTTCATCCCCTTATCCCTCCTCATAATTTGTTGAGTCTTACGATATATAAGCTTGTTAAGTAGACATGCAAAACCAAGAGTATAGAGATTCAGAGGGAAAGTGTAAAGACTTCTCTGACTTAGGGGGAGCATTGTCCAAAGACTTCAGACTACATAGGAACTTCTAAATTGGTGGTGGTTGGTTCTGTCTATTTCAATGCCTATCATTTCTAGATGAAGCTGGATACAGGATAGACAATGGCTAGCTAGACCATCTCAAAAGCCCCCTTCTGGGCTGGTGTCCTAGCCTCCAGTGACACAAGGAGTGAGGCTGCATGCATCTCTCTAGTAGCTGCCCATGTCCTTCAAACAGGCCTGAGCCTCTCAAACACACTCCCATTCTCATCCCAGCACTCCCACCTTGATGTTTATGTTAAAGCAACAACCGCCCTGGTTGCTCCCTGTTATAGCATGCTGTCTCTCTCCTCCATGCCTGTGCTCACACTGGACACTCTTACAACGTTGGTGAAATCTTAAGCATCATTTAAGATACAGCTCAGTGTCCCCACTGGGAATTCTCTCCTCTGAGCTCTTATGCGTATCTCCACAACGACACACTGTACTGTAATTATGTTTCTGTCTCCCCAACTAGAGTTTGACTTTCTTTAGGATGTGACTTATCCATGGCTAGTTCACTGCTGTGTTTCCAAGCACTTAAGCATTGCCCGAGACAGGGTGGATTCTTAAAAAAAAATGTTTGTTGAATGAATGAATGAATGGTTTTTAGGCCTTGGGCCCCGCCTCATTCCTGGTACATAACATACTGAGTTTATGCTTGATGAATTGAACTGAGCAATTTGAAAGTTGTTCCACTCAATGCTCTGCTTCATTTTAAGGGACTGTAGTCCTCCTTCCTGGAGTTCTGGGCAAAACCGGCAGTCAATATTGCTGCCCTTGTGCAAAGTGTATCTTGTTTAAAAGAGATGCCCACGCTCCTGATATCATGAACTAGCAGTGGTCAGTTTAACTATGGAGATGCGTCAGTGTATTCCTGATCTCCAACCACGTTTGGTAAAATCAGCAGTTTTACCTTGACAGCAAGTGCCCCTATGGGACTCCAGCACCCTACAGCCTTAAACTGGACCAGTCCCCAGGTCTTGTCAGATTTGTGATATCTGAGCAGGTTGTTTTCAGTATTCAGCAAACCTGTCTATCTGGCTGTTACTGGCAGTGACACAAAGAAAAGTGACCTTTCCAGGAGACTGTGTTCCAGGCCACCGACCCCACTAACTAAATTTACCATAAACATGTTCCAGGAAGTTTCCTTCTAGACCATCTCAGGTCCTGATTAGGATGTTTCTTGTTTTTTTTTTTTTTTTTTTTTTTTTTTTTTTTGAGACAGGGTCTCACTTTGTTGCCCAGGCTGGAGTGCAGTGGCATGATCACAGTTCACTACACTCTTGGTCTTCCAGGCCCAAGCAATCTTTCCATATCATCCTCTCGAGTAGCCGGTACTACAGGCGTGTGCTACCACATCCAGCTAATTTAAAAAATTTTTTTCTTTGTATAGACGGGGTCTCCCTATGTCACCCAGGTTTGCCTTGAACTCAGGGGCTCCCTTTGAACTGGGCTTGGGGCTGCTGACCTCCTTCCTCCGAGGAAGCTTTGTTCCTGGCCAGTCTTGCCCATGGGCATTGCCAGTCACATGATTCAACTGGAGGCCCATGTGGCACAGAGAAGAAAAACTGCAGACTCCAAGTGAAGAACCATCCTCACCTGACAGGAGCTCCCCGGGACTGAGCGGGTTTCAGCATCACTGTGATGGTCGTGTCTGTCTCATTCAATGGGGTGTCTGTGTCGTACTCAGGCATGGATGGAGCTGGACAGGAAACAGAGAGTGCAGGTGAGTTCAGCACAGATTCCCAACTGGCTCCCCACCGCCCCTTGCTGCCATCCTTAAAGACACAGCATGGATAGAGGGAGGACGTTTAGGAAAGGGGTTGGATAAGAAGCCTTCCAGGCCTTCAGTAAAGGAGGCCCCGATGCCCAACCTGCCCATAGTAGGTTTCTTCAAGGTGCAGTAGTGTGGGGAAGGGTAGCAATGATCTGTCGAGTAACCTGCATGAACCAAAACGTTCCACACCTAATAAACAGATATGTGCAGGGAATATAAGTACTAACAAAGAAGTGAAAGCAGAGTCAACCTTGCCAAACACATTTAAAATGCAAATTACATCAATTATGAACTACTTCCCCTCTACCTTTTTTTTTTTTCCTTCATGAGACCTCCCTTCCCTCATACTCAGCTGATAGGAATGCGACTATATCTATTCCTTTGGGAAGGTAATTTAGCCATTTGTAGTAACAGCTATTAAAACCCACATCCTTTTTAATTCAGTTTTTCCAAATTCTGAATTTATTCCTAAAGCTATAATCCAAACCAATGAATTAAACTTTATTTTGTAACATGTTTATTGAAGCGTTATTTTGTAAAAACACGGAAGCACCAAATATATCCAACCACAGGGGAATGTATAATTAAATTACGTCCATCCACTTGACAGAACATTATAACGAAAGCAATGTAGCAACATAGGAAACACTTATGGGATAAAGATAAGAGAAAACATTAAGCTACAAAAAAAACATGTTTTTCTGGAAAACCATGTGCAAAATATGTATGTATGCAGACCAGAATTGCATACATATTTAGGATAATGAAAGCTGTAAAAAAGGTTCTGAAATAATTCTGCATTGTTGCTGTCTAGTGGCAGAGGGGGCCCTACGGGTGATGGCAGTCTGTAATTTTGGACTACTGTGGCCCTATAATAGTAATTCATTCATTCATTCATTCATTCATTCATTCATCAGGTATTTCATGAGAACCTGCGCTAATGTCTTGTTCTGGCAAAAAGAATGTTCCTGAAAATGAATTTAATAACCAACTTGTGTGCAATATACATTATCTACACACACGTGTACTATTTAATGCAAGCCTGTGGGAAAATTATTTAGTGGCTTGCCACCTAATTAATCTAATTTTTACACTTTAGGAAGTTCATCACTTAGATTTTCTTCATAGGAGACAACAATGGTAACTCACTAGGGACTGGATCGTCCTAATTCCACCCATATCACAGGGTGACAATTCAAGAAAAATTTCCACTTCAAGGAAAATCAGGAAGTGGGGGTGAAACAACCTTTTTTCCTTTTTCCTTTCTAGCAGAGATACCTGAAATTTTGGTGGCAATCCGAGTGGTGACAGGGGGCCCAAAGCCCTTTGCTGTGCTGGCCTTGATGGTGAAGGAATAGGTGGTCCCTGGGTACAGACCCACAAAGAGGTGGTGGGTTTCATTCCGGAGCTTGAACACTTTCCCCCTCTGGCTCGAGAGGTCAGCACTTGGGTCCAGCGAGCCGACAGCCTTGTAGTTGATCTGTAGGACAAGCCAGCAAACAAACAAACAAATAAATGCCTCACTCAGGAAGCTGGATGGAGCTCCTTTAGAGGAACCTTAGGGAGGCGGGGGAAGGGGCAGGCATGTGAACTTGGCCAGCAGATTCTGCTAAGCTGCCTGTTGCTGTCCACTTTCCAGATGATCCCAGCCTCCAAATACCCCATTGCTCACCCACTGGAGCAATGCATGTTCTCATTGATTTGTAGGAGTTAAAACTTAAAATAATTGAACTTACAGAGATAGAGAGTAGAAGGATGGTTATCAGAGGCTGGGAAGGGCAGTACCGGGTGGGGGGATGGTTAATGGGTAGAAAAAATTGAAATAATGAATAAGATCTTACATTTGCTAGCACAACAGGCGGTCTATGGTCAAAAATAATTTAACTGTACATTTTAAAATAACTAAAAGGGTATAATTGGATTGTTTCTAACAGAGAAGATAATTGCTTGAGGGGATGGACACCCCATCTATCGAGATATGATTATTACGCATTGCATGCTTATGTCAAAATACCTCGTGTAACCCATAAATATATATACACCTACTATGTACCCACAAAAAATTTTTAAAAAAAGAAACAGAGGGCGACCCACAGATGTCATTTTGAATTTTCTGACAGTCTCATGAAAAGAAGTAAAAAAAAAAGAAACTAATTTTAACAACACATCTTGTTGAACCCAGTGTATCCAAACTATTATCATTTCAATCTGTAGACAACATAAAAATTGAATGGAATTGTTTACATTCTACTATTCGTATGAAGTCTTACAAATATGTCTTTTACCCCTTCAGCGCTTCTTCATTTGGACTAGCCACTGCTTTTCATAAGTGCAGTAGCCCCGTGAGGCCAGTGGTCACCATGCTGGACACTGCAGTCATAGAACAGTGTCCAGGTAGAGCGTCCCGATGAGAATTATTTATAAGTCTTGTTAAAAATGCAGATCCCAGGCCCCATATTCCAGACAGATAGCGATTGCTGACTGGTGCTTTCTCGTGCATTATCTTTTTTGTCTTCCTCAAATCCTTGGGGGCATCAGGATAGCTACTCTCATTTTAATAATGGAGAAACTGAGGTGCCAATGGAAGCAACTTGCATGCAATCACCATTTTTCAAATTGTATATGGAGATAGTTTGTCTATGGTATATGAAGACCATGCCCCATGTGACATATCATGTGAGTTCAGCAATAACCAAACTGGTCTACACCTGTGGAATGATTTGTGTCTACTGTTCCCTGATCACACACTTGAGTGTCACAGCAAGGTACTAGAAGAGTTTTGAAGCACTCACTCTCAACTTCTGCACTTGCCCAAGGGTGAAAATAACAATTGGTAGCCCAGCACTGGTCCCACGGATCACACTTTGAGTGTCACATCTTGAAATTACACAGTTGTGAAGTGGCAAACACAAGATTTTTTGTTTGTCTTACCTGGTTTGTTCCATTAAAAATATTTAATTAGGCTAGGTGTGGTGGCTCACACCTGAAATCCCAGCAATTTAGGAGGCCAAGGTGAGAGGATTGCTAGAACCAGGAGTTTGAGACCAGTCTGGGCAACACAGTAGGACTCTGTATCTATGTATCTACAAAGTATTAAAAAATTAGCTGGGTTGGTGGTACACATCTGTAGTCCCAGCTATTCAGGGGCTGAGGTGGGAAGATGGCTTGAGCCCAGGAGTTCAAGGCTATAGTGAGCCATGATTGTACCACTGCACTTTAGCCTGGGTGAGAGAGAGAGACCCTGTCTCTAAAAAATTAAAAAAAAAATTAATTATGGTATAATATACATACAGAAAAGCATAACTCTTGATGAATTTTTGAAAACTGGATACAGTCATATAATCAAAAACCAAACCATTACCAGGCCCAAAACGTTTTCCTCACACTCCCTTGCAATCCTACTTGCCTACCCCCATCAGGGATCACCTCTGTGTGACTTTTAACAGCATAGACGAGTTTTGCCAGTTTTTGCACTGTGTATCAGTGAAATCCTATGAAACGCGCTTTTTTGTTTCTGGTTTCTTTCTCTCAACATTATCATTATGTCCATGGGATTCATCCATGTTGTCATGGGTAGTAGCAAATAAGGCATTCCCAGGTACATTCAACAATCTCTTGCAGACACCGTACTAGGCAGGTCTGACTCCAAAGCCTGTACTCTATATTCTATACCACATTGCCTGGCCTGTTAACAGTGCATCAGTTGAAAAATGAATTCACTCATCCACTTATTTGCTCCTTCACAGTGTTTCCTGTGTACTCCTGTGTTCTAGGCCCTGCACTGTGTGCTGCTGGAGAGGTGCCCAACTGAATTCAAGTCAGGCCTCATCCTCAAGTGACTTCCATTCTTGAGAGAGGTAAGCCAGCTATATACACAGCTGACATCACTTATCTTCCATCAAGAATGGCCAAACCCAGGCAGAAAAGGAAGCACACCAACTTCCCTTCAAAAATAAGCAATTTGCTGTTACTGGCAATGGCACCAAGTGTTTTGGAGAGAAAAGTGATTTCTCTGTCCTATATTAAACAGTAGTGGTGCCGCATCCTTGAGGAGAGAGGTCAGACGGTGCCCAGAGCAGAGTGTGCGCAGGAGGGAGGAAAAATGCAGGGAGCTGAGGGCTTTGGGCTTTTTTTCAAGCAGCACCTGAGTGTGCATGTGCACCATGCAGGTGGCTGCTAGCTTCAGGCTGCTCTGGTGGGCCTGTCTACAGCATTCCCTCTGGTCACCCCTACCCACCCCACTCCTTCTCAGAGGCAAGTGCTACAGGCATCTATCTGCCTCTCTGTTTGAGGACTTTCTCCATGGGTGCTTGCTGGGAATGGGGGTTAATTAACACCCCAGCCCTGATGGGAGTTGATGCATACATTCTCCAGGCTCCCCTTCCTTATACCCCTGCAAGCTCCCCCTCCTTGGTATTCCTGCAGCATCCCAATTTCCCTGAGAGGCTCAGCTCCACTTGCCTCTAGAGGCAGCTGGTTTGAAAACACAGTGATGATTGGCTACTTTCCTTTCTCTTCCCCACTCCATATCTCTTTACTGGTGTTTCTTAAACTTCTTGGCAAACTGCTCATATTCAAATCCCCATCTCAGGGTCTGCATCTGAGAATGACCAAACTAAGGAAAAATGCTCGTGGAGGTATCTCAGGAGAGAGTGCAACTGACATCCGAAGGACAATCCTGAGTCAGAAGAGGAAAGAGTATTCTAGCTTCTAGGCAGAGGGAACCGCGTAGGCAAAGATCTGGGATGGGAAAAGGTTTGGACAGAGCAAAGCCCAGAGCCACTGCAGAGCAGTGAGCAAATGGGGGCAAATGGAGTTTTCAGCATGCAGGTGGATTCTGGTTTCCACTGTGGCAGAAAAGGGGAGATGTACAGACAGTTCAGCCTGTAGCCACCAACCCCAGTGCACCAGTGGAGAGGACGTGTGCTTGCATTCTTTGAAAATTCTGTCCCCGTCCCCCTGCTTGGACTGGTGGCAACTACATTGATATACAGACACTGGGAGGTAAAACTCATGCCTTATTTACTAGCCAATTCCTTTCCTGCGCTCCAAATTCAATCCAAAAGCAACTCAATTTCCACCGAGCTGTCAATATAATATACCGCGCTCTTCTGCTCTCCTAACCTTTCCTGGTATTACAGGATCCTCACTTACTTGTAATGAAACACTATGAATAAATCAATGTATGTTAATATAGCATGTCTTCAATTTTTTATGAAGGGCTTCACCAAATCTAATTCCCACTGCTTTGTCAGAAACAGTCTTTGAAAAATTTAACTTGCAAGTTTCACGAAGTTAGTGAGGGATCGGGCTGGGGAGGGAAAGAAGAAAGGTGAGAAAAATGGGATGGGAGGGAGCTGTGGCTGTAAACGTATAATATAATATGAACCTTCATTTATAAGCGGGGAAAACGGAAGATTTGTAGAATAGCAAACATAAAATAAAGGGTTAGTAGGGGGAAGGGTACACAGCTGCACATCAACCCTGGGCTCCTGGCATGGGTTCTGGCTGCAAAAAGTACTCAAGGATGTCCCCCTTCTCTTTTAGTTGCTGACAGTAGGATCCACAGCCAGAAACCAAAGCAGGTGCTTCATAACAAAAATCCCAGGCTGAGCACAGTGGCTCGCACCTGTAATCCCAGCACTCTGGGAGGCTGAGGCAGGTGGATCACCTGAGGTCGGGAGTTCGAGACCAGCCTGACCAACACAGAGAAACCCCGTCTCTATTAAAATTACAAAAAATTATCCAGGTGTGGTGGTGCATGCCTGTAACCCCAGCTACTCGGGAGGCTGAGGCAGGAGAATCACTTGAACCTGGGAGGTGGAGGTAGCAGTGAGCAGAGATGGCGCTACTGCACTCCAACCTGGTCAACAAGAGTGAAACTCCCTCTCAACAACAACAACAATGACAAAATCCAATCATGTCGTAAGAGCAATGCTTTCCCAGAGCTCTCAGGATGAAGAATGTGTCTCTGTCATGTGGTCTTAATCAGCTCAGTGCGTGAGCTGGCCTCGCTCGTCCTCCCCCCAGCACCCCAAGCCTTACTTCAGTACTAAAAAGAGCCATGGTCTTTTCTGCCACAGGAACTTGCACCAGCTCTTCTGTCAGCCTGGGCCCCGTCTTCCTTCCCATGCCTCCTTGTTGCCTCATTCATGACTCCTCACCCTTAGCGGACCTCACTTACAGGGACTCTTTTTATGGGTATCTTCTCTGACTCCCAGGTTCTTATTTTACGTTTCCAGAGTCACCTGTCTCTCTTTTGAGCCACTAACTTTCCATGTAACCATGTAATTATTTCATCAATAAGTCCCTTTTCTACCAGCCCAGGAGCTGAAAAAATATGACTTGCAAGTCAAATTCAATCTACCATCTGTTTTTGTAAGTAAAGTTTTATTGGAAAACAGCTACACCATTGATTTAAATATGGACTTATGGCTACTCTCACACTACGAAAGCAGAGAGAAGTAGCAACAGATACCCTACAGCCCACGCTGCCTAAAATATTTATTTTCTGGCCTTTCATAGAAAAAGTTTGCAGACCTCTGTACTAGACTTTAAGCTCCAAGGAGGCAAAGATCGTATCTGGTGTTTGTTCAACATTTCATCCTTTTGCATGTCTAAATGAATAATTAAATTAGCTGTGTAGCTTGAGGGATTGCTTAACCTCTCTGAGCCTCGAGTTCTTCAAGGGAAAAATTATAATTCTAATTTTAGTTTCCATTTTATGTTGCAGAGTGACCCCCATTTCTTTACTCCTGGAAGACAAGCCATTGTTTTGGAAGGAAGGCTCCAGAATGTCCATGAGTGGCTTTGGCTTCTGTATCAAGGCGCAGTGGCTCATGTCTGAAATCCCAGCACTTTGGGAGGCTAAGGCAGGAGGATTATTTGAGCCTAGGAGTTTAAGAGCAGCCTGGGCAAAACAGCGAGACCCCATCTCTACACCAATTTGTTTTAAAAAACTAGCTGGGCATGGTGATGCACGCCTGTAGTCCTAGTTACTTGGGAGGCTGAGGCAGGAGGATCACTTGAGCCCTGGAGGTCGAGGCTGCAGTGAGCCACAATCGCGGCACAGCATTCTAGCCTGGGAAACAGAGTGAGACCATGTCTCAAAGCAAGCAAGCAAACAAACAAACAAAACAAAAAAGTTTGAAGGTCATAGAAAAGCAAAGAAAGACCAAGAAATGGTCACAGGTTGAGGAACAAGGAGACATGACAACGAAATGCTATGTGAGAGCCTAGAAGAAAAAAGAAGACCTCTGTGGAAAACCTGGAGAAATCTGGAAAAAAAAAAAAGTCTGGCATTTAATCAATAATAATGCACTGAAGTGAATTCTTAATTTTAATAAATATACCATGGCTATGCAAGATGTTAACATTAGGGAAAGTTGTATGAGGGGTATAAAACTCTCTCTTTTTTTTTTTTTACAGTTTCTCTGTAAACTTATTTCAAAATCAATTGTTTAAAAGACAACAAATGGCATGCTGAGATTTGGCTGCTGTGAGCATCTTTGTGGCTGCAGAACAGAACCTAAACAGATATCCATTGAGCTCTTGACTAGGTGCTTGGCCATGTACTAAGCTCTAGAGAATCCTCAGGAACCTACAATTTGGTGAGGGAGATAGGTATGGCCCACAGGAATAAGCGGGCAAGGCACATTAAGAGCTCTGTTCTGAAGGAAGGGAAGATGGCTCTTATGAGCATGTAACAGAGAAAACAGATTGAGTCTCTGGGGCCAGATGCCTTCCTCATAGAGTGTGAAGCTGTTAACCAGATGAGGAGCATGGGAGAAGGGTGGGAGGCATGACAGGAGATGGTGGAGAATGAAAGAAGAAAAGGCTCTTGGGCAGGACAACTGCTTGCCTAAGGGATGCTTTTGTGCAAAGTAGAAAAGGTGCCTGTCTCAACTCAGTCTCAGCCCCCTGTACTTCAGTGAGCTGATGCTGCCTTTGTGAGAAGAAGAAGATACGCTTTTCTTGGTGCCCAGTCATATTCTTCCTGGCAGACACAGCACAGAGTTTAATGGATTTCATTTCCTTGGTAGTGTGTCTTTGTGCAGTGCACAAACTAAGCAACAGTAGGTGGCATTTCTGCTGAGCTCAGATTATGGAAGCCTTTAATGAACTACTCAAGTGTATATATTTTATTTCGAGGGTAATATAGAGCCATTAAAGGAGAGGGTAGGCCATCAAGAGAGACACAGGATCATACCACAGTGCTACTAAACGTGTGGTTTGCAGATAAACAGCATCAGCACCACCTGGGAGCTTGTTAGAGCTGCAGATTCATGAGTCTATCCCAGACCTCCTGATCAGAATGTCCGGGGCTGAGGCCCAGCACTCTGTTGTTTCATAAGCTCTCCAGGTGATTCTCATGCACACTGAGTTTGGAGAAACACTTTCTCAGGCAAGGGGATGGAGGATTGAAATGACCAGAGGAACAACACCGGGGTCCCTTTGGAGGGTCTGGCTCTCATGCAGATGACAAATACAAAGAAGGCCTTGTTTCAACCAGAAGCAGAGGAGATGGAGAGGTGACAACAGTGACTCTGAGAGATTCTGAGTCCTGGCTGGAGAAGAATGAGGTCCCTAGAAATGTAAGAATGAGACGGAGCCAACACATGGCCCCAGACCTGAGCCTCCTAAGGCTGAAAACCACTGGGGAAGACCTGCAAGTATCCTTACTGGCCTCGTGCTTCCAATGCTGTTAACATTCATGAAGGCAAAGAGTGTGGGTCTCAGCCAGCGGGAGGGAAGACCACTGGCTGACAGTCTTGCAGAGCCAGGGCTGAAACTCTGACCCATCACTTACCAAGCTTTAAGCGACTGAAGCTCTATTTTGTACCCTCACCAGCCGAAGGGCCCTGGAGACAACAGAACAGAGCAGCAACGCCTCTGAACAGCATCTGCCAGGCTTCCCTGCTTTCCAAAGCCAAGCTTCAGGGTCAGAGGCTCAGCCTGCAGGCTTGGTTGGCTGTGCCGGGGCCTGCCCGGGCTGCACACCTTCCCCAGCACTGCCAGCACAGGGACCCATGCCCGTGGTTCCTGGCCGTATCAGCCCTGCTGCGGCCCTGCAGGGGCTTCCTCTAGCCTGGTGCGGACTTTCTTGGTTACCATGGATCAAAGGGCTGTTGTAGGAGTGGGGAAGTTAACTCGTTTGCCCAACATGGCTTTTGCTGATTTCCAATCAATGCCCTGCTCTCTGACTTCAGCTGTTTTCCTATTGGCTGTGGGATCAAACATAGGGAGAAAACAAACTCGAAATCCAGCTGGCCCAGGGTCCTTAGTATTCACCATCCATCAACCAAAATGGAGGGTTAGTTAGTGGGTGATAATAACAGGAACAAACATTATGTGCCTACCATGCATATGGCTCTCTTCCCTGTGTCACCATCCTGCTCCTTAGCTACCAGACACACTTTAGGTGAGTGTATTCCTGTCAACAGGTGCTCCCTCCACCAACACCTCTGGCCCCTCCAATCCTTAGCACCGGGCTGCTTCCCAGACTCATTGCCTTCCCTCCCCTGCCTCACATGAGAGGGATATTCTGAGATTCACTCTTCCCAGCTGCCCTAAATTTCAAAGAATGCAGTCAGAGTCCCATAGCAGGGCCACCATCAACTCAGACGGCTCTAAGCTCTTTCTTCCTGAACTACCATAATGCAGCCTAATAATATGAAGCCTCAACCTCCTTTCAGCTTTTAGTCTCATGCTGGGGTGTCCTGGGTGCTATGATTTTGTTATTTTCACAGAAACCTTCTTGTTTAATGAGTCTGTCTAGCAATATTCCCAATGGCTTTTAGTCTGTATTGCAATACTTCTTGGGTTTCTGAACATGAGCTGCTTGCCTTCCAACTTCACACTCAGCTGATTTCTGTTCTGCTAAGTTTAACCTGGTTAAGTTGCTAAGTTGCATGACCAATTCCTCTCCAGTTGGCTTTGGGCATGGAGATGCAAGAAGTTAAATAATCCCATGATCCTGCTCATTGGAACCCTGCAGCCATACTAACAGCCTTTCTGGCAGACACCGCCTGGAACAAATCCTTCATTAAGGGCAAAGCCTAGATTCTATTTATTGATTGTAATAATTGCCAAGCACCCAGCTTGGCATAGAGAAGGAGTCAATAAGGTTTACCAAATACATGAGGATTAAGAATGAAAATGTAACAAATCCTCAATGTGGTACAACTGGGATTTAAAATGAGGTCATTCTGATCCTGAAGTCCAGTATTCTCCGCCCCACCCTGCCACCTTGGCCTTGGCTCCTCTGTGCACATCCTGTGTGAACAGTTTCTAGGGAGAGGGGCTGATTGAGGGGAGGCTGCAACTGTCAGAACACGAGGCTTTGTAGAGGGTCTGTCTGAGCCCACCCCACTCAGGAGGGACTTGCCAAGCAAGCCCAGAAGCTGGGTCCATGCCTGTCCGGCACAGAGTTGGTGCTCAGTAACTATGTATTTAATAATTAAGGAGGCCCAAGGTGGTGAAGGTCTTGTATCTGGGCCTGAATTTCTAAACCTGTGTAAGTAGAAAGTCCTTTTGGTGCTTTTTAGAAAATAGCCCATATCCTTTGACACTGCTTTCATTAAAAGGTGGTGTTTATATCCCCTGACTCCCCTTAAGTCTTAGGGGACTTGGGACTGCTCTCACCGATACAATGTAGGGGATGTGATATTTTGTGACTTCTAAGATTAGGTCATGAAGGCAATGTAGTTTCTGACTTGTCCACAGAGACTCTTATGTCTACAGTGTCTAAGCTGCTGTATAAGAAGTCTAACTCCCCTGGGGCCGCCATGTGTGAGCAAACGCAGGGTGCATGACAGTCCCTGTGTAGATGCTCTAGATTGACAGCCCCAGCTGAGTCCAGTCATCTGGGCAACAGACAGCTAAGTGAGGAGGCTGCCGTGTGAGTCCAGTTCTCGGCTCTCTGGTCACCCCTGGTCATTTGAGTCTTCTCAGCTGGGACCCTAGACATTGTGGAGCTGAAGCAAATCATCCCTGCCCTCTTGCATTCCTGACCCACAGAATATGTAAGCATAATAAAGTTGTTGTTTTATTCCACTAAATTTTGGAGTGATTTGTTACCAGCAGTAGTAACTAGAACACCATTTGTTCATTAGACAAGAGTTTCTTAAAGAGCATCGGCAATATTTTATTCTCTTTCATATCCCCAAAAGGAAACAGTAAATGCTTAACAAATACATGCTACATTCTTAGCCAAATGATGAATGTCAACAATACCAGTAATGAGAAATATGGACATTCAGGCTGGGCATCATAGCCAGACTCCATCTCCACAAAAAATTTTTTTTAAAAAATAGCCAGGCATGGTGGTGCATGCCTGTAGTCCCAGCTACTCGGGAGGCTGAGGCTGGGAGGATTGCGTGAGCCAGGGAGGTCGAGGCTGCGGTTAGGCAAGACTGGTCCACTGCACTCCAGCTTCGGTGACAGAGTGAGACCCTGTCTCTAAAAAACAAAAGTAAAAAATAAAAATAAAAATAAATATGTACATCATATGCCTCTTGATACGATGCTCTGAGAAAGGGTTATGTGTGGTATTTTTTGCCAAAAATGCATAATCTCGATCTAATCGTGAGAAAACATCAGAAAGAAAAAAAAAACTAACTTAAAGGACAGTCTACAAAATAACTGACCAGTATTCTTCAGAAGTGTCAAGGTCATAAAATATTAAAAAAATAATAAAGACTGAAAGGCTGAGGAGATGTCCCAGACTGGAGGAGACTAAGGAAAAAATGACAAGTAAGTGAAACACGGATAGGATCCTGGACTGGAAAACGACATTAGTGGGAAGATAAGTGAAATTCAAATAAGGCCTGTAGATTATAGTGTTCATTATAATGTAGCTTAAAGTATCTATCAATGTTAATTTCCTGGTTTCAGTCACTATCCTGTGGTTATACAAGATGCTAACATAAGGGGAAGCCAGGTGATGGGTATATAGAAACTCCATACTAATCTTGCAACTTTTCTGTAAGTCTAAAATTATTTTAAAATTAAATATTGAGCCAGGCGCGGTGGCTCACGCCTGTAATCCTAGCACTTTGGGAGGCCAAGGGGGACGGATCATCTGGGGTCAGGAGTTCGAGACCAGCCTGGTCAACATGGTGAAACCCCGTCTCCAATAAAAATACAAAAGTTAGCTAAGCATGGTGGCGGGCGCGGGTAATCCTAGCTACTTGAGGCTGAGGCAGGAGAATCACTTGAATGCAGGAGGCAGAGACTGCAGTGAGCTGAGATCACACCACTGCACTCCAGCCTGGGCGACAGAGCAAGACTCCATTTCAGAAAAAAAAAAAAAAAAAAAAAGAACTAAATATTTTTTTTAAAAAAAAGAACAAAAAATGTGCACTAAGTCTCATTGATTGGCAAATCTGTAATCATGGACCCACAAGTTAGAAGCCAAAGGCACACCCCTCCACCCCTCACATTCTTGCAGCAATTTATTACAATTATATATATATATATATATATATATATATATTTTTTTTTTTTTTTTTTTTTTTTTTGAGATGGAGTTTTCGCTGTTGTCGCTCAGGCTGGAGTGCAGTGGTGTGATCTTGGCTCACCGCAACCTCCGCCTCCCGGGTACAAGCAATTCTCCTGCCTCAGCCTCCCGAGTAAGTGGGATTACAGGCATGCACCTCCACCCCTGGCTAATTTTGTATTTTTAGTAGAGACGGGGTTTCTCCATGTTGGTCAGGCTGGTTTCAAACTCCTGACCTCAGGTGATCAGCCCGCCTCGGCCTCCCAAAGTGCTAGGATTACAGCCATGAGTCACCGTGCCCGGCCTATTACAATAATATTAACAACACGAGAGGACATTTAATACCACTCACTAGTTGCCAGGTGCCTTGCCAAGCACTTTCCACACATTACTCGTTTAATCATCCCACAAGTTTATGAGGCTACTACCGTTACTATTCCCACTTTGCGGATGAGAAAACTGAGACTTAAGGGGAGCAACTTCCCAGTGTCTTCACAGATAGGAAGAGGCAGAGGCAGGCTTGGAACCCCGGCAGTATGAATCTAGAATCCACCTGCTTAACCTTGGAGCTCTTTTGTCATCATGAAGAGTGGCCAGTCTTACTTCCAGGGCCTGGGAGACCAAAAACTTTTGCTGGAAATCTCTTAAAGGATCAGCTAGAGTGCAAAGACATGTTAGGAGTATTTGGACAGGCAGAGAGAGCTTTTGAGTGCATCGTTGGGGGCACAGAGGCCAAAATTAAGGTGAAATGGGGTGGAAATAAATCTGGAGAATTAGGGGCGATCAGGGGACTTGATGCTAGAATGCATTTCCAAGCACCCCAGAGGGGTTTTCTGACCACCTGGGAACTTCCTGCATCATTGTCAGAGGCCAAGTCAGGGATCAGGTTGAGAGGCCCTTCTAAGGAGAAATCCATCGATCACGTAATCACACATTCTGGGCCAGTGCGGGGCTGAAGGCTGAAGTTTCACTCTATTGCACTTTTCTTTCATTCAGCATTTTTCTCATGAAATTAAAATAGAATTGATTTTCTCCCCCACTAAATTAGGCATTAGGAAAGGAACGAAAGGGAGGGCATGTTGGAGACTACACCATCAATTCAATCCAGCAGAGTAGCATTTGTAAGAAATTGTATTCGCCCCTACTTACTATGAGAAGGTTTTGTAAAGCCTATTTTTTTTTGTTATATCTCCTTCTTACTAGAAGAGATGAACATTTTTTTTTCTCCCTTCTTGGTTAAAACGATCATTTATACTAACCTTTTCTCCAACCCTCTGGCCTCAGGTTAGAAGCTTCCTTTTTCTAACTTTGCCTCTGTGGTATTTCCCCAGAAGCAGACACACAGCAGGTGACACTGCTGTTTATGGAACTGTCATTTCTGATGAAATGGGTCATCTGGGGACTCTACGTTCTCCTATTCTGCAGTGACCCCAGGCTCATAGCTGGGTCCAGAGTGGAACCTCACAGCTGGAAGGAACTACTCCATTTACAGAGTGCTGAAA
Source organism: Homo sapiens (assembly GCF_000001405.40). Taxonomy (NCBI): domain Eukaryota; kingdom Metazoa; phylum Chordata; class Mammalia; order Primates; family Hominidae; genus Homo; species Homo sapiens. The sequence goes on from NC_000020.11 coordinate 42,364,807, forward strand.
GGAGATGGGAGCAGGAGGAAACTGAGGCTCAGAGAGGTTAGGAAGCACACCTAAGGCCCCACAGTAACTGGTTCTACTCGAAGGAGGCAGCGATGGGATAACAAAGGAGTCAGAAACCTTGGGTACAAATCCTGATGCTTCCTCTTAGCAGATGGTCATTTATAGCTGCACTGCCCATTAGAAATAGGATGTGAGCCACATTTGTGATTTTATATTTTCTAGGAGCCACATGGGGAAAAAAGGCAAAGAGAAGCAGGTGGGAATTAATTTCAGTAATATACTTTCTTTAACCCAAGGTATCCACAATGCTATTATTCCAACATGTATTCAACACAAAATTATTGAGGATATTTTACATTCTCTTTTCCCACTAAGTGTTCGAAACCTGTTGTGTATTTTATATTCTGAACATTTCTATTCCGGCTAGCCACATTTTGAGTGTTTAATAGCCACTTGTAGCTAGTAGCTAGACCAGGGTTTCTCAATCATTTTTTTCTTTACTATCACCTCCTAAGAAATGTATTTAGACTTTCTGTGTTGTACCCCTATGAATTTTAACTCTACAGATGTGGTGTATAGTTGTATATGGACGCTATGCATACCTGCATGGCTGTATGTGGGCTTTATGCGTATTATGCATATGTGTATGAAAAGGGATTTTTCCCCACCCTACCCCCACCACTACCACCAAGAACCAATTTTCATCTCTTGGGGTCGATGGCACCCCTATTAAGCATGCATGATCTAGAGCAGGGGTGTCCGGTCTTTTGGATTCCCCGGGCCACATTGGAAGAAGAAGAATTGTCTTGGGCAACACATGAAATACACTCACACTGACGATAGCTGATGAGACAAAAAAAAAATTAAAATCATGAAAAAATCTCATAATGTTTTAAGAAAGTTTATAAATTTTTGTTGGGCTGTATTCAAAGCCATTTTGGGTCGCATGTAGCCTGTGGGCTCAGGGTTGGACAAGCTTCGTCTAGAGCAAGCAGTAACGGCCCTGAGCCTCAGGTCCTTATCTGTAAAATAAGGATGAGTGTGTGGACTAAATGAGGCAGTTCTTGTGGGAAAGCATCCAGTGGTGCTGAGTGTGGCACCAATGCTAATATTGGAGTTGCATTGCTGTTTCCAACACATTCCCTTCCACACTGAGTGCCAGGAGTCAGGTCCCCCTCCTCACCTGCAGCCAGTTGCCAGGAAGACGTGCTCTCTGCCCATGACTTCCCTCCTGCTCCAGGGGACTTCCCAAAGCCCTCACAGGGTAACCAGGGGCTCTGTCCTTCAGCCTGGCCACAACTCAGCCCAGGGCAGCAGGGCCTTGTGGACCACCTTCTTCAATGCCTTCTCTCTCTTAGTGGACACCTAATTAATGCTGAAGGTCCAGAGGCCACCCTTGAGGGTAGCCCAGGTCCCCTGACACCCAAACCAAGCCTCTCTTCCCTCCCCTGAGTGCCCATTGGCAGATGGGTGGTGCCCAGGCTTGTTATCTGTGCAGAGACACATGCTCCATTTTCCAACTCCTCCCAGACCCCTGCCCCAGTCTACCCCAGACTTGGGAGGTTGCTAACTGTGTGCTAAGTGGTTTTCTCCCTCAGCTTCTGAGAGATTCTGGCACTTGCTTCGCTTCCCATCTCGTGGCTTCCCACTGGCCAGTAGGGTCCATTTCTGCACCTGTGGCTCCCAAGAAGCTCTACCTTGTCATTGACCACTCTGCCCTCTCTGTCCAGTTCTTCTTCTGTCCCGTTCTTCTTCTGTCCCATCTGAGTGAGACATGCCCCTACAAGCAATGCCAGGGGCCATCAAGGAATCATCTGGAACACTTTGGAGACAAGGAACTCAGTCCCTCTTACTCACCTGTGATTCTGCCAGTGGGCAGTGCTGTAAGAACATGAGCACTGGAGTCATAGAAGACTGCCTTTTCTCTCTGCCCCTCTTGTGATTCTAGTGGCTACACGGCACATGTGAGGAAGCTGATTGCGAAGGCTATAAACTTGGTGTCCTAAGCTGGGGATTGCAGAGTAAAACCCACGAAGTGAGCAGCCTGATTGCCCAGCCTTCTGCAGTCACGCCTCATTAGGCACCCATTGGAGGGAAAAGTCAAACTAAAAACCAGAAAAGAAAGTGGCTTTGAGACGTTGCCTTTTTTTCCCTTAAAATGTACTTCTTGGATTGTGTTTCTTTATAGATGTAATCCTTCTCCCGCATTTTATTTGGGAAGGGGTTCATAATAGGAAGGAGTTGTTTTGAATTATATCAGTAAATATTCATGGAGAATAAAAGGAAATACTTTGGGATTATAAAAGACAGTGTGAACCTGATTAACAATGTGAACTTGATCTTGGGTGTGCTGGGCTGGTTTTAGGCTGTGATGCTTAGCACCTGGGTGACCTTCAATAATATTCGATTCCATCATCAAGAAGAAAGGTTTTTCATGAAGTTGAAATGTGTCCATGTGTATAAGAGAGCTTGAAAATTCCTAGCACTTGGGAGACTGTCGAGTAGGTCAGTCAGACCTGAATCTACAACATCAGAGAGGGTGTTTGATGGTATTTTTGGGGAAACCACAGACTCATTCATGTGGAGTCAATAACTATCTCTTGGGCAGTATCAGTAGCTGTTATTTTAGGCACCTGAGATATGCCCAGGAACAAACCAGTGAAGACACTGCCTTCCTAGAGTTTACCTTCTAGTTACTAGGAAGGTGAGAGGAGGGGAGAAAAATATAATGAATGTAATAAATATGCCATTTATTTGGTATGTTAGTAGATGATAAGTTCTCTAGAAAACAAAAGAAAAGGAAGGAGACAGCAGAGCAGGGTGGGGAGGATAGGTGTGCATGAGCAGGTGATGCAGGGGTGAGACTGATCAGCCTCACTGAGAAAGTGAGATTTCAGCAAGGACGTCATGGAGGTGAGGGAATTAGCTAAGTGGATACCCAAGAGAAGAGCTTTCCAGGAGAGGAGAGTGGGAGATGGGGTGAAAGGGGTGTGTGTGGGTCACACAGATCTCTGTGAGTCTTTGAAAGATTTAGGCATCTAGCCTGGGTGGCATGGGGGCTGCTACAAATTGTGAGAGCCAGGCTGAGACAGACTTCATGGTGAGAACTGGTTGCAGGACTGAACTCTTCATCCTGAAAGGTAACAGCTCCAACTCAGACCATAGATGCAGGATGCAGGGACCCCTGATCTCCTGAGGCTCTTCTACCCAGGCTCTGGGTGCTGCGGACCTGAGAGGACAAGTTGGTGCAGGAGTCCCACCTCCATGCTTCCTGGGCCCAGGGGATGCTGCACAGCCCAGTTTCTAGACCTTTCCTTCTGGTTCAGCTGCCTGACTCAACAACCTCCCAGGAGGCTTCCTTCAGGGGCTCCTTCTGGGTGAGTGTGGGGAAGAACAAGGACATAGATTATGCCCTGGGCAGGAAAAATGAACACAAATTCAGGGTATTGAGGAGGCATCTGAGAAGATGACCACTGCGTACCCAGCATGGCCATCCCAAGCTAAATCTCAGGAGTGTGGACCTTGACTTGAAGACATCAAAGGTTATTGTAAGCAGTGCTCTCCGAAAATGGGAGTTCCCTGAGCTTTAGCAGATGTACCCTCCAGCTTTAGCATCCCAGGGACCCCGAGATCTTGAAACCCATTGCCCTTCAAGTATGGCTGGGAGCGTAGCAGGCTTTCAGAGACAAGGTAACCCGCTGGGGCAATATTTAAAGTCACACAAACTCTTTACAAGGTTTACACCTAGAACTCTAGGCTCTTATTAAGATTCAGAGTTCACAAATCCCCCAAATGTGAGGAAAGCAACTCAGAGACTCTCTCCTTGGCATGTTGAAGGTGTGTAACTAAAAGGTGCTGGGTGTTTCATGTAGGAGGTGGAAAGAATCATTGCATTGATTTGGATGAAGCCTCCTTCATTGAAAAATATCAAAATTTGCATGAAAGACTTTTGCTAAAGTAATAGCAATTGAAATATTCTTTGAAGTGCTCTGAATATAAATATAGAAACGCTCCCATGGAGACCTGCTCATACTGGCTTCTTGCCTTATCGCTGTCTCACTGGGTTCACTGTTAGCCTCAGAGGGGGTTATACAGTGTCTCAACCATACTGCCTTGGGCTGCCTAGCCTGTGTGTGAGGGGTGGAGGAGTCCTGAGTCTGGTTCTTTTTTTTCTTCCCTTTCCTTTCCTTCCTTCCTTTCCTTTACCTTTTCCCCTTCCTTCCTCCCTTCTTTCTCCCCTTCCCTCCTTCCTTCCTCCCTTCTTTCTCTCCTTCCCTCCTTCCTTCCTTCCCTCCTTCCTTCCATCCATCCGTCCGTCCATCAATCCATCCATCCATCCATCCTCCCTTTCTCACTGTGTTGCCCAGACTGGATCTGAACTCCTGGGCTCAAGCAATCCTCCCACCTCAGTCTCCAGAGTAATTGGGACTACAGTCATGTGTGCCACCACGTCTGGCTTGGCTCTTTCATTTAATGACAAACATTCTAGGGGCCCAGATTTTGCCTCCAAAGAATAAATAACTCATGAACCGTGAGAGCACTCCAACAAATGAGACTGTAAGAGAAGGAACGCACTACCTGTCTCCAAATCTGGGTGCATCTGGAGAATTTTAATACCCTCTCTACCCTGAACCTATGCTTCGCAGGCTACTTCTCCCAGCTCCTGAACCACCATTGCTGTTATAGAGTCAATGGTGCTGTGGGAACATATTCAATTGCTAAGAGGGCTGAATATATTAAGCCACAAAATAAAAATGAAAGGTGCCAGAGCTCAAAGGCCCAGAGATAGTGGGGGCCAGAGTTAGTCCCATTGCAGGCTGAAGAACACATCCTTTGAAGTGGGTGACAGGGGAGAAAATCAACACCCAAACAAAGAGAAAAGCCAGCGTGCAGAAAGGAGGATGGGGCAGACACACTTAAGGAAGCAAGAAGCAGAGACAATGGGGAAGAGAAAAGGAAGAGAAGCCTGGGTATCGGGTTTCCAATTGTATGTCCATGATGCCAAATCATTTTTCATCCCCTGCTCAAGATTTTCTGTAAGGCAATTTGAGCTATTTTGAGGGATGTTGTGTTTTTAGAAAGTATATTTCCCTGATGAGAACATCTCACCTAAGTGAACACCTCATCTGGATCTTCAATCTTTTCCTTGCTCTTTCCTCAGCAAAATGCCAAGAGATGCTGGCTCCCCTAGCTCAGTAGCTGCCTTCATGTCCCCTCCTCTCTCTGTGTCCAGGTCCATGCTTACCCATCCCAAATCCTGTAACCCGTGTGTTATGAGCCATGGATTCATCCAAAGTGCAGACTCCAAACCACACTAACTCATATGGGTATCTGGTGCTCCCCAAGGCAGCACAGCTTGTCCAAGAAGTGGAACTGAATGTCAATGCCTTCATTTCACTGCCATGTAACTCCCTGGGGGAAACAGCCCAGGAAGCAGCTGTGTGGGCTGATAAGGGCTTCTCTGCCTTGTCGGAATCCTCAGGCACCAGCTCCAGATAACGGCCAGCGACAGGAGTCAGTACCTGTGCCAGGTGTCAAGCCTTCCCCTTGAGCTACACAAACTCTCAGGTATACCATGCTGCCCTGCCTGGACATGTCCCTGGCAGAGGGGTGGGCCTTTTCATCAGAGGACGGGCTACGTTTTTCCTTGCTACACTCAAGAACGGTAGGAGCCCTTACTCACTTCTTGTCAAAAGCAGGAGGCAACTGTCTTCAGTGATTAACAATGTAAGCCACTTACTAGCTTTGAGACTTTGGGCAAGGTGCTTAGCATCTTGGTACCCTGATTTTCTCTTCTGTTAAATGGAGACAATGATGTCCCTTTCTTATAGGTCAGAATGGGGAATAACTGAGATAATACTTGTAAAGCCCCTATAACAGTGCCTGGACATAATAAGCACTGGATAAACACAATCTATCCTTACTGTTAAGACATTAAAGTTCTTCAATAGTTTTCCATTGGTCTTAGGATAAAAGCAACCATCTATACTGTGGCCTGAAGATCACACATGGTCTTGCCCTGGTTGCTGTTACTCCCACATCATCTCACTGATTTTGCACTCAAACCACATTTGCCTCCTCCCTACCCCAGGTACTGGCCCTACATCTTTCACCAGAGGTTCTGGCCATGCTGTTCCCTCACTACAGCATGATTTTCCACCCTCTCTTGGTTTGGTTAACACCTCTTCCTTCAGTTCTGAGCTCTATTGTTATTTACTTGGGCAAACCTTCCCTGCTCAAGTCCAATGTGCCACAATGGCTTTTAAAGGACAAGAACCATGATTTTGCACAACTTGCAGGAGCATTGTTCACACTATAACAATGGGGATGGTGACCTCTGGAGTGGTACAGAACAGCAGCCCCATAGGGCAGTGGTTTCAGCCAGAGGTAAAACCTGACCATGGGGCCAGGATCTGTACCACTGGTCGGTGAAGGAATAAGGACATCCAAAAGGCACCATCCTGTGCCAACATTTTCTTTGTGACTCAGAGTCAAAGCACTGATTATTTGGTCTTATGTCTCACATTGCTTCTTCTACCATCTTCCCACTATCATCTTAACATCTGCTGCCAAAGCACCACTTACAGAGAACACACTAAGAAAAAGCAACTGACACTCTACTTCAAGCCCTCTCCTGCAGCTACTTCTGAAGCAAATATTACTCATGCAATTTCACATTTATCTGTTTATCTGATTAATATTTTCCACTCAGACAAGACTCTAAGCAACACACACAAAAGGGCCATGTTGGCTCTGGTGATTGTAGTATCCTTAGCACCTAAAACAAAGAGTAGATCCTCAATAGATATTTGTTGCATGAATAAATAAGCTCCAGTTTCAGTGCCCAGGGCTGTTCTCCAGCCCCAAATTGCCAAGCCCAGTGCCTGAAATTCTACCACTATATCATATATTTGAGCCCAGTCCCTGGTTCAAGGGAAGAAATGTTAAGAACCTCAACTACACTGGCTGGTAATTTCAGAATCAGTCCTTTCATCAAGGGGGCATTATCAGTTGTGTCCAGGTGAGCTGCTAAATTGTAGTCTTTCTACCCCTGTCCAGTTGAACTAGGGAGTAAGACTGGGGTCACCTTAGAGGGATCATATGGCAGGTGGTTGGGGCTGAGTCTCCATGTAGGTTGGTCCAGAATGTAGTCAGGACATCAGCAGTTTTAGCAAGACTTCTCTACTCCTAGGATGTTTATGCAGCTAGTCTTCAGGCTATTTTGGGTACTGGGGGGAGAGTGGAGTCACCCTGTATCAAGAGACTCCAAACATTCCTTACTTCCCTAATATCCAAGATGTAATAAAAGCATGAAGAGTCCAACCTTCAAAGATGAGAAGATCCATCAGCCCTTGGCTATGTTTCCAAGTGAAGGGAGACAATTAAAGACAGAGGAGCAAGACAGTTGGTCAGAAAATAGGGGTTCTGGACTGGAGAGTGACTGTTAAACAGAAGACAGGGTTTTCTTAACTCTTTTTTTTTTTTTTTTTTTTTTGAGATGGAGTTTTGCTCTGTCACCAAGGCTGGAGGGCAGTGGCACAATCTTGGCTCATTGCAACCTCTGCCTCCTGGGTTCAAGCGATTCTCCTGTCTCGGCCTCCTAAGTAGCTGGGACTATAGGCATGCACCACCATGCCTAGCTAAATTTGTATATTTTCAGTAGAGATGCAGTTTCACCATGTTGGCCAGGCTGGTCTTGAACTTCTGGCCTCAAGTGGTCCACCCACCTCAGCCTCCCAAAGTGCTGGGATTACAGGCGTGAGCCACTATGCCAAGCCAGGGTTTTCCCGATTCTGATAAAGGGTTTTTAATTCAATTTAGAGGATATTTGCTAAAGTTTGAAAGTCCCCCCAAATTCATACGTTGAAACCTAACTCTGAAAAAGATAATATTAAAAGGTGGGACCTTTGGGAGGGCAGAACTGTCAGGAAAAGGATTAGCGCCCTTATAAAAGAGACCCCAGAGAGACACCTTTCCTTTTTCACCATGTGAGGATGCAGCATGAAGTTTGCCATCTACGAGAAAGAGAACCCACCCCAGACACCTAACTTGCTGGCAATTTAATCTTGGACCTCCCAGCCTCCAGAACTGCAAGAAAAAATTTCTGTTCTTTATAAGTTATCCTGTGTGTGGTATTTTGTTACAGCCACCTGAATGGACTAAAACAATGTCTAACTAAAATATAACAAAACACAGAGGCTTCTGCCACATCCTAGGCAGGAAGAAATGACAGGGATCTCAGTGAAATAGGGCCTATGGAGGACACGCACATTTTGCTGAGTACCTACTGTGTGCCTAGCATTTCACTAGGCTCTGCAGTATACATTGCGTTATTTACTTTGCAGAGTAACACCAGGAGTGAAGTACCACCCTTCCAACTTTACTGCTGAGGAGACAGGCTCAGAGAGGGTGAGTGACTTAGTCAAGGTCATGGAACTAATGGTATGCTGCCAGGCTGGGCTCTGGCTTCTGTTCAAAGAGTGACAGCCTTGTAAGTGTCACCAAAGGAAGCATTTTGAGGACAGAGTTGCAGAACTATCAGTTCATAAATATTCATTTTTAATCCTTATTTTCAGGCAGAAGCTTGTGCTTTCTAAATATTTAGATTTTTTATTTGTAAACTGACAGGATCCTATCATTGACAAGAACTCTCAGAGGGAACAGAATCCACTCCTTTTTGATTGTCACATCCCCAAATGACCTGTCTCCCGCATGGATGCATCTAACAGCCTTTGATGCTAGCAGTGGCCAGCAGCAGCAACCTCAGACTATAAATGAACCTGTTGATACCAATATGAATTCGCAGTTGTAATAATAGAGATTATGGACATACATATAGAGGCGTCTCATTCGCAATGACTTGACCCTGACCACAATTCTGTGTAGCATGCAGAACGGTGTGACACCATGTGCAGGGAGGAGAGGAAAGCTGTGGATATACCAAAACCAGAGAATGAAAGGTCAGATTTCACATGCACACTGTTTGAGTCCAAGTCCAGCTCTCCTTGCCCTGTACCACCCTACAGTTCATGAATCCCAGAATGGGTCACCAGTAAGACCTGCATCAGGAACCACAGGTCAAAGATGCCAATGAAGCACCTCACAGCATGAGTCATGCAGGAACCAGGCGGAGAACCTGAGCTGAGGCCAGAGGGTGCTGGGGTGGGGTCTGTCACCCTGTTTGGGAACTGGGGGCTCCAGGGAGGTGGGAGCAGAGAGGGCAAGTGACAGTCTAGGAGGCAGAACAGGTGCAAGTCAGCACCTCTAACCCCTAACATCTAAATAAAAAAGCAATGACCTCAGTGTGTTTCAGCGTCTGCCAGCTGCAGGGAAATGTGGCAGTTTCCCTGAGCAGAGAGCATCACTGCCATAGCCCATCTGTCTCACTCTCAACACCAGCTCTTTCTTCTCAAGAACTTTTCAGAGGCAGGGTCTGCTGCCCTCTGAGGTTCAAGGAAAAGGTCAGGTGTGGTCTGTGGACAAGGGGAAACCTCATTAAATCAAGTGTCAAACGTAAAATAAATAAAGCCACACATTTATTAGAAGTAAATAGCTGTGGCTAGTTGTTTGATCTCTGGTCTGGACTTTTTAAACACGCAAGTAAATGAAGAAAATGTACCTTAATAAACCCAGTGATAGAGTTTAAAAATCATACGGTAATAATGTTAAAACTTACAATCAAATAATATTAAAGGGAAACAACAAAATGAAAAATACATAAACATATATGGCAGAGAACGTCAATATTTTCAAATATGAAAAAGCTCTTACAAATCAATAAAAAAGAAGAACATGCAAATAGAAAAACAATGATAAATGACATGAACAGGAAATTCACCAAGATACATATTACCAATGGGGGGAAAAGAGATTCCACCTCACCAGAAATCAAATACTTGCAAGTTTATATTAGATATCTAGGTTTGCTTTTCTAAACAGTAAAGATAATTTAAAATGATAATACAGAGTGTTGCTGGAGTGAGAGTTTCATGCATTGCTGATGGGGTTTTATATATCTTTTGGGGTTAATCTCATGGCTGGAAGCTTCTTACAAGAAGTTAGTAACAACTAGAATCTGACACAGAGAGCAGAATCACAGCAAAACAAAACCAATAACCAAAAACAAAATTATAGACCAGCATATCAACTTTAAAAGAATAATATACTATTACAAATAAGAATCTATTCCAGAAATTCCACCAGGATTATTGTAATTAACATTCGACCAAAGTAATTACCTTTAGCCATAGCTTGAAGTTAATCCCAAAGACTCCAAAATGTATTTGACAAAATTCAATATCAATTTCTAAAGAAAAAGTAATGTATTTGTAATTGGGGTGTGTGTGTCGGGGGGACAGGGAAAGTCTTTCTTAATGGAAGGGGACAGTCATGTCTGTGTTATATCCAACAATCCTTTACTGACTGCCCATCAGGTGGCAAGGATACAAGGAAGAGTGAGACACAGTCTCTGCCCTCAGAGAGGTTACATTCTACTAGGAAAGACAAGGGGTGCCACGGT